>NC_000006.12:21575151-21878181 GCF_000001405.40 Homo sapiens | reverse complement strand
GCGTGAGCCACCGTGCTTGGCCTGAGTTTTAATCATAAAGGATGCTGGATTTTGTCAAATGCTTTTTCTGCATCTATTGAGATGATCATGTGATTGTTGTTTTTAATTCTGTTTATGTGGTATATCTCATTTATTGACTTGGATATATAAACCTTCCCTGTACCCTTGGTATGAAACCCACTTGGATCATGGTGAATTATCTTTTTGATATGTTGTTGGATTCAGTTAGCTAGTATTTTGTTAAGAATTTTAACATCAATGTTCATCAAGGATATCGGTCTGCAGTTTTCTTTTATGATTATGACCTTTCCTGGTTTTGGTATTAGGGTGATGTTAGCTTCATAAAATGAATTAGGGAAGGTTCCTTCTTTCTCTATCTTGTGGAATAGTGTCAAAAGGATTGGTACCAATTCTTCTTTGAATGTCTGATAGAATTCTGCTCTGAATCCGTCTGGTCCTGGACTTTTTTTTTGTTGGTAATCTTTTAATTACCATTTCAATCTCGCTGCTTGTTATTGGTCTGTTCAGGGTATCTAATTCTTCCTGATTTAAGCTAGGAGGGTTGTATTTTTCCAGGAATTTGCCCATCTCTCCTAGGTTTACTAGTTTATGTGTGTCGAGGTGTTCATAGTAGCCTTGAATGATCTTTTGTATTTCAGTGGTGTCAGTTGTAATATCTCCTGTTTCGTTTCTTAGTGTAGTTATTTGGATTTTCTCTATTCTTGGTTAATTTTGCTGTTCTATCAATTTTATTTATCTTTTCAAAGAACCAGCTTTTTGTTTTATTTATCTTTTGCATTTTTTGTTTGTTTGTTTCAGTTTCATTTAGTTCTGCTCTGATCTTGGTAATTTCCTTTCTTCTGCTGGGTTTGGGTTTGGTTTGTTCTTGTTTCTCTAGTTGCTTGAGGTGTGACGTTAGCATGTCAGTTTGTACTCTTTCAATCTTTTTGATGTGGCACTTAGGGCTATGAACTTTCCTCTTAGCACCGCCTTTGCTGTATCACAGAGGTTTCGATAGGTTGTGTCATTATTGTCATTCAGTTTGAAGAATTTTTAAATTTCCATCTTGATTTCGTTTTTGACCCAATGCTCATTCAGGAGCAGGTTATTTAATTTCCATGTATTTGCATGGTTTTGAAGGTTCCTTTTGGAGTTGATTTCTAGTTTTATTCCACTGTGGTCTGAGAGAGTGCTTGATATAGTTTCAATTTTCTTAAATTTATTTAGGCTTGTTTTGTGGCCTATCATATGATCTGTCTTGGAGAAAATCCCATGCGATGTTGAATAAAATGTGTATTCTGCGGTTGCCAGATGAAATGTTCTGTAAATATCTGTTAAGTTCATTTGTTCCAAGGTATAGCTTAAATCCATTCTTTCTTTGTTGACTTTCTGTCTTGATGACTTGTCTAGTGCTATCAGTGGAATACTGAAGCCCCCCACTATTACTGTGTTGCTGTCTATCTCATTCTTAGGTCTATTAGTAATTGTTTCATAAATTTGGAAACTCCAGTATTAGGTGCATATATGTTTAGGATTGTGATATTTTCCTGTTGGACAAGGCCTTTTATCATTATATAATGTCCCTCTTTGCCTCTTTTAACTGCTGTTGCTTTAAAATTTGTTTTGTCTGATGTAAAAATAGCTACCCCTGCTCACTTTCGGTGTCCATTTGCATGACATGCCTTTTTTCACCCCTTTACTTTAAGTTTGTATGAGTCCTTATGTGTTGTGTGAATCTCCTAAAGGCAGCAGAAAGTTGGTTGGTGAGTTCTTATCTATTCTGGGGTTCTGTATTTTTAAGTGGAGCATTTAGGACATTTACATTCAATGTCAGTATTGAAATGTGGGGTACCCTTGCATTCATCGTGCTTTTTGTTGCCTGTGTACTTGGCTTTTTTGTTCTTTGTTTTTACTTTTTAACATGTATTTTTGTTTTATAGGTCCTGTGTGATTTATGCTTTAAAGCGGTTCTGTTTTGATGTGTTTCCAGGATTTGTTTCAAGATTTAGAGCTCCTTTTAGCAGTTTAGTTGTGACTTGGTAATGGCGAATTCTCTCAGTATTTGTTTGTCTGAAAACAACTATATCTTTCCTTCATATATGATGCTAAGTTTCACCGGATACAAAATTCTTGGCTGGTCATTGTTTTGTTTGAGGAGGCTGAAGATGGGGCCCCAATCCCTTCTAGCTTGTAGGGTTTCTGCTGAGAAATCTGCTGTTAATCTGATAGGTTTTCCTTTACAGGTTACCTGGTGCTTCTGTCTCACAGCTCTTAAGATTCTTTCCTTTGTCTTAATTTTAGATAACCTGATGACAATGTGCCTAGGCAATGATCTTTTTGCAACGAATTTTCCAGGTGTTCTTTGTGCTTCTTGTATTTGGATGTCTAGGTCTCTAGCAAGGCCGGGGAAGTTTTCCTCAATTATTCCCCTAAATATGTTTTCCAAGCTTTTAGAATTCTCTTCTTCCTTAGGAACATCGATTATTCTTAAGTTTAGTGATTTAACATAATCCCAGACTTCTTGGAGACTTTATTCGTATTTTCTTATTCTTTTTTCTTTGTCTTTGTTAGATTGGGTTAATTCGAAGACCTTGTCTTGGAGCTCTGAATTTCTTTCTTCTACTTATTCAATTCTATTGCTGAGACTTTCCACAGCATTTCACATTTCTAAAAGTGTGTCAAAGTTTCCTGAATTTTTGATTTTTTTTTTCTTTAAGCTATCTATTTCCTTGAATATTTCTCCCTTCACTTGTATCATTTTTTGGATTTCCTTGCACTGGGCTTCCCCTTTCTCTAGCCCCTCCCTGATTAGCTTAATAACTAACCTCCTGAATTCTTTTTCAGGTAAATTAAGGATTTCTTCTTGGTTTGGATCCATTGCTGGTGAACTAGTGTGATTTTTTTGAGGGTGTTGAAGAGCCTTGTTTTATTATATTACCAAGGTTGGCTTTCTGGTTCCTTCTCATTTGAGTAGGCTCTGTCAGAGGGAAGGTCTAGGGCTGAAGGCTATTGTTCAGATTCTTTTGTCCCACGGGGTGTTCCCTTGATGTAGTATTCTCCCCCTTTTCCTATGGATGTGGTTCCATGTGAGCCAAACTGCAGTGGATTGTTGTCTCTCTTATGGGTCTAGCCACCCAGCGAGTCTACCTGGCTCTGGGCTGGTACTGGGGGTTGTCTGCACAGAGTCTTGTGATGTGAACCATCTATGGGTCTCTCAGCGGTGGATACCAGCGCCTGTTCCAGTGGAGGTGGTAGAGGGTGCAATGGACTCCGTGGGGATCCTTAGCTGTGGTGGTTTAATGCTCTGTTTTTTTGCTGGTTGGCCTCCTGCTGGCAGGTGGCACTTTCCAGACAGTATCAGCTATAGTTGCATAGAGAGGGACCAGCCCTAGAACTCCCAAGCTTATATGTCCTTTATCTTCTGCTACCAACCTGCGTAGGGAAGGATCATCAGGCGGGGGCAGGGCTAGGTGTGTCTAAGCTCAGACTCTCCTTGGGCAGGTCTTGCTGTGGCTGCTGTGAGGGATGGGGATGAGATTCCCAGGTCACTGGAGTTGTGTACCTAGGAGGATCATGGCTCCCTCTGCTGAGTCATGCAGGTTGTCAGGAATGTGGGGGAAAGCCGGCAGTCACAGGTCTTACCCAGCTCCCACACAAAGTGAAGGGCCAGCCTCACTCCCATCATGCCCCCTGCCCTGATATCTGGAAACAGCCCCGAGTCTGTTTCCAGGCGCAGGGCAGGATGGGCTTGAAAACTTGCCCTGGGCTACCTACCTCCCAGCTGCAAAAGAAAAAGCTTGGTTCTTCCCCCGCCTGTGGTGTCTACACACTAGTTTTGCACCCTCCCCCAAGTTCTGACCAGGCTTCTGGTCCTGTTCAAATTGTTACAAAGTTCAGCTCGGAGAGTTCCTTCTCCCTGTGGAGTTTTACCTGCTGCTCCTCTGGTCACCCTCCCAATGGATCTCTGTGATGCCAGGCAGGAATGGCCTGCTAAGGGATACAGTGAGCTCCCAGGGCCTTTCTGCTGCTTCCTCTACCCCTGTATTTCACTCAGTTCTCTAAAGTGACTCAGCTGCAGGTAAAGTCAGAAACTTCTCCCACAAACAGACCTTCAGCTCCAGCGGGGGTGTGTTTAGGAGAGGAGGGTCTCCCTTTCCCACTTCCACAGTTAGAGCACTCACAGTATTTAGGGTGTCTCCTGACTCCTGCAGGAGCAGTCCACTTCCTTCAGAGGGTCTGTGGGTCCTCTCGGGATTGCTGGTTTTTTCTTGCAGTCGATCTGCAGCTAAAATTCGTAGTGCAAGTTTCCGCAAGCTGCTCTGTCTGGAGCTGCAATCTAGTCCTGCTTCCTGTCCGCCATGATGATCCAATGCCAAGAATTACTCTAGACGCTCTGACTCCTAACACATAATCCAAAAACCGCCAAAACACCATTGGGCCAAATCCAAAATGCTTCTAATAGGGCTGAGTCACAGAGCACTGCATTTAACAGCAACATCACTGAACACTGTATGACAGCACATTTAAGGTCCTGAGGCATCGTCTCTGCCCATACATTTTTTTTTTTAATATTTTTTCCAGATGCCCCATCTATTGTCCCAACCGTACGTACAGTTCAATAAACAGGGCAACAAAAAAGGATTGACTTTGGAGACAAGGCTCAGGATCATACACTATTCCTAAACCTTTTTTGATCATTCCAGAACTTGCCATCTCCCCACTTCCATGGCTAAGTAGACAGTATACCTTCTGCTTCACATGATTATTTTAAATATCAACTTTTAAATTCACAGAATTGCAGAGTTCTAGCATTTCCAAAGTGGGACAGAGCCTGGGAATCAACTGGGAAATATTCTCTGTTACAACTGAAGAGACCAAAGCTCAGAGAGTTGAGTGACTTCACCAAAGCCACACAGCTAGAGACCAATCAATCAACCAGCCAAACTGAAACACAGAGACTAAGCATCCATATAAGCAAAATTTACTTTCCCTTTTCAGCTAATTTGTATGACAATAAATTATAAATAATTCCAACTTTCTTTTTAAAAATATCTGAACTCATACATTTAAAAATCTTTAAAAATATATCCCAATCATTTAATGGGGTAGTTAAATGGAGTGTTTTTATAACCACCTTTCAAAGCTAAGCATATGTTGAAACTCACTGGACCACCCAAGTCCAAAATCTAGTTATGCCATTTAATGTTTATTTAGTTTGTTTCTAAACGTGTATTTAAGTGGCAAAGTCATAAAGAGAAGAATTAATGATAATCAATACCAGATCTGCAACCATGGGACTCTTCTTGGGTTTGCAGTATTTAGTGAAGTCAACCAAGGGGGAAAAATAATGCACTCTAAAAGGAGAAAACTCTGCATAGCACTTTAAAGCAAGTCCCCAGCCACATGCTGTATTCCGAAAGCAGAATTATCCAAAGACCAAAATATGATCCTCTGAAAGACACCCATGGAAAGGAAAACGTAGAGATCTTAGAAGTGCGGGGAGGTGGCAAATGAGATTTAATGCCAGGAAAGAATACACTTTGTGCCCTCTGATATCTTTAAAACTACATGTCACAACTCTAGACTCCAAAATGAAGTGCAGACAAACTTAAAAAGACCCAAAAACGAAGGATATGTTTACTTACCAAAACTTGCAGATGGTTCATATTCCTAAGGAGTGTTTGCAATTTATCTGGATCTCATAAGACAGCTTCACATAGAAACAATATCATAAACAGCAATTAGTTTTCCAGACCAGCCTATAGAAACATTTTGAGAGAGTCCCTATATACCTAAAGTAAAAAATCCCATAAGATATAGAACCTAAGCAAGAAAGAGGAATTAAGGGCCTGCAGCAGAAAAGAGGAGGAAAGAGGCTTTGTAGGGGCAGAAAGGAAGCCTGTTTCCAGTTACCCTTCTCTGTGTTTAAATTAATGGGCGATCAGCACCCGTGCTCCCCTCTGCCTTCTCTCCCTCCTGTTCTCCCAGCCCTCATGGGAAGAAGGAAGAAACAAAGGCAGAGGTGTTGCAATGCCACCTGCCCAAGCCTCTCATAGGCAATAAAGCCAAATGAGCGACCAGTACCTGGGACCCAGGGAGCAGAGCAGGAAATGAGAAACTGCAGAAGTTGTGGCAGAAGGGCAAGCACAGAAAACCCTACACCACCAACACCTGAGGCTGCAACACCCCAGGCAGCCTCACTGAGTGAGCTGTTCCCAAGCAAAGGGCTTTAGGAAACCAGGCACACGTACAGAAGAACAACGAAAGTAAACTTCGGTTGGCCCCTTGAGAAGTTAGAAAATGCTTCTAGAAAACAGAACATTTCTTCTCTAAAAATGAGTCAGGGGGCCGGGTGCGGTAACTCACACCTGTAATCCCAGCACTTTGGGAAGCCAAGGTGGGCGGATCACTCGAGGACAGTAGTTCAAGACCAGCCTGGCCAACATGGTGAAACCCTGTCTCTACTAAAAATACAAAAATTAGCCGGGCATGGTGGCTGTGATCCCAGCTACTCGGGAGGCAGAGGCAGGAGAATTGCTGGAGCCCAGGAGGCAGAGGTTGCAGTGAGCCAAGATTGTGCCACTGCACTCCAGCCTGAGTGACAAAGCGAGACTCCGTCTCAAAAAAAATAAGAGTCAGCGTACAGCCCTAGGAAGAGGTGCTAATCAGGCTAGCATGACACAAGTGATAGAGCCTAATGCGTGTCACACTAAAAGAAGTAATGTTCCATAATAGCACTGTGAACACCTAAATCAGTTAATTATCTTGATACATTTTGCATTGTGTACTACAGTAAGAATATACAGAGGGTGACCCATCACAACTGAAAACTCGAAAATTTTGAGCACATAGATTGGGCAGGGCCTGGGATTTATTTGATTGGAGTCCCGGCCTAAAATAGTGAAAGTCCCCTTAAGTAATCACATTATCTAATTGCAAGATTTAAATTCAGTTCCTTACTGATAAAATCCATTGCACAAAACCTGCCAACCAATAAGGTAAGAGAGGTCATGAGTTTGAAGCATGAAGCCAATTCAAAAGAGAAGTTCTAGCTCAGAGAAGACATAAGGGAGTCCTCATCACCAGGTCCACAGTAACAAATACCCCTCCCTGCTCAGTCTCAGTGCACCTCAAACCGGCGTTCTTAAAACCACAACTACGTTTGCCTTAAAACTATGCCCTGGGCTGGGCACGGTGGCTCACGCTTGTAATCCGAGCACTTTGGGAGGCTGAGGCAGGTACATCACCTGAGGTCAGGAGTTCAAGACCAGCCTGGTCAACATGGTGAAACCCCAACTCTACTAAAATATAAAAATTAGCTAGGTGTGGTGGCACGTGCCTGTAATCCCAGCTACTCGGGGGGCTGAGGGAAGAGAATCACTCAAATCTCGGAGGCGGAAGTTGCAGTGAGCAGAGATCACGCCACTGCACTTCAGCCTGAGCAGCAGAGTGAGACTCTGTCTCAAAAAACAAACAAAAAACCTATGCCCTGAATTTTCAAAAATATAATGAGTCAAAATTAGTACTACTCAATGGGCTCAAATTAGGCTCAGCTTAGGGCTGCATGCCTTTGCACTTGCACAGCTGGGCTCCACCCCTTCAGTCCCTGCCTCAAAGAGGGAAAGACTTCAGACAAGTCAAGGCAGAGGAGATGTGTGCACCAGGCAGCAACAGAAAAAACTATCCCTGGTGATTATGATATCCTCCAGGCACCCAATTCTGAGACCACAAGGAGTGACGATTTACCACGTGTTGTGGGAACAGGCTTGGGACTGAGATTGACATGAGTTAATTCAGCTGTGGCACTCAAATCCACATATGCACAACCATTGTGCAGTCCTGTGGCTCCAGCAAATCTCAAGATAATGAGGGAAACAGTGCGACATACAGAGAAAGGCACTGGACTGAATCAGAAGACCTAGATTTTTCTTATTGACTCTGCTGGCTAATCTCAAGGGAAGAGGCAAATCACGCTCTCTCTGGGACTAAATTTCCTCATCTGTAAAATAAAGAGCAGATGCTCTTTTCTGGCACAGAATTCTCACTGACATAGAAACTGAAATTCAAAACCATTTATATGTCCCCCTACGTCTAGCACAGGGAGCCCCCAGGACTTTTTAGCCAGAGAATTCATGGGCTTCTAAGAAGACTTAATACAGTGGTATTAGCAATGGGCCTAGGTAGGAAACACTATTCTTATGACCCTATCAAAATATCACCTAAAATTAAAAAGTAAAAGAAAATTTTGTTTTAACCACTTCACACTCAAGCACGTGCAGGGTGAGGGCCATTAGCTCTCCTCCTCGGTGCCAAGAATCAAGTCTCTCTCAACATATAGCAAAGCGAAGCCTTCCCAAAACCCTTACTATTGATGCAATGTGGTTGCATCAAATTTCAAATTTCTCATCAGACTGAACTCGCTGGCAGAGGACTCCCAGCAAGATAACTTCATTCCACCTGGTAAGCCACTTAATAGAATGACAGGAGCACCATTCTTGTGTGGTGTTGGGACCTGTGTGTGTTACGTGTCTTCCTAACTAGGCTCCCAATAGCTTTGGGGCAAGGAATAAGCCCATCTCTATATTAGGGATGGCATTTAACAAGGTGACTCAATACCTGTTAAGCAATAAAAACATTAGTCTGCACAGAGCCTGAGGTGCAGCCTACCGAGGTAGTTCAGTTCTTCCATGGCGTCCTGTAATCTACTGAGTGGGTGAAAACTGTCCTGGAATGACTTCCCTTAATAACTTTCCATCCCACTTCCACTCTTTCTCAATCTCTCCTTCCTTTATCTCATTCTGCCAATACCTAGATTTGAACCTCCCACTCAGGATGAAACACAGATGGGACAGTTGTTCTTTTCTCTCCCTCTCTACCCTCAAGCCTGATGTGTTTGCTTCTAGGTGTAATTTGAATTCTGAGTCATCCATCAAAGATGGGAACTCTCATAGTAGGAGGCAGAGAAAGAAAAAAGTTGGCCGGGCACAGTGGCTCACACCTATAATCCCAGCACTTTGGGAGGCCGAAGCAGGTGGATCACGAGGTCAAGAGATCGAGACCATCCTGGCCAACATGGTGAAACCCCATCTCTACTAAAAATACAAAAAAAAATTAGCCGAGCGTGGTGGCACGCACCTGTAGTCCCAGCTATTCAGAGGCTGAGGCAGGAGAATCACTTGAACCCAGGAGGCAGAGGTTGCAGTGAGCTGAGATTGCACCATTGCAATCCAGCCTGGGCAAAGAGCAAGACTCCGTCTCAAAAAAAAAAAAAAAAAAAAAGTCACTCCAGATACCTTTTTTTCCCCCAAGTCCTAAATCTATACAATCAGATTTAAATTGAAATGTTCTCTCAGACCCAAAGGAAATGGGCAGTTGGCCAAGATGATAGCACAGCCCTAGCAATTGGGCACAAAGAGATAAGTCGCTCCGTAAGAGGGTACCTGGGCTTTATCACAACTCAGAAAATGCACTCAGGGGAAAATTGAGCTCGATCTGGAGAACCACTTGGTCCTGCAAAGAACTATTACAGTGAGAGTCTTCACAAGACTATCACCTCCTCACTCCTTTATTTTTCAAACCTGAAGCAACTTTTGCCTTCTTGTTCACCAACCTATTATCCTCTCTCAGCTTCAAAAGCTAACTGCCCAAAAGCTACATTTTCTCCATGAAGCCAATTCCGAATAGCATTCCCTAGGAGTGCTCTGCTTCCAAAACTTAAAAGGAGCCAAGAAATCTCAAGCCTCTGAGATTTAACAGCTTTGTGTGGTATGCCTGAATTGCCTACTCTCTTTAAGTCAAACCATAATCCCCCCTTTAAAATCTTGACAGTGACAGAAAAAAGGATTATATAAATGATAAAACCTATGGTGCTGATACATGAAATCCTGGATCCACTTCTCAATTCATTCACTGACTCTATGGAAAACATTAGGAACGATATTTCTCCCTTTGTAAAGTAGCTTTTTATTAAGCTGTGTTGACATGGTATCATAATGCTTACAGTCTTCTATTTAGAGTATGGCTCCTTCAACTCAGTAGTTTTGAGCATCTCTCAGTGTTACTTTGTCTATTATATATCTTTTAGGTGTCTCAGGAGCTGTCCCACACACCGTTGACAATGCAAACCCAATTCTTAAAATGAAGATATTTCCATTTGTGTACAGAGGCCATGCAATTATCACAAGTAATTCACTTAAGCAAACACCTACTGCCTTGAGTCATCTTTTCATCTTTACATATACTTCACACCATACATAATGTCAAGGGCTCCAGGCCTAATAACAATGCTCCTAGAAGCTAAGTACTTAATACCAACTCTTCTGGGATGAATTTGGATAGAGGATGAATATTTGATATCATAATGATGTGAAAAGGAGAATCTGAAACTGGGTTCATTTGAGTGTTATCCTCTCAGTGGGCAATTAACATGAAATGGTCTTACTTTAATCACGTCAAGGCTACCAAACTTTTTCTTTTCTTGAGACAAAGTCTCACTGTGCCATCCAGGCTGGAATGCTGTGGTGTGATCTTGGCTCACTGCAACCCCCACCCCTCAGGCTCAAGCAATTCTCCTGCCTCAGCCTCCCAAGTAGCTGGGACTACAGGCATGCACCACCAAGTCCAGCTAAATTTTGTATTTTTTGTAGAGACAGGGTTTCTCTATATTGTGCAGGCTGATCTCTAACTCCTAGACTCCAGAGATCTGCCCATCTCAGCCTCCCAAAGTGCTGGGATAACAGGTGTGAGCCAGCAAGCCCCGCCCCCAAATTACTTTTTTTTTTTTTTTTTTTTTTTTTTTTTTAGTTTTGCTCTTGTTGCACAGGCTGGAGTGCAATGGCACGATCTGCAACCTCCGTCTCTACAGTTCAGGCGATTCTCCTGCCTCAGCCTCCCGAGTAATTGAGATTACAGGCACCTGACTCCACACCCGGCTAATTTTTGTATTTTTAGTAGACAGGGTTTCACCATGTTGGCCAGGCTGGTCTCGAACTCCCAACTTCAGGTGATCCACCCACCTCGGCCTCCCAAAGTGCTGGGATTGCTGGCATGAGCCACTATGCCTGGCCCCAAATTGCTATTTATAAACCTCTTTCTCATCTTTAATGACACCGATCTCCTAATTTGGGGGTCATACTTTAGGTGATTATATTCTTGATCAGTTTACTTTTTTTTTTTTTTTTCAGATGGAGTTTCACTTTTGTCACCCAGGCTGGAGTGCAATGGCGCGATCTCAGCTCACTGCAACCTCCGCCTCCCAGGTTCAAGCGATTCTCCTGCCTCAGCCTCCTGAGTAGCTGGGATTACAGGCATCCACCACCACGCCCAGCTAATTTTGTATTTTTAGTAGAGACAGGGTTTCTCCATGTTGGTCAGGCTGGTCTCAAATTCCCGAACTCAGGTGGTCCAACCACCTTAGCCTCCCAAAGTGCTGGGATTACAGGCGTGAGCCACCATGCCCAGCCTGATCAATTTACATTTCTATTCTCAAATTCAATTTTGGTTTTATGTAAGTTCCTGCCTTGGTCAGGCAAAGCTGTTACTTGGATTCTAAACAGGAAGGGCTGGGTTATAGCCTTTTACACATTTCTTTCTCGTTCCCCGGCCTCCAGCGCATCCTCCTCCCATGAGGAACTGGTAGAGAGAGAAAGGCAAATATCTCCCTGCATAAGTGGCCACGATCGTGTCTCTGGATAATGCCGGCTGGGATGTGAGTTCCTCTGAGGGTCTTATGGGAGCTCCTCACTGCACAGCTTCCCTGATATAGGTCTGGCTCAACCTTCTCCACCCACGCCTTGGCTCCCATTATCAAAAGCCAGCCACTTAGGGAAAGTTCTAGCAAGATGGCTCAGGACCAACCACCATTCCCAGTGTCCATTTCACCCTTGGAGACCATGCATATCCTTGACAAACTGAAAGGGAGATATGTGGGCTGCTCCATTGGCAACCTTCTTCCTGCTGTTCTTCTCCATTCTCTCCTCCCAACCCAGATAGGCACAGGGGCAGGTTGGCAACTCAGCCCGAGCAGTCACTCAACCAGAAAATCCAATGCTAATGCTGTCTTCCTGCAGGCACCCCAATCCTCATGGCAAGTGTCTCTGGGAATTGTCTCTCTCATGTCCTCTATAAAGCTGAAGAGACCTTCTCCTCCTCAACCCTTCCCCAAAGTTCTATGCAGACTAGAAAAGGCTGGGGGTGGGGGTAGGGGTGGTAACTGGTGGCAAAAGTTCAGTCTCATTAGACTTGAAGAAGTATTCAAAGCTTCTTGTTTTTATTTATTTATTTATTTTTTATTTTATTTTTTGAGACAGTCTTGCTCTGTTGCCCAGGCTGAAGTGCAGTGGCATGATCTTGGCTCACTGCAACCTCCGCCTCCCGGGTTCATGCGATTCTCTTGCCTCAGCCTCCCTAGTAGCGGGGATTACAGGTGCCTGCCACCACACCTGGCTAAATTTTGTATTTTTAGTAGAGACGGGGTTTCACCATGTTGGCCAGGCTGGTCTCTAACTCCTGACCTCAAGTGATCTGCTCATCTCGGGCTCCCGAAGTGCTGGGATTACAGGCATGAGCCACCACAGCCGGCTGTTCAAAGCCTCTTGTTTTAGCTGGAGCCCTACACATCTATTCTAAGAATAGAAGAGTAGGAGAGTAGAACTCAACTATTTTAAACTTAATGGTAAAGAGTCACCAATTTATCCAGACATTTAAAAATAATGGAAACAAAGATATGATGAACTCTTGGAAATATGTCTTGTGCATTTGAAAGGTTCCATTCTCAGTGGCATGCAAAATACAATGTATCTCTTAATTCTACTTATTAATTACATTGATCAAATCCTTAGCATTCTTATTTGGTATCTGTTTGATTTGTGATACACTGGCATGTCTGAGTACTCCTTAAAATTGCGTGGTTTTGGCCAGGCACGGTTGCTCACGCCTGTAATCCCAGCACCTTGGGAGGCCAAGGCAGGTGGATCACAAGGTCAGGAATTCGAGACCAGCCTGGCCAATATGGTGAAACCCTGTCTCTACTAAAAATACAAAAATTCACCGGGCATAGTGGCGTGCACCTGTAGTCCCAGCTGCTAGGGAGGCTGAGGCAATAGAATCGCTTGAACCCAGGAGGCGGAGGTTGCAGTGAGCTGAGATCGCGCCACTGCCCTCCAGCCTGGGTGACAGAAGGAAACCTTGTCTCAAAAAAAAAAAAAAAAAAAAAAAAAAAAAAAAAAAAAAAATTGCGTGTCTTTGTTAATGTCTCTGTTTCTGTTATTTAGAAAGATTATTTCAACTATATTTTATATTAACATTATTTTGAACTGTGAAAGTCAAGGCTACTTTAATGAAACAAACCTTTAAATTGAAATAATTTTAAATAATGAAAGAACCTAATTCATTTTAGTTTTTTAGTAATTTTAAGCCTGTCCTAAACAAAGCACTTTTGGACAAAAGCTTTATATTTGTTTCAAAATATATTGAAAAGATGGCAGTAAAACATGTTAGCTTTCAGGTTTCCAAAATCTATCCTTAATTTATCTCAATTTACCTTACGGCCATCCCACCTAGTAAGACAAATTTTTTTACCTCCCTTTTAAAAATATAAACATTAAAATACCAAAGGTTTTAAAAGTTACACCACAGTTAGTGAATTAGGTTTGCCAAATACGAGATAGAAAACTTTTCTTGTATCTCAAGATCCTGAAAAAAAAAAAAAAGATAAAACAATGCACTTAATTAATCAAGTGAACTTTATTTTATGTGGAAGATAAAGAAACTTGGCCAGGCTCCTTACATTCATGTCTAGATTCCAAAAGAGGTTGCAACGTGGATCACAAGAAATACTCCTTCATTTCCCAGGATTCTAACAGTATGGTACTTTTAAATATATCCAAAAATTAGTCTCTGTATCACTACACTAAATAATTTTGGAGAGTAACAATGAAACAGCTAACATTTGTATGACACATGGTAATTTTTGATATCTAGCAATAGCATTACATTTTACCTCACGTTATTGTCCCTATTTTAGAAATGATGAAAATAAACTTCAAAGTGATTAAGTAATTTACCAAAGTCACACAGCTAGGAAATGCCATGTTTGGGATTCAAACCAGTCTTCCCACTTTTAATCCTGCACTGTTTTCTTTTTTTTTTTTAACTTTTTTTTTTTTTGAGAGGTTGTTTCTCTCTTATTGCCCATGCTGGAGTGAAATGGTGCTACCTCTACTCACTGCAACCTCCAACTCCTGAGTTCAAGCAATTCCCCCACCTCAATCTCCCAAATAACTAAAATTATAGGCAGGATTACAGGCATGCACCACCACGCCCGGCTAATTTTTGTATTTTTAGTAGAGATGGGGTTTCACCATGTTGGCCAGGCTGGTCTCGAACTCCTGACCTCAAGTGATCCCCCGGCTTGGCCACCCAAAGTGCTGGGATTACAGGCGTGAGCCACCGCGCCCAGCTTCCTGCACTGTTCTCACTATTGTCCTACGGTGCTTAGCATATTGCCTGAAACAGGTTACTCGCTCTTTCTAGAACTTGCAAAGCTTTTTCTTGTTTTCATTTATCTATAAATTTTTTGTTTGTTTGTTTGTTTGTTTGAGACAGGGTCTTGCTAACACCCAGGCTGGAGTGCAGTGGTGCAATCACAGCTCCCTGCAGCCTCAACCTCCTGCGCTCAAGCGATCCCCCCGCCTTCACCCCCTCAAGTAGCTAGGACTACAAGCGTGCACCACCAGGCCCAGCTAATTTTTGTATTTTGTGTAGAGACGGAGTTTTGCCATGTTGTCCAGGCTGGTCTCAAACTCCTGAGGTCAGGCAATCCACCCGCCTTGGCTTCCCAAATTGTTGGGATTACAGGCTTGAGCTACCATGCCCAGCCAATTTGCAAAGTTTGTAGGTATACCTTATCCCAGTTGATTTTTTTAGTGGCCCTATAGATAAGATCAATACGATGTCTATTTTTAAAATGAGGAAATTGAAGCTCAAAAAAGGTTAACTCACTTGTCAAAGGTTTTCCAACTAGAAAATAGCAGAGAGGGCACTTGAGGCCAGGCTTCTGACTTCTACTCTAGTGGAAATTTACCCCTACTGTCCCACAGACCTTCCACATTTTACGATTTGTGTTCTTAAATTTTGATGCAAGAAAACAAGGAATTTTTTTTTTTTTTTTTTGAGACAGAGTCTTGCTCTGTTGCCCAGGATGGAGTGCAGTAGCACAATCTCGGCTCACTACAACCTTCGCCTCCCAGGTTCAAGTGATTCTCCTGCGTCAGCCTCCCAAGCAGCTGGGATTACTGGCACATGCCACCATGCCCAGCTAATTTTTGTATTTTTTTTTTTTAGTAGAGATGGGGTTTCACCATGTTGGCCAGGCTGGTCTTGAACTCCTGACCTTGTGATCCACCTGCCTCGGCCTCCCAAAGTCCTGGGATTACAGGGGTGAGCCACTGCACCCAGTCGAAAACAAGGAAATTAAGATGAGGGAAGATGAGTTAGACAAGGCCTTGACTTGACTCCCAAGAGTCCATCAACCTGACAGTCCACATGAAAGCACCCACCTTTCCTGCTACCTGATCATAGGCAGTAAGAGAAGGAAAGTAGGGAGGAGGAGAGGAAGGGGCAAAATAAGACCTGAGCTATTTAAACACAAAAAGAAGGCACCGGCCGAGCACGGTGGCTCACATCTGTAATCCCAGCACTTTGGGAGGCTGAGGCGGGCAGATCACCTGAAGTCAGGAGTTCAAGACCAGCCTGGCTAACATGGTGTAACCCTGTTTCTACTAAAAATACAAAAAATTAGCCAGGTGTGGTGGCGGGCATCTGTAATCCCAGCTACCTGGGAGGCTGAAGCAGGAGAATTGCTCGAACTCTGGAGGTGGAGGTTGCAGTGAGCCAAGATCATGCCATTGCACTCCAGCCTGGGCAACAAGAGTGAAACTCCGTCTCAAAAACAAAAACAAAACAAAACAAAACAAAAAAAACAAGGCACCACAGGAAAAGGGAGACCACTGCAGCGCTGGGCCCAGGAAGACTATTCATCTCTGAAGCAAGAAAGAAGAAACTGAAACGCCTTGGCCAGAAGCAAAGAGAGACTCAAAGCATAATGAGATACTGCTATGGTTTGGACGTATGTCTTCCTCCAAAATTCACGCGCTGGAAATTAACCTCCAAGGTGATGTAATGTATTAAGAAGCAAGACCCTTGTTAGGTAATAGGCCATGGGGGCGCCACCATCATTAATGGGATTAATGGCTTTATAAAAGAGGCTTCAGGCCAGGCACAGTGGCTCACGACTGTAATCCCAGCACTTTGGGAGGCTGAGGTGGGCAGATTACCTGAGGTCAGGAGTTCGAGACCAACCTCACCAATATGGAGAAACCCCATCTCTACTAAAAAAATACAAAATTAGCTGGCTATGGTGGCGGGTGCCTGTAATCCCAGCTACTCGGGAGGCTGAGGCAGGAGAATCACTTCAACCCAGGAGGTGGAGGTTGTGGTGAGCCAAGATTACGCCATTGCACTCCAGCCTGGGCAACAAGAGCGAAACTGTGTCTCAAAAAAAAAAAAAAAAAAAAAAAAAGGAGAGCTGCCTCCCTCTTCCATCTCTTCCACCATGTGAGGACACAGCCAACACAATCATCCCCTTTTGCCCTCCTGCCTTCGACATGCAAGGACACAGCAACAAGGCACCATTTTAGAAGCGGAGGCTGAGTCCTCAACAGACAAGTGAATTTGCTGATGCCTTGATCTTGGACTTCCCTGCCTCTAAAATGATGAGAAATAAATGTCTGTTGTTTAAAAATTACCCAGTCTGAGGTTTCCTGTTGCAGCAGCAGGAACAGACTAAGACAGATTGGGAGACGGAGGCGTCAGGAAAAGTTCTCAGGGTCCTCTGAAGATGTCAAAGGGAGCCCCCAAGCATGGCCATGGGATAGGAGCTGGCAGCATGGAGATCATGGGACCTCCATCCAGGCAGAAGAGGCCATGGACACGCCATCCATGACACCAGGCTGAAGGACGAGGCCTTTCTAGAGGCAGAGGATTGAAACTTAATCAACACATGTGCACTTCGTCACCCTGGACCTCACAGACCTAAGCCACTGCTGGCAACCAGCCTCTACATTTTAAATGTATTACTCCATTTATAAGGGGAAGAAAAGGAATATGTTGACCTACTCATTAGCTGCATCATTTGAGGCTTCAGACCTCAAGCAGCAGCTTAGGAACTTAAAAATCTTCTCTTTTTTTGAGACGGAGTCTCACTCTGTTGCCCAAGCTGGAGTGTGATGGCGCAATCTCAGCTCACTGCAACCTCCGCCTCCCAGGTTCAAGTGATTCTCCTGCCTCAGCCTCCTGAGTAGCTGGGACTATAGCTGCCCGCCACTGTGCCCGGCTAATTTTTGTATTTTTAGTAGAGACGGAATTTCACCATGTTGTCCAGGCTGGTCTCCAACTCCTGACTTCATGTGATCCACCCGCCTCGGCCTCCCAAAGTGATGGGATTATAGGCATGAGCCACTGCGCCTGGCCAGAACTTAAAAGTCTTGCATGGGTGCAGGACACCACTCATCCTCCTGCTGAGATGGAGACATGACCAACAAGAAACGTCTAGAGCATGGTTCTCTACCCCAAGACCCTTTTGGGTCATTTATTTCTCCCTTTCAGATTAATATTCGAAAATTGCAGGGAGAAGTAGGATATGGTCTCCAGGTATCCATTTTTATAGCACTTTGTTTTACAAAGCAAGATTTTCACCCTTCAATTAACTGAATAGGCATTCCACATGGAGTACATGCCTCATCCAATCCCATTTCTCAGCCTCTACTTACTCTTTTGTCTTAATGTCATTTTTAAGTCATATTTGTCTTCCACACAATTTGAGAATCAGGATAAGACCTTATACTGTCTCTGCTGGATCATTTGTCTTTGACTTCAACAGAGTCAAAATCAAGCCAGGCACGTAATCCCAGCGCTTTGGGAGGCTGAGGTGGGCAGATCACTTGAGGTCAGGAGTTCAAGACCAGCCTGGCCAACATGGTAAAACCCTGTCTTTACTAAAACTACATAAAGTAGCCAGGTGTGGTGGCATATGCCTGTAGTCCCAGCTATTAGGGAAGCTGAGGCAGGAGAATCGCTTGAACCTGGGAGGTGGAGGTTGCAGTGAGCCGAGATAACGCCACCACACTCCAACGAGGGCAACAGAGACTTCGTCACACACACACACACACACACACACAAAACAAAAAGTAGAGTCAAAATCACAATTATATGGTAGAGGGAAAGCAAGTTCTCTGCCCAAATCATTAACCTTTCTATATCCTACTGTAAATTAACTTCACTTGAAAACATCAAACAGAAATGAGAGGAGGTGGTGCCTAAACCCATGGTGCCCAACCACCATCTATGGAGTTGTGGCATTACATGGCTAAGCTGGTGAGAGTGAATTACCAGAAACTCTGCACAGAATTAAATACCAAAGCATTCTAAGATCAAACCACTTTTGCTAACCTGTGCTGCCCTCAATTTCATAAAACATAGATATGAAGAGTAAGGAAATTAAGGGAAGATATAAGTGTTCAATAACATTGCTGAATGACTGAAGTTTAATTTGTATAGTGCTTAACCACTTGCAAAGTTATCGCCCAATTAAAAGTCCAAAGGATTTTGTACAAGCGCAGAGCATTGGGCGGTTTCACTAGAACAGAATGAAAGTAATGGTTAATGCTTTTCACGGCATACATTCATTAAGACAGAATTCTCAAAAATGTGGGCAGACTCTGAAAGCCTGAGGTTTCAAACCCTGAACCAATGTCAGAAAATACGTCATTTGTATGGATGGAGAAGAATGGGCAAGGAAGTGAAAAGAGACTACTATTTCCAGAATGTCACACTGCTTTTGCACACTCTCAAATAGGCATCTGCTTGTGTGGGAGCTGTGATTCCCTCTCCCCTCCCCACTGTCCTCTAGTATTGTTTAAAAATGACGGAAGAAACAATAGCTAGCTCCACAGAAGTCATCCTCACAAGCCAGATGTCAAGTGAGGGCTGGCAACGTTGGGGCAAAATTAAAAGTGATGGAGGGGGAAACAGTGGTGTGCCCCTTGGGTGGATAGAAGGTTTCATTAATGTCTGTGATGGAATCATGAACCACAACAGTGAGGCATTTCCGCCTCTGGCCTTTTTTTGGTTTTTGTTTTTTTTAGAATCAGGATCTCACTCTGTCGCCCAGGCTGGAGTGCTGAGGCACAATCATAGTTCACCGCACCTCGAACTCCTAGCTTCAAGCGATCCTCCCACCTCAGCCTCCCAAAGTGTTGAAATTACAGGTGTGAGCCACTAAGTCCACCTGCCTTTTTAAGATGTGTTTGAAAATATCCAGGAGAGCAACTCAGAAGTTATAGTCTTAAAACATACCCATTCAGGCAGCTTTGTTTTCCATGCGGAAAGCCCAGGTTGGCTGATATTCCTGGAGGCTTCACGCATCCTGGGAGGCGGCTGAGGTATTCCTTTTCTCCCTTTTAAACAACTGACAGACACTTTCCAGCATCTTCCTGGTGGCTGAGTTGATGAGGGATTTTTTCCCCTCGTACAGTCCTATTTATGAAAATCAGCAGCTAGTTGGTAGCAGGTTAAGAAGCTCCAGGTGTTGGGGGAAAGCAAGCTCCCCATAATTAGCATTTTCCCATTGAAATATCATTATATCCCTGAAATATTATAACTTGAGTGTCCTTAATTTTCTACAGATTTTTATTTTGCAGTGTGAACAAGATCCTTAAGCTCAGAGAAGAATCATTTCCTAGGAAAAAGACTAGCAACACAGATGCTCCATGCAACCACTTCTTGTAAAACACCAGTACTTAGACACACAGACAGATTTTTAAACATAATTCTAAGTTCAACAGACCAGACTCAACGCACAGTGATGCACAAGAATGGGCTATGTGCCCACCCCCAAAACACTGTGGAAGCACACTAAGAATGAGTTCTGATGAGCAGGTGTTCCAGGCAGAGAAATGCTTCTAGTCAGAATCACCCTGAGTTTCAAAAACAGATTTTTAAAGATCAATTTCTAGGTGCATGTTTTTTGTTTTTTGTTTTTGAGATGCAGTTTCGCTCTTGTCGTCCAGGCTGGAATGCAGTGACACGATCTCGGCTCGCTGCAACCTCTGCCTCCTGGGTTCAAGCAATTCTCCTGCCTCAGCCTCCCGAGTAGCTGTGATTACAGGCGCACGCCACTGCACCAGGCTAATTTTTTGTATTTTTTTTTTTTTTAGTAGAGATGGGGTTTCACCATGTTGGCCAGGCTGGTCTTGAATTCCTGACCTCAGGTAATCTGCCTGCCTCAGCCTCCCAAAGTGCTAGGATTATAGGCGTGAGCCACCACGCCGGCATTTTAGTAATTTTAACGGAGACGGGGTTTCACCATGTTGGCCAGGCTGGGGTCACAAACTCCTGACCTCAAGTGATCCACCTGCCTCAGCCCCAAGTAATATATTTTGCGGTAGCTTTTTGATGCAAATATCAGATTATTGTACTGAGACAGGAATATTTTGGACTGATCCTTAAAAACCCATAAAATTTTAAGCTGCTTTTAAAAAAACTACCCAAAAATGACATCCATCAGACAACAACCCTTATCCTATACCCAGTGGGTCAGGGCTAGGCTAAACCACAGAAAGTTATGGAAATGAGTACATCGCTTGCTAAATAAAACCAGGGGTTACATTGTGATGAGATGCATCTGGTCAACCCCTTCATTTTATAGGTGAGATTCAGAGGAATGGCCTCCCCTGGCTAGGAAGTAAGAGAGCCAAGACTTGCTCATATTTCTTCTCTCTAAATCTATGCCCTTTCCATGGTTTGATACTTCCTATGTATCGATGACATTTTACATTCCTATTATGTGTAAGGTAGCTAGACTTTCTTTGCCCAGCTGGCTAAGCAGCATTAGCTTGGTTTTTCACAGGCAAGCCTTCTACAGTCTTCTTCGAATGTACTTGTAGACTCTTTTTCAAATGCATTTGCACACTAATATGTATATTAGTTTTTTATTGGTGCATAACAAATTACCACAAACTTAGTGGCTTAGGCAACAGGCATCTACTAGCTCACAGTTTCGTAAGTCAGAAGCCCAGCCCATCATGACTGGGTTCTCTGCTCAGTGTGTCACAAGGCTGAAATCTAGGTGTTGGACTGAGTTCTCATCTAAAGCCTCTAGAGGAAAAAGCCCCTTAAAAGCTCATTCTTGTCATTAATAGAATCCAGTTCCTTGCAGTTGTAGGACTGACATCCCCACTTCCTTGCTGGCTGTCAGCTCCTTGGGGCTGCCGGCATTCCTTGCCACACAGCCCCCTCCATCTTCAGCTCACAAAGGTGCATTTGAATCTTCCTCATGCTAAGAATCTCCAGCTTCTCTTTCCTCAAGCAGCAAGACAAAACTCTCTGCTTTTAAAGGGCTGGTGTGATTAAGTCAGACTCACCTGGATATTCTCCAGATCTTAAGGTCAATTATACCATAGAACATAACTAGTCAAGGGAGTAAATTCATCACAGACATAGTTCCAGGGATTACTCAGGGTGTGTATGCAACACGGGTCTGGGAGTGAATCATGGGGGCCATGTCAGAATTCTTCTTCCACACAATGCTAATAAGGGCATGTTTATATTTCCCCTAACTCTGCCAAATTAGAAAGCAATTATTCTGTCTGAAGTAAGAATGATGTAGTGGCATGGACACAATTTAGAAAGACCCTTCACAGAAACAAGCATATTCTATGGCTTAAAACTTTCCACTTCAACCGGGATAGCAAAGGGGTAGAAATCATAAAAACAGATAAAGGAGAACAATCTGGGGATGAGACTGAAATTGCCGAGTGAGACAGTGGGGGTGGGGTCTAAGGAAGCAGCTTTCACAACTGTCACATACAACAGACTGTAAGAACATGCTCCGTCAAGATTGTGTCATCTGTGTGCCCCACCCTCCTTTTTTGGGTTAAAGCATATAGCACTAGTTTCATTATAGCAGGGACCATATCTACCAACCATCAAGGATAAGCACAATGCCCAGCACATACTTAGCGCTCAATCAACATTGATTCAAATAAACTTGAGGTCAGAGGGGAATGCTGATACATGCTGCTGATTCTGCTAAATTAGTCAGTGTTCTCCCCTCCCCCAACAATGAGCACTTAGCCAGAAAAAAAGTGAAAACAGAATTGGGAACTTCCTTTTAAAAATGAGTGCCACCTCAGTTCCCTTCATTTCGCCCTATCAAAATACTCCACTAAAATAAAACTAAAGGAGTTTCTCAGAATGCAGAAATCTACAAGGACAAGAAGACTGAGATGACAGCAGCAACAATATCACGAAAGCCAGAAAACTGATTCATGGTAAGTAACCAGCGTGATTTAGCGTGGATCCTAAACTAGCAGTGATGAAAGCAGAACCATCCAAAGCCTTCCCAGGACCTCCGAAGTAGGGATTCAGGTGAAGCTTGTGAGCACAGCAGACTCTCAGGCCCCACGCCAGACCCACTAAATCAGAACATTCAGGTAAACAAATTTCAGACATGCATACTCACTTTATTTACTTATATTTTTCTTTTTTTAGAGACAGGGTCTCACTCTGTCACCTAGACTAGAGTGCAGTGAAGAAATCATAGCTCACTGCAGCCTCAAACTCCTGGGCTCAAGCAATCCTCCCGCCTCAACCTACTTAAGTAGCTAGAACTACAGGCTCATGCCACCACCCTGGCTAATTTTTATTTTTTTGGTAGAGATGGGATCTTGCTATGTTGCCCAGGCCGGTCTGGAACTCCTGGCCTCAAGCAATCCTCCAGCCTCAGCCTCCCAAAGCACTGGAATTATTGGTGTGAGCCACTGTGCTGCCCCCATATTAAGTAGCACTCAGTTTGTTCTCCTCTTTTTCTTTTAGGACGTGTATCAAATTTTCCTGTGTTCCAGGAATTCCAAATTCAAAGAAACAAGAGAACAATAATAGTAATTTTATTTACCAAGTGTCAGGAATCCAAATGAGAAAATGTCTGTACAGGAGACACACAAATACCACAAATTAGCAAATCTAATTGGGTTTTTTTTGGGGGATATTTTTCTGACATTACATGCAATAGTTTTATTTGTCATAAACATTGTGTACATCTTTGACTTCTTTTAGATGTTGTGGTAGTGACATACATATTTGCAATTTATATTGCATGTGTCAGCATATTGAAAATCAGCTCAAATGACCAATTTGTATTATATAACTTGTAAGTTCTAAAAACTTAGTATTAGTAGTACTCCCTTTCCCTGAAGATTTCTTTAAAATTTTAATTGTGTGCCGGGCGCAGTGGCTCACGCCTGTAATCCCAGCACTTTGGGAGGCCTAAGCGGGCAGATCATGAGGTCAGGAGTTCGAGACCAGCCTGACCAACATGGTGAAACCCCGTCTCTACTAAAAATACAAAAATTAGCCAGGCGTGGTGGTGGGCGCCTGTAGTCCCAGCTACTCAGGAGGCTGAGGCAGGAGAATCGCTTGAACCCGGGAGGCGGAGGTAGCAGTGAGCTGAGATCATGCCACTGCACTCCAGCCTGGTGACAGAGTGAGACTCCATCTCAAAAAAAAAAAAAAAATTTAATTGTGGGTGGGTGTGTGTGTGTGTGTGTATATATATATATATATATATATATATATATATAACATAAAATTTACCATTTCAGCCTTTTTTTTTTTTTTTGAGACACAGTCTCCCACTATAGTGTGGTGGCACAATCTCGGCTCATGCAACCTCCACCTCCCAGGTTCAAGCAATTCTCCTGCCTCAGCCTCCCTAGTAGATAGGATTACAGGCACACGCCATATTTTAGCCATTTTTAAGTATACAATTCAGTGGCATTAAGCACATTTGTTCACATTGTTTTTCTATCACCAGCAGCCTGCCACAGAACTCTTGAATTTGCAAAACAAACTCTGTACCCATTAAACAGTAACTCCATTCCTCCACCCCTGCTCCAGGTAAGCTCTAAGCTACTTTCCGTTTCTATGAATTTGCATATTCGAAATATTTCATATTTTTGAGATCATACCATATCTGTCCCTCTGTGTCTGGCTTATCTGAGTTAGCACAGTGTCCTCAGATCCATCCATGTTGTAGCATGTGTCATAATTTCCATCTTTTAAAGCTGAATAATCTCCCATTGTGTGTATATACAACATTTTGTTTATCCATTCATCTATGGATGGACTTCTGGGTTGGTTCTACCTTTTGGCTATTAGGCGGATTTGTTTTTAAACTTTTTTTCCACGTTTTAAAAAGCTGCCTTATTGAGATGATAGAAACTTTTATTTTGGTTTCAGGAAAAAAATATACATCCTTTCTGGAAATACGGGCCTAGGAGTTAACTGCAGGAACTAAGAGGTAGGGAATTATCATGCTTTTGAAATTACAGGTCCTTTAAGACCAAAGCAATAAAAATAGCCACATTCACCTTCCAAGATAACCCATATCTTCTGTTTCCTAACATAGCTGGACTACCCTCATATTCTCAGAGGAATGAGAAAAAAAAAATCCTCTCATTATCTACCAGGAAAAAGAATGGAGAGAAAGCCCATCTGAATTAGTGAAAGCAATGAATTACAGATTTTTAGAGCAAGGCAATTTTATTACTTGCAACCTATGGGAAGCTAACAAATTGTCAGAGAAGCCCTAGGCTCCTATTTTAATGAACACAGGAGAATCATATATAATTACCATATCAAGTGCTACTATAAAAATGGAGACTTCTGAAGTACTTGAAGACACTTGAAAACAGTTCATACTCCAGGATTTTTAACACACCACCACCACCACCACCACCACCACGACCACCACCACCACCACCACCACTAGGACAGTATTACTTAGCTCCTAATTTGCAGCACTGAGAAAGGTTTACGAAGCAAAGATAAGCCTTAGCCCAATATTCAGGATGAATGGGTTTTATATAATTTAGAATTTAAAATTCTTTACTATGAACACATTTAAATAGAAAACTGAAAATACTTGAAGGAAAAATAAAAGCAGACTTCCAACTGACTGGTATATTTAAACTAAGTCTAGATAAATACTTAGTTTATTTATTTGCAATCAACAAAATTACTGAGAAAAGAAAAAAGAGAAAGAATTCCCATGACATAAGACAAGCTTTGGGGAAAGAGAAAAGCAATAACATGACCAAATTCTTGTCATCGGAATAAGTTGATCAAAGACAAAGGGAAACTAGAAAACAATGCAATATCAAAAACCCCAATAAAATCCCTCAAGCTTGGTCATGTTTCATGTTGGAAGGCTGTCTATTATTCAGTTCCAATCCTTAACTTCAAAAGTATAGTAAGAAAGAAATGTCTGCAGCTTTGAATTAGTGAACGATAGCATACAAACAAATTCATCCTTTCTCTTTCATTTGTTTTCCCTGAACACTCTCAAATTGACAAGTGCTAGAATTCACCAAGATCATTACTTCCCACCTGGATTTGGTATCCTTAAAGGAGAAAGAAAAAAAATTCTTTTCTGATTTATGAATATTCTGCAACGATGCAAATAAACCAGCCATAAAAATAAGCACAAAGAAAGTCCTCAGCCGGAGCGTCTCTGCCTGGCCGCCCATCGTCTGGGAGGTGAGGAGCCCCTCTGCCTGGCTGCCCAGTCTGGAAAGTGAGGAGCGTCTCTGCCCGGCCGCCAGCCCATCTAGGAAGCGAGGAGCGCCTCTTCCCCGCCGCCATCCCATCTAGGAAGTGAGGAGCATCTCTGCCTGACCCGCCCATCGTCTGAGTGGGGAGCGCCTCTGCCCCGCCGCCCTGTCTGGGATGTGAGGAGCGCCTCTGCTGGGCCGCAACCCTGTCTGGGAGGTGAGGAGCGTCTCTGCCCGGCCGCCCCGTCTGAGAAGTGAGGAGACCCTCTGCCTGGCAACCGCCCCGTCTGAGAAGTGAGGAGCCCCTCCGTCCGGCAGCCACCCCATCTGGGAAGTGAGGAGCCTCTCCGCCCAGCAGCCACCCCGTCCGGGAGGGAGGTGGGGGGGGGGTCAGCCCCCCGCCCAGCCAGCCGCCCCGTCCGGGAGGTGAGGGGCTCCTCTGCCCGGCCGCCCCTACTGGTAAGTGAGGAGCCCCTCTGCCCGGCCAGTCGCCCCGTCCAGGAGGGAGGTGGGGGGGTCAGCCCCCCGCCCGGCCAGCCGCCCAGTCCGGGAGGGAGGTGGGGGGTCAGCCCCCCGCCCGGCCAGCCGCCCCGTCCGGGAGGGGGGAGGGGGGGTCAGCCCCCTGCCCGGCCAGCCGCCCCGTCCGGGAGGGAGGTGGAGGGATCAGCCCCCCGCCTGGCCAGCCGCCCCGTCCGGGAGGTGAGGGGCGCCTCTGCCCGGCCGCCCCTACTGGGAAGTGAGGAGAGGGAGGTGGGGGGGTCAGCCCCCCGCCCGGCCGGCCGCCCCGTCCGGGAGGTGAGGGGCACCTCTGCCCGGCCGCCCCTACTGGGAAGTGAGGAGCCCCTCTGCCCGGCCAGCCGCCCCGTCCGGGAGGGAGGTGGGGGGGTCAGCCCCCCACCTGGCCAGCCGCCCCATCCGGGAGGGAGGTGGGGGGGTCAGCCCCCTGCCCGGCCAGCCGCCCCGTCCGGGAGGGAGGTGGGGGGATCAGCCCCCCGCCTGGCCAGCCGCCCCGTCCGGGAGGTGAGGGGCGCCTCTGCCCGGCCGCCCCTACTGGGAAGTGAGGAGCCCCTCTGCCCGGCCAGCCGCCCCGTCCGGGAGGGAGGTGGGGGGGTCAGCCCCCCGCCCGGCCGGCCGCCCCTACTGGGAAGTGAGGACCCCTCTGCCCGGCCAGACGCCCCATCCGGGAGGTGAGGGGCGCTTCTGCCCGGCCGCCCCTACTGGGAAGTGAGGAGCCCCTCTGCCCGGCCACGACCCCGTCTGGGAGGTGTGCCCAGCGGCTCATTGGGGATGGGCTATGATGACAATGGCGGTTTTGTGGAATAGAGAGGCGGGAAGGGTGGGGAAAAAATTGAGAAATCGGATGGTTGCCGGGTCTGTGTGGATAGAGGTAGACATGGGAGACTTTTCATTTTGTTCTGTACTAAGAAAAATTCTTCTGCCTTGGGAAAAAAAAAAAAAAAAAAAAAAAAGTCCTCAGCCACAGCACTTCGAGTCTACAGATATGGACAATTCTACATCTTAGAGAGATTGTGAGGGGTCTCATGTGTTAGTTAAAGAGGAAGTGGGCAGAGATCACAGATGCTTAAAATCCAATTTCCATATCTGCATGGCTCCATCTTGAGAGCTGTGTTCTAAACCCACTTAGGTCTGCAAGCTGTGCTAACTTTGATGTTATCAGCAGAGGACTAGGTCAAGGGAGAAAGTGAGCTATGTGAGCTATGGAAAAAAAATGAAAGAGAATCATCAAGGGAGAAAAAAAAATGAAGTGAGAGCTAACAGCCTGCCCCTAATTATTTCTTATCCCTCTAATTTTTGTTTTTATTAAAAGGAGAAAAATAAAGCACATAAGCATCTCAGAGATACTGATTATTCTGCTTAATGAGGCATATATTAAACATCTTTTAATTAACCAAAGAATGGTATTAGTGCCTACCACATGCTGCAGAGATGAGAATAATCTTTGGAAGTTAAGTTGCCCATCCTCAGAGGGCTTGTATTCTGTTTAGAGACAAAACCCAACGTGCCTCTCCCTGTCCACAGCTCCTTTAAGCCTGAGGGCAACCCCCCCAGTTTCTTTTACACTCCAGAGTGGTAAGGCTAACATCCTAAAAGCATCTCATCTTATCTTTCTGGGGGGAACAGGGTTGATTATACAATTGACCCTTAAACAATGTGGGGGTAGGCCAGGCACGGTGACTCACACCTATAATCCCAGCACTTCGAGAGGCGGAGGCAGGTGGATCGCCTGAGGTCAGAAGTTCCAGACCAGCCTGGCCAACATGGCAAAACCTTGTCTCTACTAAAAATACAAAAATTAGCCAGGCGTGGTGGTGGGCGCCTGTAATCCCAGCTACTCAGGAGGCTGAGGCAAGAGAATCGTTTGAACCCGGGAGGCAGAGGTTGCAGTGAACCGAGACTGCACCATTGCACTCCAGCCTGGGTGACAAGAGCAAAACTCTGTCTCAAAAACAAACAAAAAACAATGTGGGGGTGAGAGGCACTGACCACCTTGCACAGTCAAAAACCCACATATAACTGTGACTCCCCAAAAACTTAACTACTGTTGACCAGAAGCCTTGCCAATAAAATAGTCGATGCACTCATATTTTGTATCTCATATGTATTATAGACTGTATTCTTACAATAAAGCTAGAGAAAAGAAAATCATAAGGAAGAAAAAGTATATTTACTACTCTTTAAGTGAAAGGGCATCATTATAAAGGTCTTCATCCTTGGAGACTGAAACTTAGAAATCTTCACATTGAGTAGGCAGAGAAGGTGGAAGAGGAGGAAGTGGTCTTGCTTTCTCAGGGATGGCAGAGGAGGAAGAAAATCTGCCTATAAGTGGGCCTTTGCCATTCAACCGCATGTTGTTCAAGGTCAACCATACTATGAACTCCAGATACCTTAGTCTTGCAAACGAAGGCACTGGCCACAGGCTCAGCTCTCACCTCCAATCATCCTTTGCCTTCTTCACCATTCTGCAAACACACCTTGTTCTTTCTTCCTTCCTTGTCTTTGCCCTTTTTTTTTTTTTTCTATCTTCCTAATCTCCCCTCTGGCCTTCGTACTCCTAGAAAAACCCTACCCACCCTTCAGAACACCAGTTTAAAGATCACCTCAAAGGCTTCTACGAACCTGTTATTCCTCCCTCCTCTACGTTCCTCTACTAATGATACTCAGAGGGCCACAATACACTGAGCAAGTGGAGCTGTCATTCTGCTCAAGATAAATCTGTCTGTGGGCCTGTCAGCAGAAGTGAGTTTTGTTTTGTATACTTCCATCACAAAATGTGATACAATGTGTTGTGCTCAAAAAAATGTTTGCGGAATCCATTTAAAAACAAACCCCCAAAATGGTATCTTTCCTTTGCTCTGTGCTGGCAAAGCCTGGCCACCTCCTTGGTTCATGCCCTCGACCTCCACATCCCCTTCTCATCCCCGGCATTTCTGATCTGTGGACAAAGGCTGGGCATTAAGAGATTTCGGAGTCTAGGCCAGGAAATTGATGTTGTGTTTGTTTTTATTTTTGTCTTTTGGGGTTTTTCGGTTGTTTATTTGCTTTTTAGAGTCAAAGTCTCGTTCACTGCAGCCTCAAACTTCTGGGCTCAAGTGATCCTCCCACCTCAGCCTCCCGAATAGCTAGGATTACAGGTGCACATCACCACATTTAGCTAACTTGTTTTTTAATTTTTTTGCAGAGAGGGGGTCATGCTATGTTGCCCAGGCTGGTCTTGAACGCCTGGCCTCAAGCATCCTCCTATCTTGACCTCCAGAAGTGCTGGGATTACAAGCATAAGCCACTGCACCAGCTTTTTTTTTTTTTTTTTTTTTTTTTTTTTGAGACAGGGTCTCGCTGTGTCACCCAGGCTGGAGTGCAGTGGCTCAATCAAAGCTCACCGCAGCCTCTACGTCCCTGAGCTCAAGCAATCCTCCCACCTCAGCCTCCCAAGTAGCTGGGACTACAGGTGCACACCACCATGACTAACTAATTTTTGTATTTCCTGTTGGGACAGGGTTTTGCCATGTTGCCCAGCCTGGTCTTGAACTTCTCAGCTCAAGCAATCCGCCCACCTCAGCCTCCCAGAATGCTGGGATTACAAGCATGAGCCACTGCACCCAGCCTATTTTTGTTTTTAAGAGCTCATAAGCTGACTCTGATGATCAGCCAAATTTAGAAACCACTGGACTTTGCATACTTTCCATTTTCATTAGTTCTAGGAGTCCACCCCATCGGTTCCTGCTTCCAGATCTCTGCCCATTTCATGATGGGTATTTACTTCTAGGATAAGCCTACAGCTTCCTGACTCACCATGTTACTTTCTGATTAAGTAATGAGAGATGTGAATTCTTCCTTCATTTATTTTATTTGTTCAACAACAAGTATTTATGTAGCTTCTTTCAACAGCTAGTGATACTTGGCTTCATATAAGATTACCCACTAACAATTTGATCTTGAACTCTTTCCTCAAAGGAAGATTTTTTAAAGCATAGAGCAATTATGTATGATTCCAATTCAGGACAAAGTAGGCGGTAACTTACATTTTTAGCTCTTAAGTGGGTGCTCACGGCCATATGTAGCTCCTGAGTGTGGAGATTACATCCCAAATATAGAACAAGGCTCATCTATACAGTATAATTGTGGAATTCTAAGTCTCAGTCTCCAAGCCACAGAAACGAGGGAGCTATTCAGAGAAGTGGATTCCTTCAAGCAAATATTCTATACTTTCCCCCAATCACCATTTTTTTCAATAAATCAGGTTGCAGCTGAGAAGATGCCAGGCTCATATATTCTCCCTTCAAATTTATGTATTTGATACTTTCTATTCGGTTTTTTTGGAGGTTTCCTCAACCCAGAAAGGGTGGCTGCTGATCATCTCTTCCTGAACTATTGTTACACTTGCCCAAGTACCCAAGCCCTTGCGTGTGACACACTTGTGCACCTGGAATCTCAATTAGTTCCAAGCAATATAAATAGAAAAAGTGGCCACTGGTAATGGATATAAAATGAAGTGGCAGAAGGGCACTTTTCAAGGCAGTGAAAATACAGCTTTGACAATGGACACAGGGAGTCGTAACACCCGGCAGGCTCTCATTTGGTCTGCACAGAGGAAAGCGTGGTGTGTAAACTCCAGACGTATCTAATGCAGAGCACTTGTTCAGAAGCCCTAGTGCAACATCCGGCTTTTGTTCATGTCCATAGGCGTCTCTTAGAAAAAAAGAACCCAAAGCACATAGAGAGGAAGCTGCTAAAACACTGACTTCTAATTAGATCACTAACATCACTGGAGGAAAAGGAAAATGGATCTGTCTACTGTTTCCTTAAAATCCGCTACTGCTTTATCTAAAAGCTATAAATGACAAACATCCTAAATAGCGTACTGTACTTGGGTTCAAAAGTTCAGCAGTATCTGGAGAAGTGGTAGCACCCTCCCCGAGGAAGGACCAACCTGGGGGCTACAGAAGGGTTATTGAACCTGGCTCCTCCCACTCAGACCATCTGCAAAAGCTTAGGTCTTTGCAGCCATTCTGACCTTCAGGCCTAGAGTCGTTACTCAAACTGCACCTGCCCGGGATTGGGTTTCCTGCTAGTGAATGATTGTTTCTTTCCTTTAGTCTGCAAACAGCTGTCACGTGATCAAGTGGCAGGCAGAATGGAGGGAGCTGGCCCCTTGCAAAAGGGCTGAGTGGGACACCAACTTGGGTGATTCATCTCCTTCAAAAACCTGTTCCTGAAATGCTTTTGTATGTTTATATTGCTTCTTGTTTCAGCTCATAGATAATTAAAGCCTGTCAGAGATGGGGCTCTAACCTGGAAAATATACTATCTCTATACTCATTAGGGCTCATAAGGATGAATGGGGCTCATTGTCTTTCCCTTTTCCCTTTGACCCCAGTGATTCCTAAATCTATGGTTTATAACCTTGCAAAAAAATGAGGGTAACCTTGAAAAGGAATGCACTGTCTCCCTGTAACAAGAGATTACAGTTGCATGCCAGAATCAGTTATACCTGCTTGCTAGACATTTTGCTAATCCAAATAATATGTCCACAGCATGCGTAAAATAACCTTGGACATTTTGACAGTAATGGAATAAAATCTTAGAGGCATTTTCACTCAATAAACATCTTGTGGGGGAGGGGGGATTTACATAACATTTGTACATGTTATTAGGAGATTCTACCCAAGAGGACACTGGCATGCAAGGAAGTGAATTGTTATAGTTACTCACAAGCAAAGTTAAATATTACAAGAAAAGGGAAGGTTATTCTAGCCAAACTTTCTGACAATAAAGAATCACGGCTTTCCCTCAAAAGGACAGTTCTATATTTAATTTAAAGAAAACACACAGAGCTATATCTATCCAAAATGCTTCCCAATGATTAATCGAAACAGTATTCCTTCTTGGATGAGAGTGAAGCAGTAGGAATGGAGAACTGTCAAATCTTCCAGACCTCTAGGCATCCAAAATCAATGCAGAGGTTAGAGTGTTGCTTGGCAGTGGCTTTCCTCCCGAGAATTTCACTCCTGCATATCAAGAATGCTATTGGATTTTTCACACACACACACACACACACCTTGGACATGCCACAAGTGTATTCCTCCTGCTGAAACACAATTATAAGGCTAACAGATCAGATGAGCATGCATTAAGTGGAAAAGCAGGCAGGTTTAAATTGGACTGCAGAGTTATCACAGGTAGAGAAACAAAATTAGTTTATAAGAAAATAAAAAAGAAAGCACTCCTTATTACTCACCCACATCCCTCACCTTCCCCTGTGCCAGCGTTGGCCCTGGGCTTACTAGGATGTTTAAAGGCCGACAAGAAGAAATCCTCATCTACAGCCTTAGCACTTAATGTGGGTAAATGTCAACTGTTGGTACCCAGGTGTTGAATAGCGTCTGCCTTTACTTTTAAGCAATAAGACAAGATAGGCTGAATACTTGTGGGTGACTATTGCTTTGCTCAAGTGAATACCAAAATGACTCTGAACACATGAGAAACATAATAATTCTTTCGAAATGTCCTGACTGAAGCACCTCATTTTAGATTACAAAATGGATTTCATACATTTCAGCTAGAAAGAAAGAAAGAAAGAAAGAGAGAAAGAAGGAAAACAGGCGGATCAGTTTATTTTCTGAGCACAGTATTAATGACATGATGACATCACCAACAGCCAATCAGAAAGCTCTCTGGTGTCTGGTGTTCTAACACCATTTCATATTTATGGATAAGCACCAGAAGGGTGTCAACCCTAAGCTGCATTTCCCTCCCTACTCACTTCTAAATAAAGTGCTTGCTTTCATTCAGCAGCCAAACTAACAACAAAAAAAAAGCCCTCACAGTAGCTCTTCCTCCTCATCCCAGCCTGTTTTCTGACAATTCTGAAACAATAAGTGGAAGGAGGGGGAGACTGGCTGGAACTTTGTGTCACCGCTTCCTGCAAAGCCGCTAAAGGCATTCTGGAGCTTCTGAAAAGTCCTCATTGACAAGCCAAAGCCAAGGCTTCATCTGCAAAACCCCTAAGAGCAGACAAAAGGGAGATTATTTGCAAAAGGCAGGTTAGGGGTGTCTGTACTCAGGAAATTGATGCAATTGTTTTTCCCCTCCCAACCATTTTTTAAAATTATTATTTACTCCTAGTACTTCCTCACCCTCTAAAGCACTTTTGAAGAAGAGAGTGAGAAAGTTAACCTTGCCCAGGTTAATCTGAGGCCAGCGCAGCCCGAACAGTTCATAAGTTCAGTTTCCCACTCCGAGACCAATGGAGGTCAAGGGTCACCCATGCACCCAGGAACAGGACAATAGGGACGAAACTGTCACATCAATGATGGCACTCTGTTCTCAAGGTTGGTGCTAATTGCTGGGCTGCTGAGAGATGTAATGGCCAGAGCAGGAGTAGGGCCCACATTTATTTTTGGTTTGACATCAACGATCTGTATTGAACAGAAATTAATAATGCATTTCAAATTCGAGGCAGCACAAAGGAGGTGTCTGTAGCATCCATGAAAAGTCCCTGCCCTAGACAACCACTCCACCTTTCTGGCTCTTACAATTCTCCCCAAACCTCATCTACAGATGAATATAGCCCTCTTCTTTTTCCACATCCCAAACCATCTGATGCTGTAGCAGGATCACTGGATCAAGCTCAAAAACCAGAATTATAACATGTAATAAAGATGCTTGGCCATGCTGCAAAGATGACAGAATTTGGCATGCTGGCCCGGAGCCAGAGCGACAGATCTTGAGCTGATGTTCCTTTTCTACAGATTTAACAACGTACAAGGAGAAGAAAATTAATAATCTGATCAGAGCAAGTTCAATGTCTACGAGCTTCCCTTGGTTTCCCTCTGATGAGCTCCCCACCCCACACTTTCCTGGATGCCAAAAACAGCCAAATGAAATGACTGTAGCCTGTCCCTTTTCCTAATTAACTTGGTTCAAAGGTAAACTATTAAATAGATTCAAAGAGGGAAGGAGAAGAATTGGGATCCTCACTATTTGGGGGCTATATAATTAGAATCACCTAATTTCTTTCATATGCGCCATCTGAGCCAAAGCATAAAGATGCCCCCGCCGCATGTGAAAGCGTACATATTTTACACACAACCCACACACACACATTCTTCTACCTGCCGAGTCCCTATACAAATCAGAAAGATCACAATATAAAGAAGAGACAGTTGTCTGTGAAGCAAAGAAGAAAGAAATCTGACCTCAGACCTCTAAATCCTTAGGTCATCTGGGGCTTAGGAGAGGGAGGGAAAAAATTGTGTCTTTGTTAGATAGCTTATTTTAAAAAGGCACAAGAGGGGAGGAAAAAAAAAAAGAGTTTCTTTTGTCCCTTATGCTAAGCAATGGGTGTTGTCATTTTGAAAGTTATACAAATTCACAAGACAAAATAAAAAGCCAGACATAAAAATCTGAGCACTCAACAAAAAGGAACAAATTAAAATGCAGTATGCTGGTATCATAAATCCAAAAATAAATATGTGGGCAAGTGTTTCTAAAGGGCACTCTTCCCAATGCTCTTTCCTAATGCAAATGAAATCCGTTCCAAAACCTACCTATTAGAAGGCCTTCTTATTACTCTCTAATCTTGGTGCTCCATGTGAGCTGGCAGAAGGGAGAACTAATTTGGATCATCCAAAAATCATTTACATTTGGTTTTGGTTGCATTATATGAGGGTGGTAAGTTGGCTACAAATTTCCCTCCCTAATTAAGTTTACTTTAGAATAATTTTAAGTTTTATATTCCCTCCACACAAGCCAAGTAACAACTGCAGACAGTGGCTGGCTGGCAACAGCAAAAAGCCAATCATGGATTTTTTTTTAATTGTCATAGATAAGTTATCTGTACACAGCTAATCATGGTGACAGAATTAGCTTCAGCTCAGGGTGCCAGTGTTGGGAAGCATCCAGAGACCTAGATTTGCCAATGATGTCAGGTATGTGCAAACAAAGGTGTGATGAGGTATGGCCAGGTGTGAGACCCACTGGGTGGAATACCATCCATCAAAGAGATGTCTTTCACTCATTATAATCACACCCCTTACTCCATGTTCCATCCTCATAACCCTGAGCCTTCCTCCAGTTCTTCAAAGACAGGGCTGTTGTTTACATTTCTTAGGATCTTCAACTCCCATCCAACCTACATATTTACAACACACCCACACTCAGAAAAGTCAGAAATGGCATGGAGAATCCAGGCTCCAATTTTGATTCCACTTAGACTATATCATAAATCACAAGGCTATTTGGAGACTAACTGCCTAGTGATTGGACCCAGTAGACGTGAATCAGGGCTAAGATTCTATTATTTAGAAAAAGTACAGAAATCTCTCATTGTCTCTGTTTAGGTATCATAGGATCTGCTTCCTTTGCCATCTTTATTATGGATTCTCTTTTTCTTCAACACAGGTTGAGTATCCCTTATCTGAAATGCTTGGGACTAGAAGTGTTTCAGATTTTGGATTTTTTCAGATTTGGGGATATTTGCATTATATATTTACTAGATGAGGATCCCAAGTCAGAAAATTTGAAATCCAAAATGCTCCCACGAGGCAGGGTGCAGTGGCCTCCCACCACTTTGGGAGGCCGAGGCGGGTGGATCACCTGAGGTCCGGAGGTCGAGACCAGCCTGGCCAACATGGCAAAACCCCATATCTACTAAAAAAACAAAAAAATTTAGCCAGGCGTGGTGGCGGGAACCTGTAATCTCAGCTACTCAGGAGGCTGAGGCAGGAGAATCACTTGAACCCAGGAGACAGAGGTTGCAGTGAGCCAAGATCATGCCATTGCAACCCAGCCTGGGCGATAAGAGTAAAATTCCATCTCAAAAAAACAAACAAACAAACAAACAAAAACCAACGCTCCCATGAGCATTTCCTTTGAGCATCACGTCAGGGCTCAAAAAGTTTTGGATTTTGGAAGCATTTTACATTTTAGATTTTCCACTTTGGGATGCTAAACCTGTAATACCAAGGAGTTGGTATGTAAGCTATCTTGCATAGTGTCTTTTTTACTCTTTTTCATCTCAGGCTTTTGTTTTTTCATTCAGATCAATCCAATGTTATGTTTTCTTTTCATGTAATCTCTTGTGAAGAATGCAGAAGAATCCTGTATACCTCTGAAATTCATGAAGGAAAATTTAGGAAAGGAAAGTATGGCCAGGCGTGGTGGCTCACGCTTGTAATCTCAGCACTTTGAAAGGTTGAGGCGGGCTGATCACTTGAGGTTAAGAGTTCGCGACCAACCTGGCCAACATGGTGAAACCCCGTCTCTACTAAAAATACAAAAATTAGCTGGGCATGGTGGTGCACACCTGTAATCCCAGCTACTCAGGAGGCTGAGGCAGGAGAAAAACTTGAACCTAAGAGTCGGAGATTGCAGTGAGCCGAGATTACACCACTGCATTCCAGTCTGGGCAACAGAGCAAGGTTCCATCTCAAAAAAAGAAAAGAAAAGAAAAGAAAAAAATAAAAGTATGCATATGGAAATATGCATATTAGAACAATATCATAAAAAACAACTGTCTTTCTTTACCTGCCCCCAGCCCAAGTAAAATTTCCTATAATCCTCACCATCAAGAAAAGAGTAGGATTTGTGACAAATCAATAGTCAAATCAAATACAAGTATTAGTTTCATTGTTCATTTGAAATGTACAATGGAAACGAATAAAGCTTTGAGACTTTAGGAAAGAAAATTTGTTTTGTTTTGTTTGAGATGGAGTCTCTCTCTTTCACCAGGCTAGAGTGCAGTGGCTCACTGAAACCTCTGCCTCCCAGGTTCAAGTGATTCTCCTGCCTCAGCCTCCTGAGTAGCTGGAACTACAGGCATGTGCCACCACGCTTGGCTACTTTTTGTATTTTTAGTGGAGACGGGGTTTCACCACGTTGGCCAGGCTGGTCTCAAACTCCTGACCTCAAGTGATCCACCCGCCTCGGCTTCCCAAAGTAATGGGATCACAGGCATAAGCCACCACACCCGGCCTGAAAAGTTTTAAATCTCATTTAAAAGACTCATTTTTGCATGCCTCCAAAATTTTGTTAGGAAGGGAATAGGGGAGATGCATAGTTACTGTGAATCATTCATCTTCTTATAGACAACATATGATCAACTGCTACTCGTCATTACAGAAAGAAGACATAGAGAAGACAAACCAAAAGGGAAAATTATAGAAACAGAGTAAAGCCAAGGCCACAGAATAAAAAGAATATATGGATTAAAACATCCCTAAAGCATGGCCTTCTGTTCTAAGAAGTTTCCTCTAGTTTGACAAGAGGCAACTTTATCCCTGGTTCCTTGAATAAACAAGGGAAATTTGACCCATTTGCAAAGCTAGAAGAGTAGACATGTCTGGGCCTTACCATTTATCCAACATCCTGTCCCCCAAAACAGGAAGTGAATCACAGAGCTGAGGAACTACTTTATCATTTTCAAAGGAAAAAGACACAGAACTCGAGAGTTAACTTCTTATTCTGAAACAATATGCTTCGAGATAATCAAGTTATTCATTCTGTTTATAATGACCTAAATTGGTTCTTATAAACATTTCATCTAAGCAGTTTGCATCTCACTCAATATGATTTGGTTTCCATGTAAAAATAAGGTCTCATAATGGCAGCAGCAGATTCATATTCTCTCTCTTGTAGTCCGTTACCCGTATGTGTCAGCGGAGAACGTCTACAACATCAATTATGGCTGAGATTAAAGGAGGACATGGCTATGTCAGCATCATGGATTATGTTTTTGGCACACAGGAGGAAGACAGAAATAAATGAGTTTGAATGGAATATTATTCAACCCTGGAAAAGAAGGATAGCCTGCCATTTGCAACAACATGGATGGACCTAGAAGACATTAAGCTGAGTGAAACAAGCCAGACACAGAAGCACAAATATTGCATGATCCCACTTTTATAAGGAATCTGAAATATTCAAAGTGGTAGAACCAAAGAGTGGAAAGGTGGTTTCCAGAATAGTTGCTGGAGAAGGGAGAAATGGGGAGGAGTGATTCAAAAGGTACAAAGTGTTTATATGCAAGATGAATAAATTCTGGACAAAAGAGGGCCTCTAGTTAACAATAATGTTTTATTATACCTAACATTTTGCTAAGAAAATAGAACTTACGTTAAATGTTCTTACCACAAAAGTAAAAAAAATTTTAGAAATTTAAAAATAATTGTAGTGAGCCAAGATCGTGCCATTGCACTCCAGCCTGCGTGACATAGCAAGACTCCATCTCAAAAAAAAAAAGAAAACAAAAAGAAATTTAAAACTAAATCAATAAAAGCAGCAGAGGAAACTTCTGAAAGTGTTAAGTTTATGCCTTGATTGTCAAGGCTATACACTTCTCCCCGAATTCATCAAGTTCTACATGAAATACATAAAACATTTTTTTCTCAATAAAATGGTTAAAAAAAAAAAAGTGAGTCCTTTGACCAGCATGGTGAAGGCAGGTTAAAAAGCCCACTGATTTCCTAACATGCATACAGTGGTCCATAAATTTAATGTCCTAAAGCCAGCCTGGTTTCCCTGTTATCTGGGCTCTTTGGTTCTAACATTTTCTCTAATTATAGTTAAGCCACTAAATTTGGAGAAAAGACTAGGATATTAATTTCTTTCTTTTTTTTTTTCTTTTTTTTTTGGAGACAGAGTTTCACTCTTGTCACCCAGGCTGGAGTGCAATGGTGTGATCTTGCTCACTGCAACCTCCGCCTCCCGGGTTCAAGCGATTCTCCTCTCTCAGCCTCCCAAGTAGCTGGGATTACAAGTGCATGCCACCACACCTGGCTAATTTTTGTGTTTTTAATAGAGAAGGCGTTTCACCATGTTGGCCAGGCTGGTCTCAAACTCCTAAACTCAGGTGATCCACTCACCTCGGCCTCCCAAAGTGCTGGGATTACAAGCCTGAGCCACAGCGCCCAGCCTAGGATGTGAATTTCATAAAAACATAAAATAATTACTAAAATACTTATTTATCCACGCATATAATCTCAACTAACAACCATCAAACTGTAGGAATCTAAAAGACCTAGTCATGGCATTCATACAACTTAATTGTTCAGTACCAAAAAGATATCTGTGTTTGAAAGTTATCTTCCGAATTACTGAGGGGGAGAAAAATAATCCTAGGTTACACTCAGAGGCCTGGCTAATGTTTGCCCACAAATCATCACACTGTAATACGAACAGCCAGTTGTCTGCACAAACAATTCCTCTAACCATTTGCCTCTTCTAATAGTCTAAAAATTCAGATATTAATACATTCTCAAGTATAAAGTGAAAGAAGCTAGGTGCTTTGGTTTATGCCTGTAATTCCAGCACTTTGGGAGGCCAAGGTAGGAGGATCGCTTAAGGCCAAGAGCTCTAGATCCACCTGGGCAACATAGCAAGACCCTGTCTCTATAAAAAATTAAAAATAAATAAATAATTAGCTAGGCATGGTGATGCACACCTGTAGTCCCATCTACTCAGGAGGCTGAGGCAGGAGGAACACTTGAGCCCAGGAGTTGGAGGCTGCAGTGAGCTATGATGGCACCACTACATTCCAGCCTGGACAACAGAGACCTTGTCTCAAAAATAAAGTAAATTAAGATAAAATAAAAGAAGCTTACATTATATTAACAATACTTCATTATCCATTAAGTATTTGTGACGGTTTTGAATAACAAAAGAAAAACTGACACATTGAAAGAAATATTAATGCCAATCAATGACATTCTCAGGGCTGCTCATAAGGCTGTGCAAGATGTCCCCTACACAATCATGCCCAACCCAGGGCGGGAGTAGGGACACACAGCCAGCCCTCACCTGCTTGCCAAACCACACACCCTGAGGCCAAAAGGAACACCTTTTTCTAACTCATTACAGTTTTTTGCAACTCTGTAACCTAAACAGCATAACTGTTTGTTACTGAGTTGCTGAGGGTGTCTGCAGTCAGATTATAAATGTATATACATACAGGTATATATATTATATATGTGTATGTATGCACACACATATGTATATACAAATTATATATTACTTCATTATCTATCAATCTGCACCCATCCGCTCAAATGTTGTAGTGCATGTATGTGAAAGCCGAGCTTTTCACTTAGTACCTAGCAGACTCTCTACAAACAGTTCCTCAGTCTGGACTATTTGGAGTAAGGAAGAAGGGAAAGAAGAAAATACACCCAGAAGGCTAGGCGCGGCGGCACACGCCTGTAATCCCAGCACTTTGGGAGGCCGAGGTGGGCAGATCACTTGAGCTCAGGAGTTCAAGACCAGGGTGGGCAACATGGTAAAACCCTCTCTACCAAAATACAAAAAATTAGCCGGCAGTGGTGGCGCTCACCTGTGGTGGTCTCAGCTAGTCGGGACGCTGAAGTGGGAGGATTACTTGAGTCCTGGAGGCGTAGGCTGCCGTGAACTGATATCACACCACTGCACTCCAGCCTGGGTGACAGAGTGAGACCCCATCTCAAAAAAAAGAAAAAAAAAAAGAAAGAAAAAGAAAATACACCCAGAAGAGGTGATGAAAATGGAGAGAATATGGCTAAAAGAGCCAATATGAGGTAAAAAGAGGAAGAACAATAGAATGAATATCTCTGAACACTGTAAAGGGAAGACAAGGCTGGCCGACTTGACCCTCACAAGGTTATCTTTAGCTTTCATTCCATTAACCTGCGGGCTAAGTCATTTGGGTGATTTAAGTATGGAGCACTAAAGAGGCCAGAGCCATGGGTTCATCCATATGTGAATCATGCTGTTTCTGTTGCAAGGCCATAGATTTTGTGCTTAACTCAAATTAGCATCTTGCATATGCTTCCTGCCAGTCACAAGGGAGGTCGGAGCCAGAGAATGGGGAGGTATCTGCAGAAATCAATCATCATTACCGCAAGGAAAAAAAAATTCTCTAGGTATCTGCTCTCCCTACAGTGGTCCTTAAGGATCAACATTTCATGGGAATGAAAGAACATTTTTAAATGAAGATTGTAGCAGCTCAATGGCCAGTCCCATGCTGTACTGCACCCTCATCGACATGCCTGTCATTTCTCTTGCTCTGAGGTTGGAGGAAAGGGACCTGCTTGAGGTTTTAAGCATTTGCATATTTATACTGAGTTCATTATCATGGGCCCCAAACATTTTTGCTTCCCCACAGGACATTTAGATAAACAAGGCTAGAAAATTATCCTAAAATTGAGAAGAAAATGTTTTCTAATGTTCAGACACCCTCCGAAATTAAATATCACCCACATTCATACTCTGTTTTTTCTGCAGACTCCTGGAGTGATTGCCTTACATTACAGTCTAATGTCCCTGAAGTATTAAGTAAACCAAGCAGTTTGGGTAGTGTAACAACAATAATCACTAGCTTTGCTTCTTTATTAGTGGCTTTATAGACAAACTACATTTTTTTTAAAATGAAAAAGTTTGCTTCAGGCTCAATTCTTGCATACCAAGCTTCATTTTGTGGTGAAATTTAACAGTCTCGTTATAAACCCTCGAATGTTGGGAATTATGATGATGGAAATGCTGACACAACATTAGCCACAGCTGGCACTGCAAAAATGCTTTTAAATACGTAGACTCTCCCCTATGAAGTCAGTCCCCAGAGCCCAGAACTTTGTGATTTTAAACCATTAAAGTGAAATCGCCAAGAGTGAAAACCATAGGGAAGACTGGAATCATAGACTTCTAACTAAAGGCATTCAGTATTGACGACGGAAAGTTCGAAAAAGCACTTGCCAAACTTGTTTCTAAATTATCAGAGGAAGGAGAGAAATAGGAAGCGTTCATGTAAGGAAAAACTTGATAGTGCCACTTGTCATAATGAAAGAAAGAGAAAGACAAAAACAGAAAGAACCTGTGATATTTGACACTCAGAGGTCAATGGCTAAACAAAGACATCAGTCTATTTGTGTTAAATTTTACCTGTCTTTGTCAATTTAAATGTGAATGCCTGGAAAGGAAGGAACTGCACGGAAAATGACTATCAGACAACGAAGCTAGAATCTCCTTAGAGAAGATACCCCAACCCAAATAAATTATACACTTCAAAGACTAGGGTATGTGTATTCTTTAAGGAAAAAAATGCAGAGGCAAGTAAAAACCAATTGGTTTGGGGTCTTAATAATCAATAGATCTGTAAGATGCAAGTTCTATAAACCACACTAATTTTGTAGACTGGCAGCTGTTTTCACTATAACCTTTTTTTTTAACCGTATCATAAACTATATCATTAGTCTTTTCCAGGCACATCCTTTGTCCCGAGGCTGGACTAAACAACAAGAGGGATGTTGGCCAGGTGCCATGGCTCACAACTGTAATTCCAACACCTTGAGAGGTCAAGGTGGGCAGATCACCTGAGGTCAGGAGTTCAAGACCAGCCTGGCCAACATGGTGAAACCCCGTCTCTACTAAAAAAATACAAAAATTAGCCGGGTGGTGGTGGACGCCTGTAATCCCAGCTACTCAGGAGGCTGAGACAGGGAGAATAGCTTGAACCCTGGAGGTGGAGGCTGCAGTGAGCCAAGATCATGCCACTGCACTCCAGCCTGAGCGACTGAGCAAGACTCTGTCTCCAAACAAAAAAAAACAAGTGGCATGCTATATGTCTGAAAGTGTATGGGTTTCCCACACCACATCCCAATTAAGCTTATTCAGCAAAGATATGGAGCTACAACGGAACTACATTATCTTCAATAATTAAAACTATCATATCTAAAAGGAGTCCTGAATATTATGGGAGTAAAATTCACTTAGAAACAAGGAGAAGAAGCCCACATATATATCATCCTGTATGTGGACATTCTGTGTACTCCCTGGGCAAAATCTCTACCATTTGAATGGCTTCAACTACCATCCATATGTGAATGATTCCCTAATGCTTATCTCTAGGAGATGGTTCTCCTAAACTAAATCATATCTGTATATACCCAATCTCCACTGACAGGTATGACAGGAAACTAAATGTCAGCATGCCCAAACCAGAAACCACAGACTAGCCACCCACCCCAATGAAATCCCCAACTTGATAAATGATAACACCATTTACCTAGCAAAAACCATCCTTTGTTATCTTTAATCTAGCTTTATTCTCTTTTATTCTGCCAATGCTATCACTACATTGTATCATTTTACTTCATAATAACTTCTCTCACCCATGTCTACCACATACCATGCTGTATTTCATCAAAATTTTTCAACTAGAACATTACAATAGAAACTTCACCGGTTCTCAACTGTGAGTCTGAAGCTCCTTCCATCTACCATTGAAGTCCTATTAGAGTTTTGTTTTTTGGGGTTTGTTTGTTTTTTTGATACAGGGTCTCACTATGTCACCCAGGCTGGAGTGCAGTGGATCGATCTGGGCTCACTGCAATTTCTGCCTCCCAGGTTCCAGCAATTCTCCTGCCTCAGCCTCCCAAGTAGCTGGGATTATGGATGCGCACCACCACACCTGGCTAATCTTTGTATTTTTAGTAGAGACGGGGTTTCACTATGTTGGCCAGGCTGGTCTTGAACTCCTGACCTCAGGTGATCTACCTGTCCTGGCCTCCCAAAGTGCTGGGATTACAAGTGTAAGTCACCATGCCCAACCCAGAGTATTATTTTTAACCTTAAAACCTGTTTATATCCCTCCATTTCTCTAAATTCTTAAATTTAGAGAAATTCTATAGCAGTGCATTCTCAAATGTTAGAGGGATAAGAGTCCTGTGTAGGTTGGGGGCCAGGCATGGTGGCTCACACCTGTAATCCCAGCACTTTGGGAGGCCGAGGTGGGCAGATCACCTGAGGTCATGAGTTTGAGACCTGCCTAGCCAACATGGTGAAACCCCCTCTCTACTAAAAATACAAAAAATTAGCTGGGCGTAGTGGCGGGCACCTGTAATCCCAGCTACTTGGGAGGCTGAGGCAGGAGAATTGCTTGACCCGGGAGGCAGAGGCTGTAGTGAGCCGAGATCATGCAACTGCACTCCAGCCTGGGCAACAGAGCAAGACTCCGTCTCAAAAAAAAAAAAAAGAAAGAAAGAAAAAAAAAAAAGTCACGTGTAGGTTGGGGAGAGGGTGACATAAGATAGATTCAAGTCTCCCACAAGGAATTCAGTAGTTCTAAAATGGGCCCAGGACCCTGAAGTTTGAAAATGCTCACCAGGTGACTCTTATGTAGATAGTTTGAAGGGTATACTTCAAGGACTATAAAATACATAGCTCCTTTTAATAGTATACAAGGTACTTCGAGATCTAGGCAGGGGTTTTCAAGCCTATCAATCCCAAGTCCCTTTTTATAACACACTTTTCTGTCTTGAAATAAAAATCGTAAGTAGTATATAACCTACCTGCGTAATAATTTTTAAAAGTAAATCAGTATAATATCTTAAGTATAGAAGAAAAAGGGGGGAATGGAATTGATAATAACATAACTTTTGTTTTTACATATTGGCACAAAACTGCCAACAGAAGACACCATGAAGTAGCTGTGTGCATGGAATCACCGTGAATACAGCTCCAAACACAGATCCACACAGTATGTTTTATCGATCATTCAAATTTCCAAAGTGGTGTGGCCATGGCTGACACAATTTCTCTAAATTGTGAACAGTATTTAGTAAAGGTCCACATAAAACGATGCGCAATCTTTCCCCAACTGACAAAGTAGTTTTATTCCTGGAAAATTCAGTGTGCATTAAGCCTGGCAACAAATACTTTGTACCTATATGTAAAACAAAGTTAGGTTCTAGCTCAAACTCTTATAGACAGGTTCTGTAATTAACTTTACATAAATATCTGTTGAGACGCTTGAGAATAATCGTGTTAAACACAGGACAATTCTTCATGTGCAGAACTATCTTGTACATTGCATCGTACCTGCTGCCTGGGCTTTGCTCATTCAATGCCAGAAGCGCCTTCCAATCACTGTGACCAAAGAAAGTATTGCATGAGTTTCCAAAACACCCCCAGAGCGTACAACTTCATCTCCCAAACAATCTAGCATCCAGCCCAATCATATGAACAATTTTAGTTTTTTGTGTGTGTGTGTTTTTTTAAGACAGAGTCTCGCTCTGTCGCCCAGGCAGTGGTGCAATCTCGGCTCACTGCAACCTCCACCTCCTGGGTCCAAGTGATTCTCCTGCCTCAGCCTACTGAGTAGCTGGGATTACAGATGCGTGCCACCACGTCCGGCTAATTTTTGTATTTTTAGTAGAGACAGGGTTTCACTATGTTGGCCAGGCTGGTCTCGAACTCCTGACCTCAGGTGATCCGCCCGCCTCGGCCTCAAAAATTGCTGGGACTACAAGCGTGAGCCACCATGCCTGGCCTCCATTTTCACTTTAAAACCTTGCAAATGTGTATTGACTCTATAGTTCTTAGCCAAAATGGCATTTCCTGAATCCAGTTTCCCTTGACCCTCCCAGGCCACACACTGGGCTCCTTCCTCTTGCTCTCATGGTCTTGTATACACAGCACCATAGCAATACCATCACTGCCATCCCATGACTTGGCATGATGACACTCTTCCCTCCTTTGGGTCTTAGCATATGGCAAACAGTAGATAGGTTTAACAAGTATTTTTGAATAATTTATTTAATAAATTCCATCCCCATCCATCTTATCCTACCTCTTCTATCCTAGCAGGGGAGGGCAAGGCAAAAGACAATTAAGAGAAAGAGGAATGATCAATCCTGGTGTGTTCTTGTGGCTCCATGGACCCAGACAACACTGTCTTTTCCCGTTCTTCTATGAGTAACGATAGCTGTATTCCTTCCACTCCCAAAATATGGTGAAATCTGTTGGGGGAGGCCAGGGGGCAAGAGGGAGAGTCATGTAGACAAGTTAGCCACTTCCTGTGAGATGGCAGCCAAAGACTTCCAGGTAATGATTGACACTGAAGACGAAGGTTTTCCTGACTGTGGGAAAACTTGTTAGCAAAAGGCTGCATACACAAAGCTATTCAACCACAAGGCTGGAAGAGAATCAAAACAAGCCAAGCTTAATTAGAGCTGAAGATTTCCCAGCTGGGATCCATGTTAGGGGTTGAGCTCCAAAAGCCATCACTGAGGAGGCAATTCCTTCTCAAGCAGGACAGGCTCTGAGGCCACCAGAGACAGAGCAGGGGATTTTTTTAAATCTTTCATATAATCCAGCATTCTCAGCTTTTGTACTTTTTTTGTTTCTTTTTTAACTTAAACTCTAGGCACCGGTGAAACCGCATGCTTCCCGCTCCCTGCTCCTCAACTCCCCTCCCCTTCCATAAATTAAATTAATGAGGAGTTTTCTAAAAGAGTACATTCTCTTAAAGCCTCTGTTATTCTGAAGTTAATGGCTCTGACATGTAGCCAGGCCAAATAGTCACAGGCAGCAATAACTCTTGCAACAGCTCCCAAACTTACCCTCAAATGTCACCGAGTCCTACCCTGATCTTTCTTCCCCTTTGATTATCACTGGTTGCCTTTCTTCCTCCCCTCACATTTTATAGCAAACTCGAATACATCAAAGAAACTAGTTAAGGATGCGAAGATTGAGAAACACATTCAATCTTAATGTTATGATCTTGTCTTTTCCTTCCCACAACTTGTCTTTAAAAGAAAAGGACAAGTATAAATTTGATGCCACACAGAACAACAAAATACATTTAAAGGAACAAGGGGGAGGAACCTTTCTAAATGCCAGCATGCTAATCTCTTACTTAGCATGCACTTATGGCAAGGATTGTGTCGTTATGTATGATAGGTAAATAATTTTTACATGATAAGTAAGTGGACGTGTCTGCAAGGAAGATCATCAAGTAAACTCAACAGAAGCAATTGCTTCAAATCACCGTCCTAAACTAACTCGCAGTGTGGTGATGATCAAAAAGGTGTAAAAATGAAAATAAAACTGCAGGAGGACCTGATTCCAACAAACATAATGGGTGCAAGGTCAGAATAAGCATAGTGATATTTATTCAACTTCTTAAGCTTCAAAGGCCAAAAAAAAAAAATAGATTAGATACATGTTTATAAACCAGCTCATCTATCTTGAAAATAAAATGTAAAATATCATTTTTTGGATAAAATGGATCCAAATTCTTGTACCCACAATTTGATCTCAAAATCTGGGCTGATATGCAAAATTTTAGTATATATGCTCAAAAAAGTGGGGGAAGAGGAAAACAGAAAAAACATAAAAGAAAAAAGGGAGTGGGCACCGTGGCTCACACCTATAATCCCACCACTTTGAGAGGCCAAGGCAGGAGGACTGCTTAAGCCCAGGAGTTTGAGACCAGTCTGAGCAACACGGCAAGATCCTGTCTCTACAAATAATTTTAAAAAATTAGTTGGGCATGGTGGTATGCACCTGTGGGCCCAGCTACTCAGGAGGCTGAGGTGGGATGATCACTTGAGCCTGGGAGGTCAAGGCTGCAGTGAGCAGAGATCACATCCCTGCACTACAGCCTGGGTAACAGAGCAAGACCCTGTCTCAATAAAAAAGAAGGAAGAGGAGAGGGAAAGGAGAGAGAAAGGACAGGGGAAGGAGAGGGAAGGAAAGAGAAAGGAGAGGGGAGGGGAAGGGAGGAGAGGGGAGTTCTATTTGCTTCTACTAACTGACCCAGTCTTATTTGAGCCCACAATAATTTTCCTTTTCTTTTCTTTTTCTTTTTGAGACAGAGTCTTGCTCTTTTGCCCAGGTTGGAGTGCAGTGGCACGATCTTGGATCACCACAACCTCCACTTCCTGGGCTCAAGCAATTCTCCTGGCTCAGCCCCACAAGTAGCTGGGATTACAGGCGCCCGCCACCACACCCAGCTAATTTTTGTATTTTTAGTAGAGATGGGGTTTCACCACATTGTCCAGGCTGGTCTCAAACTCCTGACCTCAAGTGATCCACCCGCCTCAGCCTCCCAAAGTGCTGGGATGACAGGCGTGAGCCACCATGCCTAGCCGATACTTTTCAAACAGTTCTTCAGTATGCTCCATAAAACAGTGTCTGTCACCTAATGTCCTAAGGTTCCAAAATAATAGAAGCAGTGATAAGATGAGTAAAGGAAGACTGATATGAGGCGTGCATGCCTGGAAGAGGAAACATTCCTTTGCAAGTACCTATTTGGGGGGTAAGTGGTTAGACTTTGAAAAGGCAGCAGGTATGTTCTTCACTTACTCTAGACTGCCCTTTCATTCTCTGTGCATAACAGAATTCTATTTATAAAGAACTTCCGAGTGTCAAAGGCATTTCCACATACATTTATCTCATTTGATCCCATAGCAATTTACTAAGTAGGCATATCCCCTTTACAGATGAGAAAAACTGAGGTTCAGGAAATTTAAATGACTTACCCAGAAGACACAAAGAGCAAGTGACTAGAAAGGCACAATACATAACTTTTGATTTCTTAGTAATAGGCCATATTTTTATATCATCTCCAAATTTATAGAAATAAAGAGATTAGAAGGAAGTAACAATATGAAAATCTGGTAAATTTCCAACTATTCCCCAAGTCAGGAATATCACATGCAAAAAACTACACACAGATAAGGAGGTAGTGAGTTTGCTTCAAGACTGATATAAGTTCATTTTCACTTACTAATTATCTTATGAGTCCATCTGCATACTCTACTCCATTTCCTAACATCACAAATACTTGTCTAGTCTGTGATAGTTTATTCTGACCCTGAATTTGTGATGTTACTAGCTGTTACTGAAAACATACTTAGCAGAGTACAGCCTGTTCCTTACCAATCCATCTTTCCATGAGGTGAAAATGCCCTGGCCCTCGACAAAAAGAATAATCTGGTAACATTGAATATAAACACAGACATTTCTCTTCTAGTGTAATTCACTGAGCACACATCATTAAGGATCAAAACGCAAGCGAACCAATCAAAGAATGGAAAAGGAATTCTAAAACATCAGAGTTAATTATATCTGGTTGTCCCAATAGCTGTCACTCGTTCAATTAAGATGCTGCTTTGGCTAATCTTAGTCAAGCTGTGCCTCTCTAAAAGTCTGAAACCCCAGCAATAAGATCTAAAGTCAAAACATCTAAAGCTAAAGCATTTTCCCCCTAAGGAGAGCTCTGTATTTACTAGAGTGTCCACAGCTCCTATCAACATGCAACCAACCGTCTGTTCACTCTTCCCACCAACAGGCTGTGCAGCGTTAGCTCTCCAACACCCAGCATCCAGGGAGATCCTCACACAGGTGTTCCAGGAAACCTCTATAACCTGTTTCTTTACCCATCCTGGAAACAAAAACCAAAAAACAACAGAGCAAAGGGGTGAAAACACCATGGGCCTGTTCTCTTAAAATGTCTCAGCTTATAAGATGACTTTTCGTTTCTTGGTTTACAAGGAATAAAAAGATTCTTGTCACATGTTGATCCTGTGTATTGTTACACTGTCATGGGAACAACAGGTAAAGGTTCTATTCCTTAGTGACAACAGGCTGCTTCATTATCTCTCCTTTTTATGTTCTAAGGGCAAAAATATTCAGGGTCTGCAGGGTAAAAACTATGGAAGCATAAACAAGGAAAACCTGACTCTCCCTCACAACTGCATGTCCTACTAAAAGGTAAAAGGACACTTTGGGGTTGTCTCGGGTGAAAACTGCTGGAAGGAAAAAGCCTGAGAAAGCCGCTGACAGCACCAGTGCTTTGCATCTCTGGACAAATTCCTTTCCCTCTATCAATACGTTTTATTTTTTCACGGAGGGGAGGGGACTCATTTTGCCAAGAATTTATTGTGCATCGGTAAGTGGATGGGAACTTTATAAATATTGTCTGGTTTAATCCTTCCCACAAGCCTACAAAATAGGTAGAGAATCCAAATTTTGAACAGGAATGAGAAGAGGTGTATATTCCAAAAGCAGCTATAGGAATTTAAGTCAGGATTGGGCCCAAGAAAAACTGTGAATCTCTTCTAAAATTGTGAGACGTCCCTGCATCCACATGTCGTGGGTGGGTTCTGAGATGAGGACTGAGCACAGCCCCCAGCTCCTACAAGCATAATGTATAAGCACAGCTGTGTCTGCCCTGCTGGTCTGCAAACAGCTGAGCCATGCTCTGGGTTTGCTACTGTTTTAAGTTCAATGTGTTCATATGTCTTCTCACATCAGTGATAAAAGCATACCCTGTAAGTCACTGGGTCTCTTCAAACCCCTTTTTTTTTTTTTTTGGAATATTTGATCTAATGTAGCAGTTTAGTAAAGTATGTCAACAAATTTTCATGACCCGTCCATCTGTCTATATCAAAATAAATTAATTCTCCATAAAACGCATCGACTTCTTAATCTCCCACAAACCGGCAATGGTTAACGGCAAGAACACAGAGAAAGCTCAGTATCTTAATCACTCTCTCCATCACTTCATACAGGGAAACTGACTTGCAAAGTTCCCACACAAACTCTCTTTTTGAATGATGCAATGGAAGCTGTGCACAGCAGCCTTCTCTGCTGACTTAAGTAAACCAATGAAACTGCCTTTTCCCCTCTCATCACAGGTGCTCAATGTACAACAAAACTCAATTTTTCCATGACTAGTTGAAAGCTCCAGAATTCCTAACTGTTCGAAAGGGTTTGAAAGCATCCTCCCTGAGCCCACTCCTGAAAAACTCAGGCAGACTATACCCTTACATTAGTAGGGCTGCATTTCACACATCAGGAAACTCCAACCCTTACAGTCTTCATAAACAAGTATCACAGAGGTTTGACCACATATGTTCCATTTTTGAACCTTTAGCACACTATTTTTACCCAACTCTCTCGTAAGACCCACCATATACCGTGTGGGAGAAGATTCCACATCAGTCAATCACATTAACCAGTCCTCAATGTCACTCAGTACTGAAATGTTAGCCCCAACCCACCCTGCATATTAAACGCATCTGGCTTGGTCAGCCAGATAACATCCTCACCCAACGGTGACGCGCATCAGTGGCGTGCTCTTGCTAAGCTCACAGATTTTCTCAATGGTCTGTCGAAGTGTTCCTTGCTTATGTAAATCAGTATGTTAAAATCTAGTAGATATAGGATATCCCGCTAAAGAGCAGGCACATTGAAGAAATGAGTGTATAGGCTCTCTGTTCCTCCTATGAACTTTATTAAGGAACTGGAGCTGGAGGAGAACAAAGATCTTTCTCCATATTTCAGTTTTCTCCCCTCCACTCATAGCATAGCACAGTCCAGAAAAAGATATAAAATCAAGTGCCAGCTGGGTGCAGCGGCTCACACCTGTAATCCCAGCATTTTGGGAGGCCAAGGCAGGCAGATCACCTGAGGTCAGTAGTTTGAGACAAGCTTGGCCAATATGGCGAAACCCTGTCTCTCTAAATATACAAAAATTAGCCAGGCATGGTGGCGCCTGCCTGTAGTTCGAGCTACTCAAGGAGCTGAGGCAGGAGAATCGCCTCAGGATACAGTGAGCCAAGATCGCGCCACTGCACTCCAGCCTTGGAGACAGAGTATGATCGGTCTCAAAAAAATAAATAAATAAATAAAAATAAAAGTTAAAAAATAAAAGTAAAATAAAGTGCCACCTTAAGAGATGTGACAGTACTAATCTGGGAATATATCACAGGCTCTCAAATTTTAATGTGCCTAAGAATCACCTGATAGGTGCTTGTTAAAAATGAAGATTTCAAGACTCTTCCCCAACAGTTTCTGATTCAGCAGGTCTACCGTCGAAACCAGGAATTAGCAGCTTTAACAAGTGCCACAAGTGATCGGATGCCGGTGGTCCCAGGACCACACCTCGAGAAAGCCCCGCAGAGAGATGAGTGCATGGAAAGAGCCAACTGAGAGGTGGGGCTGAGTAAGGCCTCTGGAATTCTGAAGTGGTTTTAGCCCCATTGCTCCAATTGTAAAGCCTGTTCAGTTAAAAATTCACCCAGCACAGTACAGACAGAAGTTTGACATAAAAGCCCTGATAACACTAATGGTGGTAAAGGGACCTCTTTCGATAGGCACCTGGTTTGTGCCTAGTTGCTTGCTTTCAAGATTTATCCAGGTCCAGCCTCTGTGCTTGGGATAACAAAGCTCTCATCTTTGGTTACCTTCATTGGAAACAACATTCCCTTTTCCCCATCAAAATTCATCTAGTTCGGTTCTTTATAAATTACGTTTACTACATGAGGTACAGTTATACTCTATTTTAAGTACGACATTACTTTGTTTTTTCAGGTGAAGCTTAAACAAATGTGAGGCAGAAAAATGTATTAATGCGGCACTAATGAGAAGACGGAATCAAACTCCCTGCAAATACACACACACACACACACACACACACACACACACACACACACACACACGTGGGAAACTTCTGGCTTTTTTTTTTGTTTAAAGAAAACCCTGAGGAGCAAGCTAACAAAATATCAATAAAGTTGGAGAAACTGGGGCCGGGTGAGGTGGCTCATGCCTGTAATCCCAGCACTTTGGGAGGCCAAGGCGGGTGGATCATTTGAGGTCAGGGGTTTGAGACCAGCCTGGCCAACATGGTGAAATCCCGTCTCTACTAAAAATACAAAAGTTAGCCGGGCGTGGTGACATGCACCTGCAATCCCAGCTACTCAGGAAGCTGAGGCAAGAGAATTGCTTGAACCCGGGAGGTAGAGCTTGCAGTAAGCCAAGATCCTGCCACTGCACTCCAGCCTGGGTGACAGAGTGAGACTCCATCTCAAAAAAAAAAAAAAAAGCTGGAGAAATTGGAGCACAAAAAAAGTCTAAGCGATACAAAGATATTATTTTTAAAAGGATTAATATTGTCCTATTAAACATTTATTAAACATAGACATTTTGTGAAGTGCTGCCAAAAGCAGGAATGGAACTAGAACCCAGGACTCCAAATTCCCAGCTCTATCAATAAATCAGGCAATTTCCCTCCACAATCCAAAATAGCTGCAAATGCTCTGGTTATTTTTTAACATATGGCTTAAATATTTATATTTTAAGTGCTTTCAGCTTATAGTCCACATCATAAACATTCATTAACATTTAGGCAACTTCCTGAGTAACTCTAACTGCAAGGTCAGACCAAATACACATTTAAGCAAAATAAACATTCCCAATCATAGGCTATAAATTGTTCCAATATTTACTTGATAACCTGACACCCATATTCATTTGCCTCTCTTCCTCCCAAAATAATGTTCTTTGGGAGTTTTTTTTTTCTCATGCAACAAAAGATAGTGTTACTGAGGCCGGAGAGAAAGGAGCAAGGTTTCAAAGATACCAAACTTAGAATTTGGAATAAGCTTAACCTTAGGGGGATCTATCTCCTTGATTGGTGTGTTTCATGGCATTAAATTTAATTAATTAATTAATCCAACAAATACTTGTGTATTTGCCAGGCCGAGCGCTCTTCTGAATGAACAGAGTCAAAGTTGTTGCCTACAATGTTTACATTCTAGGAGACCGGCCAACAGTAAACCAGTCAGCAAACAAATATTTAGTATAACATCAGATACGTTTAAGCGCTCCGAAGAAAAATAAGGCAGGGTAAAAGGGACAGAGAATGACAAAGTATTGGAGGGACAATATTGCTATTTTAAATAGGGTGGACAGAGAAATCTACTCCGAAGACTTAGTCAAATTATAGACTAAATCAAAAAATGAGAATAATATTAACTTCCCTCTCAAAGTGGCCACCACGCATGGGTCAGTAGAAAAAGCTGCAGGCTGCTTAAACACATGGGAATTAATGAACATCCACAAATTTTAGAGCAAGAACAAAAGAAACTTGTGAGGCTAACCTGCTCCAGAAGCCGCCAAGCACGCAGAGGGAAAGAAAGAAGAATGTACCTTTCACCTGGCCCCACTCACAAGAGCTGGCCAAGATCACTCCCAAGCCTGACTTCCAGGTAAAGGGCTACATGAAATCAGCCACAAAGGGCGCAATGTGGAAATCAAGGAAAAAGCACCATTTAATAAATTCCTTGGAGTTATTTTTCAGGGCAATGACTGAATATAGTAATTGACATATCATTGGATGCAAGTAAGATAAACATAAGTAATAAGGTTTTACAAAGGTTATGCGTTGTAATTGTAATCAGATACAATGTTTAAATTCTTAATAAAAGAGTGACAAGCTTCAGACATCAAATTTCTAATGTAAGTCTCTTTAAAACATGCACACTCTTTAGAAAGTCAATATCCTATATTAAACGGCAGGAAGCAACCCCTTTAGAAGTTTGCAAAGAGGGTGAAGTAAGCTGTTGGTATTTTAAAGGAAATAAACATTTGAACAGTCCAAAGCTACAGAAAAGCCATAATCTATTTCAGATTAAAAGACATTAAAAAGTCATCGGTTTCTAGTATCTAGGATTAGAGTTTGGTTAGAGCTTCAATCATTCATGCTTTTAATCTAAAATTGGTCCTTGAAAGCTGTAATGAATTAAACAACATACTACCCACAGAATCAATTGTAAAAATATACTGTAAGTAAAAGCATAATGACTCAACTCACTTCCTTCCTCATTTTCCCCTAATCCATTTGACCCCCTTCCTGTCACCTAATCTAATCATTGGCTGGGTTTCCATTAAGATTCTCCCCATTGTGCTATCTGAAGTCATTGCATTGGCTCTCCCAGATTTAAGGGACAATTTTGTAAATGTCACCATATAAAACTGAATTGCTAAAATGTAAAGTAGACAGTGATTCAATTCATGGCTGTGTGTTCCAAGAGTGGAGTAGTGTGAGATCCATGCAGTCTAGAAGGAATTTTTTTTTTTTTTAATTTTTTTTGAGAAGGAGTCTCGCTCTGTCACCCAGGCTGGAGTGCGATGGAGTGATCTCGGCCCACCGCAACCTCTGCCTCCTGCGTTCAAGAGATTCTCCTGCCTCAGCCTCCCGAATAGCTGGGATTACAGGCATGCACTATCACGCCTGGCTAATTTTTTATATTTTTTTGGAGAGACGGGATTTCATGGTGTTAGCCAGGATGGTCTCGATCTCCTAACCTGGTGATCCGCCCACCTCAGCCTCCCAAAGTGCTGGGATTATAGGTGTGAGCCACTGCACCCCGCTAGAAGGAAATTTTTAAGAATTTTTTTTACAAGCACTGCCCAGTAACTAGCTGAAAATATTCCTAAACACAAGTTTTCAAGCTTGACAAACACATCCTTTCCTTTCTACTACCACCACCTCCTCCACTGTGGTCTATACAACTGACAACAAAGTTTGCACAGAACATTACAATTTCCAAAGCGTTTTCTCATACAGTTAGTATCATCTGATCCTCACAGTAGCCTTGAGACCTTATAATTATCCTAAGTCACAAAAGTACATTGCCCAAACTAAGACCTGGGGTATAGAACTACACACATGCGAACTGGCTTTTGGTTTCATCCAAACCTAAACTGCTTGCTACCAATGATATATTTTAGAACAAAACAATTTCGCCCCTGATCAGACCTTCATCAACCTTTTCTGTGAACTTCTCAATTTACAGACAAGGATACCAATTCTCTTGTGTGTACTATATATTGTAACATTACTACTTAAAGGCAGATATCCAAATAATTTGACAGTGTAGGTGGTAAATTAACAATTTCACTTGAATTCATATTACTGATAAAGAGAGGGATCTAATCTTTGGTCCAAGGTCACACACAGTTAATAGCACTCCTTGTATAAACCTAGGTCTCTCTGGCTTCTATACTCAACCAGAAGACTAATCTAGCTGATGATTAAAGATGAAAGTACAGAGAAATACGACCCCAAGCAAGGCTTTGACTGGCAAGCCAACTCATAACCCACCTTTAAAACTACAATTTAAATGGGTAAGAATGGTATACACCTAAAGTAACTCAATTTTAAGTCTCTTAGATGCTCTGCTCAGTGGTCATATTAGAGCCTAACTGAAGAGCAATTATTGCTGGTTAATTATTTCAGCAGTTTATTGCCTAGCAAACAAAATTAAAATCACATCTAAGAAAACAATAATGTGCCGGGCGCGGTGGCTCAGGCTTGTAATCCCAGCACTTCGGGAGGCCAAGGCAGGTGGATCACGAGGTCAGGAGTTCGAGACCAGCGCGGCCAACATAGTGAAACCCCATCTCTACTAAAAAAAAAAAAAAAATACAAAAATTAGCCAAGTGTGGTGGCAGACGCCTGTAGTCCCAGCTACTAGGGAGGCTGAGGTGGGAGAACCACTTGAACCCAGGAGGCAGAGGTTGCAGTGAGGTGAGACCATGCCATTGCACTCCAGCTTGGGTGACAGAGTGAGACTCTACCTCAAAAAAAAAAAAAAGAAAAGAAAAGAAAAGAAAAAAAGAAAACAATAATGCTTCAGGGTTTTCCTCTCCTTCAAGAAACTTATAGTGATCATTTGACCTCATTCTATGAAAATGCCTGTTTCTCTTCCAGGTTGTGTTTGCTTTTGTGGAGAGGAGGAATATAATTATTACAAACATACTCTCTACATTTGTATAGAGCTTTATCACTGACAAGTGCATTACATTATCCCATTTGATCTTTGCAGTAACCCACTGTGGTGGGTAGTATGGGAAGTATCACTACATTTTAATTAAGTGGAGGCTCAGAGAGGTTAGGTAATCTGCCCAGTGTCACTAAGTAAGGGCAGAACAAGGACACAAATACAGGTTATTTTGTCTTTAAGCCTTGGGCTCCTGTGCACCCTATTACTTGGACAGAAATGCATCATCTAAGCAAATGCCCTGATGTCCCCTATATGTCAGTCTGCAGTAAACTCATTACCAAGTACACTAGAAAGGTTTTCTGCTCTGTCTCCAAACTATCTCTCTCTTATCCCTCCATCAAGATAACTCTGACATATTGTCTTACTCTTGAGTGATGGAAGCAAACACTACAAAACTGTGCAGATAGATTATCTCAAATCGCCAGGCTCTACAGAAAAATAGAATAATTTGGTCCACAAGATCTGTTTGAGGAATCCATCAATAAGCTTCAGAATTAAACTAGTCAAGGGAGTGGACCTATCACCACGCAGGTTTGTCGCAGAGAAAAGGAATGGAGCCGGGTGCAGCGGCTCATGCCTGTAATCCCAGCACTTTGGGAGGCTGGGGCAGGTGGATCACCTGAGATCAGGAGTTCAAGACCAGCCTGACCAACATGGTGAAAACCCGTCTCTATTAAAGATGTAAAAATTAGCTGGGTATGGCGGTGCACGCCTGTAATCCCAGCTACTCGTGAGGCTGAAGAAGGAGAATCACCTGAACCCAGGAGGCGGAGGTTGCAGTGAGCCAAGATCGCACCACTGTACTTCATGCCGGGCAACAAAAGTGAAACTCCGTCTTGGAAAATAAAAAAAGAAAAAGAAAAGGAATGGAAAGAATCGAAGGTCTAGGGCAGAAGAGAGGAAGAGCACAGAACCTGGGTAAGCGGGAACAACTGGAAGCCCAAGCTATTGACAAGACAACTGTGGGATCGACAAAAAGTTGACAGTTCCTCTTTTTACCCATTTGTTGCAGAGCATCTACCTACACCCATCAATTGGCTCAATTTATTTATCTAATAGTATCTCTCAAGTCTAGTGAGATCTTTTTTGAGGTACTCTTCTCAAATGTTATTGATACCTACTGGGGTTGTGCTTTGCATAATCTTTCTTTTAAACATAGATTTTTTTTTTTTTTTTTTTTTTTTTTTTGAGATGGAGTTTTGCTCTTGTCACCCAGGCTGGAGTGCAATGGCACGATCTCGGCTCACCGCAACCTCCGCCTCCCAGGTTCAAGCAATTCTCCTACCTCAGCCTCCCAAGTAGCTGGGATTACAGACATGTGCCACCATACCCGGCTAAATTTTTTTTGTATTTTTAGTAGAGACAGGGTTTCTCCATGTTGGTCAGGCTGGTCTCAAACTCCCAACCTCAGGTGATCCACCCACCTCAGCCTCCCAAAGTGCTGGGATTACAGGCGTGAGCCACCGCGCCCGGCTTTAAACATAGATTTTTAAAACTTCAATTAGAAAATGGGGAAAAGACATGAACAGCCACTTCACCAAAGATGATATATGGATGGCCAAGAAAAGATGTTCGACATCATTAGCTCTCAGGGAAACACAAATTAAAGCTACAATAAGATACTCCTTCACATCTATCAGAATGGTTAAAATAAAAAATAGGCTGGGTGGGGTGGCTCACGCCTGTAATCCTAACATTTTGGAAGGCCGAGGTGGGTGGATCATCTGAGGTCAGGAGTTTGAGACCAGCCTGGCCATCATGGCAAAACCCCATCTTTACTAGAAATACAAAAAAAAATTAGCCAGGTGTGGTGATGGGTGCCCATAGTCCCAGCTACTCAGGAAGCTGAGGCAGGAGAATGGCTTGAGCCTGGGGCAGGGCCGAAGTTGCAGTGAGCTGAGAAAGCGCCACTGAACACCAGCCTGGGTGATAGAGCGAGACCCCATCGAAAAAAAAAAAAAGAAAGAAAAAAGCCAATTCCAAAAGATTATGAACTATATGATTCTATTTACATATATGAAGTTTATTAGAAATGGAGACCCAATAAGTAGTTTCCAAGGGATAAGGATAGGAGACTGGTGAGAAGAAACTGGGTACAGCTACAAAAAAACAATAGGAGGGATCCATGCTGTAACAGTTCAGCATCTTTACTGTAGTGGTAGATATACAAACCTATATATGTGATAAAACTGCACACAACTGAGTATACACACACACACACACACACACGCAAATGAGTACAGGTAAAACTATGGAAATCTGAGTAAGATTGGTAGATTACATCAATATCAATCCTAGTTATGATATTGTACTACAGTTTTGCTAAATGTTATCACTAGGGGAGACCAGGTAAAGCTACATTGTTTCTTCAGCTGATGTAAATCTACAATTATCACAATTAAAATTCTAACTAGCAAATAGATCAATAAAAAACATTTTCAACTTTAGCCATTTCAAAATAACAATGAATGTTACCTTCTTTCTTCTTTGAAACAGGACCACTCTTTTTTCTACACCACTTCTTATGATATAGCTTCCATTAAATACATTGTGAAAAACTATTAAATTTAAGCTTACGCATGAAAGAAGCCTTACAAAAGAGCAGAGATTATGAGACTTCATTTACACGAAGCCCTAGAACAGGCAAATCGAATGGACAATGGGGAAGAAAAACAAAACAAAACAACACAAAACAGGTTGCCCTTGGAGGTGGTAAGGCAGTGGTTGACGGGATGGAGCAAGAAAAAACTAGCTAGGTGATGGCAATGTTCCATATTATGATAGGAGTCCCAGGGACACAAGGATATGCATGTGTCAAAACTCAAGGAATGCACTGGCTGGGGCGGTGGCTCACGCCCGTAATCCCAGCACTTTGGGAGGCCAAGGCAGGTGGATCACCTGAGGTCAGGGGTTCGAGACCAGCCTGGCCAACATCGTGAAACCCCACTGTACTAAAAATACAAAAAATTAGCCAGGTGTAGTGATGGGTGCCTGTAATCCCAGCTACTCAGGAGACTGAGGCAGGAGAATCGCTTGAGCCCGGGAGGCAGAAGTTGCAGTGAGCCAAGATCGCGCCATTGTACTCCAGCCTGGGCAACAAGAGCAAAACTCCATCTCAAAAAACAAACAAACAAAAACAAAACACACATACACACACAAATACACCAATAAGATATTTGTACTTCATTGTATGTAAATCTCATATTTTAAAAACTAAACAAAATTTTAATTCATCTTAAATTACTGACTTTATATCTGGTACATTCTTCCACTTGAAGATGCTATGCCGTAAGATACAATGCTTTGGCTGTATCCAAAGTCACCAAACTAAATCATTTGGGGGAAAAAAATCTCTTATGGGTTCTTCTCAGGGAAAGGAAATTCAACAGAGTAACCATGAAGCAAATTCATATAAAAAGTATCATTAAATCAAACTAAATTAAATTAAAACAGACGTAATTAGGGCTCTCTGAAAGTAGTTTTGGCTAACACTTTGTTTACATGCAATATAGATGTAGCAACTACTGACCTCAGGCACTTTTAGCTGCTGTTACATTAATTATTACATGTGCTTTTTATATTCCAGCTCAAAATATCCTTTAGAGTCTGACTAACTAAGGTCTTTCTGCCAAGGTTACTTCAAATGAATCTCAGGTCCCACAGAAGAAGGAAAAAAATCCTATGAAATCCACATACTGATACAGATGTAACATTTTTCTTTTCTTAACCATGATTTTATTCTACTTAGAATATGCATTTATTTTCGTAAAATTAAAAGAGAGATGATGGGCTGTTCTCAATTACAATTATACCCAGTAGGCCCAACCTTTTCCACTTAACAGGCTTACACTGCAGACACACGTTTGCTTAATTGGCCACACAAGTCAAGACGCTGATGAAAATTATTTCTTGACCCCACCAACGATTCATAGAGAAGATAACATCAATGTTACAAATTTCTAGGGCCTACTGTTCATTTTGATCCTAAACTGCTCATGCCAGGCTCTATCTCTGTTTTTGTTTTAAAGTATTCTCAGATTGGTGGCTACAGCCTTCCCATCAATAGTCACATCCTTCCCTTCGTGAAATAATTTTCTCCTAGTTTGCTTCTAGATGTTACTACCAGTTTGAATCTTCACCCTTATTCATTCCTTCTCCTGATACTTCAGTACCACAAGCCATCTTCCATAAAATCCAGCACTCCTTGTTGCTACACAACAGGCCAAAGAATGACTTTATTCATGAATAAGTTCCAAACTCTTCTTGTATAAACATTGGTTTAAAAAACAAAAACTGGCCGGGCACAGTGGCTCACACCTGTAATCTCAGCACTTTGGGAGGCCGAGGCAGGCAGACCACGAAGTTAGGAGTTTGAGACCAGCCTGGCCAATATGGTGAAACCCCGTCTCTGCTAAAAACACAAAAATCAGCCAGGCATGGTGGCACGTGCGTATAATCCCAGCCACTCGGGAGGCTGAGGCAGGAGAATCGCTTGAACCCAGGAGATGAGGTTGCAGTGAGCTGAGATTGCACCACTGCACTCCAGCCTGGGCAACAGGGCAAGACTCTGTCTCAAAACAACAACAACAAAAAACTGGCCGGGTGCAGTGGTTCACACCTGTAATCCTAGCATTTTGAGAGGCTGAGGCAGGGGGATCACCTGAGGTCAGGAGTTCGAAACCAGCCTGCCCAACATGGTAAAACCACATCTCTACTAAAAATACAAAAAATTAGCCAGGCATGGTGGCGGTCGCCTGTAATCCCAGCTACTCGGAGGCTGGGGCAGGAGAATCGCTTGAACCCGGGAGGCAGAGGTTGCAGTGAGCCGAGATCGCGCCATTGCACTCCAGCCTGGGCGACGAGAGTGAAACGCCATCTCAAAAAAAAAACAAAAACAAAAAACCCTGTGTAAATCTTGAAGCAATTTGAGCCATTCCTTCCCAACACAAAGTTTATATATGATAAGAATTGGAGTATTCAAATCACACTGTGCCATGGCCACAAACTAGGAGGAGAAACAAAAGAATCTTTTTTTCCCTCTTTCTTTCTCTCTCTCCCCCTCCTCTTTACAAACACCTCTAAATGCCCTTGACTGTAACTACATTTTTGAAAAGCATATGCCCGTTCGCAGGAGGTAAAAGAGTACATTACACCATGAATGTTTATTTTTAAAACTCAGCATTTTTTCAGGGCTGAAAATCTATTCAGAAATCCCTTCCTCCTTAGGCTACCAAGCTTTATTCAGCAAGGGGGCCAACAACTGCTGATATTTCAAGAAATCTAATCTCTTAATGACTAGTGTCAGAGAAAGGAGAAGGCCTGTGAAAGAGTCATCCTTGAAAGACGCTTCATCTCAGGTACATGTGAACCCATCAATGCAGGCACAGTGTCGGGACTGCCACCAGCACCGCCCCAGCTTTCCGGGATCTGTCTGCCCCGGGTGTTCTGTCCCAGAAGATGAACTGTCCCTTCCACCACACACTCAAATTTTACACTCCCAAATCCTCCATCACAGTAAAGATCCTCCGTTTCCAAGGATAAAACCTCAGCTTCTGGGTGCTCCAAACACAGCAAGTCAGTCTAGTGTCTGCTGATGACTAAGGTGAAAATGGAGAGCTGCCGAGTGAGGAGGAGCTCGAGGTGGACAGGGCCACAAGCTGAGGACTACAAGAAGGTTTGAGTATGGGGTTAGATTTTGTCAATGATTACAAATGTGAAACACTAAATGGGGGAAGGAGGGCAACCTGGAGAGAGAGAATACTTTGTGCAAAGTAAAAACTGAAAACTAATACATTGTGTGCAAGAGATCGCAAACCAAGTCACTTGGCTTTAGCAGAGATTCTCAAGAACAATGGCACTGGCCAAGAGTATAATAAAATAGAGGGGAGGACAAGGTTTAGGGAGATGTTCATTTATCCATTAACCCATTAATTATGTCTTGAGCATCAACTCTGCACATGCTGCAGTTCTAAGATGCTACAGAAAAAAAATGAGAAAAAAACAGAATCTTCTTTTTCAAAGGGAATCTAGCACTCAGATAAAGAACTGATTCAAGGCCGGGTGTGGTGGCTCACGCCTGTAATCCCAGCACTTTGGGAGGTTGAGGCGGGTGGGTCACTTGAGGTCAGGAGTTCCAGACCTGCCTGGCCAACATGGAGAAACCTTGTCTCTACTAAAAATACAAAAATTGGCCAGGCATGATGGCGGGTGCTTGTAATCCCAGTTACTCAGAAGGCTTAGGCGGGAGACTCACTTGAACCCAGGAGGTGGAGGCTGCAGTGAGCCGAGATAGCGCTGTTGTACTCCAGCCTGGGTGACAGAGCAAGACTCTGTCTCAAAAAAAAAAAAAAGAATTGATTCAAAAAATATTCTGAACATAAATTATATCATCGTAATTTCTTCTGAAAAACCACAATAGAGTTTTTCAATTCTTTAAGTTAGAAAATCTGATCAAATGTAGGTGGATTGAGGAAATCTCCTCCCTCCCCACTGAAGCTCTTTATCTCGTTACTGGCAAGTTAGGTATTGCATGAGAAAGATGTGAATGGAAACATCAAGACCCACTTGGTAGAAAAGAAATAGATTTTTTTGCTCTTTTCTGTGTGTTTATGAACAATTACTTTCCTTAAAAATTAAGTATAGCAGCCAGGCATGGTGGCTCATGCCTGTAATCCCAGGATTTGGGGAGGCCAAGACAGGTGAACCACCTGAAGTCAGGAATTGGAGACCAGCCTGCCCAACATGGTGAAACCCCGTCTCTACGAAAAATACAAAAATTAGCCGGGCGCCTGTAATCCCAGCTACTCAGGAGGCTGAGGCAGGAGAATCACTTGAACCAGGCAGGCCAAGGTTGCAGTGAGCCGAGAACGCACCATTGCACTCCAGCCTGGGTGACAAGAGCTAAACTCTGTCACACACACACACACACACACACACACACACACACACACAAATTAAGTATAGCTCAACAAACAGCTCAGACACAAGGTGCACTACTAGAGGGTTGCCCTTCAGCCTCAGGAAGCCAGGACAGATTGAGCATTGTTCTCTGCCTTACCGGAGTATGCAGACCCAACCAAAACCATGCCAACGCTGGAGTCCATCATTAAGTCCGACCTGGGGAAAAGTCTTAAGGAAAGAAAAGGTTCAAGGACTGGAGAGAGAATGAGCAGGGAAGGCAGCGAGGTTTTCCTGCTGGAAAACAAGCACATATAGCCCTCTTGGGTGTTGTTTTTATTTTTATGTTACAATGGATTTTTTTTTTTTTTTGAGACGGAGTCTCGCTCTGTTGCCCGGGCTGGAGTGCAGTGGCGCGATCTCGGCTCGCGCCCAGCCACAATGGATTATTTTTCTTCCAGAAATGTCCTCTGCTTTTGGCAAGTAAATCACTTAGATAGGATATAAGAAGGATGAAGGTGACTGGAATCAAAGAAGTCAGTGTATTGCCCATCCCTGTCTAGTTGGTAGCAGTGCGAAAGCCAATGAGGTAACACCCCACACAGTGCAGATGCCCAATGTGTCCCTGTCCCTCGCTCTCACTCGTTCAACAGGGCTATTCATGTAGAAAGCAGGACTTACGGCCAGGCACAGTGTCTCACACCTGTAATCCCAGCACTTTGGGAGGCCAAGGCGATGGATCACGAGGTCAGGAGTTCGAGACCAGCCTGGCCAACATGGTGAAACTTGTCTCTACTAAAGATACAAAAAAAATTAGCCAGGCGTGGTGGCGGGCGCCTGTAATCCCAGCTACTTAGGAGGTTGCAGTGAGCCGAGATCAGGCCACTGCACTCCAGCCTGGGCAACAGGACAAGACTCCGTCTCAAAAAAAAAAAAAAAAAGCAGGACTTATGCCTGGACCTATTGTTTGGCTTGAGGTTTAAGGGAAAAGATCACATAGCACCATCATCTCATTTCACAAGAAGTCACTGAAGTCAGAGAGGTTAAAACGACTTGCCCAAGACAGACGATGGCAAGGCCAAATTTTGTATGGGGAATGGTCTCTGAGGTCTTCCTCCAGTGGGACAGGTCAGCTCTAAGATCGACAAGTTCAGTCAGGTGGGACTTACCCGGATGGCATTCAGAGTGGAGAATTTACAATTGCCCTATGCAGCATTCCCATTGTACAGACGAGGCAACGAAGGTACAGAAAGGTTAAGTGATTCACAAGGACAAGGGCTGAACTTTGGAAGTTTGACCTTAGAGTGTGAACTTGGGTCACAGTGTTTTCATCATAGATTCTCTAAGCTCTATTTCGACACGAGAATCAGTAGTGATAAAGGAAGCTCCTTGTTGGTCTTAAAAGGTCTCCTGCTCATTTTACATTGTCATTTCAAATAGATAGTATTACACCTACACACACACACACACACACACACACACACAATGTATACTATATCATGTTTATTTGCCACAATCTACAGAACAGAGGCAGAGTGACTCTCCAAAACTCACTCCCCAAATGAGCTACTTTTGTTAGGTTTCAGCGGATGGTTTGCTATGCTATTCATCTAGTTAGTAATTCAGTGTTCCTACAATTCACTTTTAGGTATAAAGTACTGCATATTCTACCCAGAATATCTTCATTCAGCCCCAGACATTCACTGACTATCCAATAACAAAGAATACTTTGGAAATAACTGATATGTTCAAGAGTAACAAGTGATGGTCACTGTTACAGAATTTTGAACTTATAAAGCATGACACAAAATGAAAGACATCAGAAATAGGCAATAATTTCAGATATTTATTGACTTGCACCCTGGAAAGGATTTAGGGATAGAGTAGGAGATGGAGGGAAATACCAAGACAGAACAGGAAGAAAATAAGAAATGCAAATATAGGCAAGAAACAGAAATATATAAATGACATATTATATGCTATCCCACCACATGTTACAAATTGAGAAAGCATAAAAACTCTGGAGACTGTTTTCCCCCTAACCTTTGAAAACTGGGCAAACAGGAAAAAGGGGAGAGATGTCTATCCAGCATAAGATTCTAATTTCTAATATGTGTGCCTTTAGAATCAAAAAAAAAAAAAAAAAAAAAAAAGGCCAGGCGCGGTGGCTCACACCTGTAATCTCAGCACTGTGGGAGGCCAAGGCAGGTGGATCACAAGGTCAGGAGTTCAAGACCAGCCTGGCCAAAATGGTGAAACCTCGCCTCTACTAAATATACAAAAATTAGCCGGGCGTGGTGGCGGGCACCTGTAATCCCAGCTACTCGGGAGGCTGAGGCAGGAGAATCGCTTGAACCTGGGAGGTGGAGGTTACGGTGAGCTGATATCGTGCCACTGCACTCCAGCCTGGGTTACAGAGTGAGATTCCATCAAAAAAAAAAAAAAAAAAGCCGGGGAGGAGGATTGTCTGAGCCAGGCAGTTGAGGCTGCAATGAGCTGTGATTGTGCCACCGCACTCCAGCCTGGGTGACAGAGTGAGACTCTGTCTCAGAAACAAACAAACAAAAAAAAGTGGAGGCAGCAAGGGAAAGTTAAATAGTTTTCATTTCATTTCTATTATGTAGCACATAAAAGGTGGATCCAGGGCTAAAATGCACCAGTACCTAAAGGATCTACTCAATTCACCAACCTGGGTAGTGCCACTTCTAGTTCAAAGGTTCTCCCAATCAAGATATGGAAGAAACATGTCCCTCTGTACTATGTGTCAAGCACAGTTTCATCATTTCAGACTGCAAATGTTTGAGCCAACAACTGAGCATCACTGCTGAAAAGTTCTTTCTAGGCAGCACCTTTTTTGGTAAGAAAAATCTCAGCAGTTCGTAAGTGACTTTAACTTGCCATACTGTATTTTAAAGACGTATCTGAACAATTAAAAACACTGTATTGCAAATTGAAATTTCTCTTGCCTAGTTGCAAATTTTATTGCCACAAATGGGGTCCCTAAGAAGCACTGTCAACTTTATTGGCGACTTGTTGCTCCCTGATTGTGAGTCATCCTCAATAAAGTAATTCAGGGATCATCTCCTCAGTGGAGGAAAAAGGAACACGGGCAGAAACAACACAATGGGGTGAGAGGAAAATCCCAGAAGGAAAAAAACCAGAAACATAATATGAGCAGGGTAAAAGAGTATGTCCTTTAAGTCAAAGAAAAAGAATCACTGAGCAATGCAGTGAGAGATTTACTTATTTATTTATTAATTTTTATTTATGTATTTACTTATTTATTTTTTAAGACAGGGTCTCTCTGGCGCCCAGGCTGGAGTGCAATAGTGTGAGCACGGCTCGCTGCAGCCTCAACCTCCTGGACTCAAGCAATGTTCCCACCTCAGCCTCCTGAGTAGGTGGAACTAGAGGCACGTGCCACCAGGCTCAACTAATTTTAATGTTTTTTTCTTTTATTTTCTTTTTTGAGATGGAGTTTCACTCTTGTTGCCCAGGCTAGAGTGCAATGGCATGATCTCAGCTCACTGCAACCTCTGCCTCCTGGGTTCAAGCAATTCTCCTGCCTCAGCCTCCCGAGTAGCTGGGATGACAGGCATATACCACCATGCCATGAGAATTTTGTATTTTTAGTAGAGACGGGGTTTCTCCATGTTGGTCAGGCTGGTCTTGAACTCCTGACCTCAGGTCATCTTCCCGCCTTGGCCTCCCAAAATGCTGGCTGGGATTACAGGCGTGAGCCACTGTGCCTGGCCATTTTAAAAGTTTTAATAGAGACAAGGTCTCACTATGTTGCCCAGGCTGGTCCAGAACTCCTGGGCTCAAGCCATCCTCCTACCTCAGCCTCTAAAGTGCTGAAACTACAGGTGTGAGCCCCTGCACCCAGCAAAATAATTATTTAAAAAGGAGAAGATGAAGGAGACTACCACAGTAGGCAAGAAATGCCCTGTTCTCTAAGTAGAGCTCTCTGGGAGGAAACCCACAGCTCCCAGGCTGGCCCCAAGTGGGGTGAGGTATACATAAAATTGAAAGCCTTCCAAATATGAACAGACCTAAAACAAGAATAACTTTTTGAAGTTTTGTAATTCCTATATTAATATGAACCACGTCACAAAAATAGGTAGAACAGAGAGGAAGATATCCTTATTAAAGTATTTTAATAAAGGTTAGATGTTCTAATTATAAAAGATTTGCTTGCTCATTGTGGAAAACTGAGGAAAGAGAATGTAAAAAGAAAACAATTTTAAATGCTCATAATCTGGCGTGGCAGCTCACGCCTGTAGTCCCAGCACTTCGGGAGGCCAAGGCGGGTGGATCACTTGAGGTCAGGAGTTTGAGACCAGCCTGGCCAATATGGTGAAATCCTGTCTGTACTAAAAATACAAAAATTAGCCGGGTGTGGTGGTGGGCACCTGTAATCCCAGCTACTCAGGAGGCTGAGGCAGGAGAATCACTTGAACCCAGGAGGCAGAGGCTGCAGTGAGCTGAGATCGCACCACTGCACTCCAGCCTGGGTGACAGAGCAAGATTCTGTCCCCCAAAAAATTAAAAATAAAAGTAACTGTTCATAATCCATATTCAACTACTATAAACTCTCTGGCATGGTTCCTTCTAAACACTCGACAGTGTACTTTTGCATAGATAATATTGCACATGCAGTCTTGTATTTTCCTTTTACATTTTCAAATGTAAATTAAATTTAAATTTAAATGTAAAACACTGCCTAAACAGTTGTAATGTTGAATATTATTTTCTCATGCACTTTCATGTATATAATTATTTCTCCATTAGATGATAGGAATGTTGCCTCCCCCCATTTAAAAATCTTTTTGTATATAGATTTCATGTGTCAATGATAAAAGAACAGAAATAGGTAAATCTTTTGTGATATACAAGATGTACATTACTAAAAAAGAAATGTGAAATATAAAAATGGGACCCAATCATTTCAGTAAGTTTTATTACTAATATTAATCATGTTAATAGATAATTAACGTTAACTTTGACCCTTTAAATTCTGTGTTTTATATTCTCATGGATCCCAGACTGCATCATGCCTTTAATAGTGCTCTTTAGAGAGAATGATTTTTCTTTCTAAAACACATCTAAGTATGCTTTGTTGAGTAGTTTCACTGTAAAAGCAAATACAAGTGGGAGGATAAAAAGAAAAACAATTTCAAAGGAAGGAAGGAGAGAAGGAAGAGAAAAGAAAGGAGGAAGAAATTTCGTTAACCATATTCTAAGGCCTATACCACCATTAGTAAACTGTAGATATATTTTAATTCATTTCTCATACTTCTCCTTGAAAAGCATATCTTCCCATGTTAAGCGGAACAAGAACTCAAGTTCAGATTTAATAGAGTGCAGAGGGGAAGGCTGAGAGTGGGTGCAAGAGTTCACGAAAAAAGCTGGAGAGAGGATGGAGGGCCAAGCATCCAGTTTATGAGAGAGGAAAGGGGCTGCAGGATCACGCTCCTTTTGTAACATCCCCCTGCGTTTCTGGTCCTCAACTCCAAGTCTGCAGGGTGCGACCAGCCCCAGAGCCAGCAGAGCTGAGATAGACACCCCTCCTGGTTTAGCTCTGCTGCGCACACCATCCCAAGACCTGTGGGGTCAGGCCATGCGGGCAGCTCAGCAGCCACAAGGTCATGGCTGGGTTTGGCATGAAATGCTCACACTCGGAGTGAAAATAGGCCTCTGAAGAAGGATGAAGCAACAGCCAAGAAAGAACCACTTTGCAAACAGACTTCCGAGGAGAATGAGCCTCTTGAAATCCTCTGTGCAAAAGTTCACACCATAAAACAGCTGCTGCTTAATGTCTCCGGCTTCTAATGAGCCCCGAGCTCCCGGTTTGCACAGAACTTCCTGGCGAATGGTGTCCAAGGTCCTTTGCTCTTCCCCGCGCCGTTCAATCCCGTAAGTGCTCTTGGTCAAAAACTAGGTCATAAACTTATCCACTGAGAAGCGTTTACTGTTGTTTCAAATGGCGTATTCTGTTCAAGAGGTTATGATAACAAAAGAAGAGCAGCAAACAGGCTTTCAAGTTGGGGCATGTGGTTGCCAGGTTAAAAAACTGGCTCCTTACCTTATCTTAGTTCAGCTCTTTTAGATTCAAACTACTGGACTCTGGCCATTTTCTGGACTGATACAAATCATTTCTAGAATGACTAGATCAAATTTTATTTACTCTGTTTCCAGCTTTGAACTAACAGTTCCAAGCCAAAAAAAAAAAAAAAAGTTGCTGTTTCAGAAAGTATTGGCAAGATTCTCCCACTACCAAAGTTTACAGCATGGTTATACCCTGCCCCAGGAAGAAGGATGTGGCGGGATGGGGGTAAGGGAGGGAGAGAAATGGAGGAGGGCAGCTGTTTGTTCAATAAACTGCAGCAGAAAACCGCCCACATCCCATACTGTTTCTTCCACACCCCCAGCAGAGAAGCAGGAGGTGGCAGCATGAGAAGTCATTCCTCCAAGGCGAATCGTGCTGGCTGGCTGGCTTTCTGCACTCCCACATAACTGACCACGGTCCTTTCTGATTCACCCATGGAGCACAAGGACAGAAGCCAAAGGGTTTGTCTCTGCTTCCTGGGATGTTGATTCCTGCCCTGATGGAGCCCAGGAGATTTACGCCTCCTCCCCACCCATCCTCACCCTCACGTCCAACTACCCCACCCTCCTTCCCCAGTGTTTCTGAGCTCTAAGGCACACAGGGCTGCATTACAAAAGTACTCAACTAAAAGGTGTATATTTTGCATCCCACACCTTCCAAGAATATGCTGAAACTCCTCTCCACAAAAAGACACAGCTGTGGTCAACAGTCCCTAGGCTCCCCAAAACAGCATGTCCTCCACACTCAGCAACCAGGCCTCTGCTTTCTCTTCTGGAGTGGGAAGGAAGGAAAGGAATATGAGAAGGCAGGGTAGAAGAGCTGTAGCCCACCCCTACTCAGCCGGCTGGAAAGCTCCAATTTGTTAACCTAGAAAACCCTGGGGCATTGCAATCAAAGAGTGGCTCCACCCAAGCAAATAACTCGGATTATTTTTTTCCCTACTAGTGGGCAAGAAGAGAAAAGGGAAAATAAGGACAAATGTGTTCAAAACAGAAATACTGCATAACACTAACTTGGCTTTGGGCAAGGACCAGATTATAGGCCCAACACCTCCATTTCTGTCCAAGTGGAAAGAGAAACTACAGGGTGCAACCTTAATCCAGCTGCATGAACTCTGTTGCCCAGAGACTCTGCCAGCCCAAGAAGATCAACATAACCCCAAATTGCTCCTCAGTCCCCAGCTGGCCTTTTTTTTTTTAGACAGTTTCACTCTTGTTGCCCAGGCTGGTGTGCAATGGCATGATCTTGGCTTATTGCAACCTCCACCTCCCAGAATCCCAGATTCAAGCTATTCTCCAGCCTCAGCCTCCCAAATAGCTGGGATTACAGGCATGCACCACCATGCCCAGATAATTTTGTATTTTTAGTAGAGATGGGGTTTCACCATGTTGGTCAGTCTGGTCTCGAACTCCTGACCTCAGGTGATCCGCCTGCCTTGGCCTCCCAAAGTGCTGGGATTACAGGTGTGAACTAGGCATGTGGCCTAGTTCTTCAGGGTTTTTAAAGTTCTTTTTGGTAAACTGATTCTTTGTAATATACTGGTCTTAATTATAATTACCGTGGAAAGATCATTTAGCTTCAAAACTCAATGTGAGGTGGTTCTGTGTTAGAGTAGACTCTGCATGTGCATGAATTTTTCTCCTAAAAAGCCTCTCAACCCTTTCTCAAATGACTAAACTGTGACCAAAGAATGGGAACTGATATTGATGTCACAGTTCGGTTAATTGTTAAAAATAAATAAATCCAGGTTTTAGGTAATAAAACCTAAGACCAATAATTCATCTAAGACCAATGCTACAACATGTTGTCCTTTGCCAACTCTAAACGGGAAATACAAGCTGGCACAAGATGGGCACTAATCAAAGTCCTTACGTATCTCTAAACACAGGTTCAATATGACCTAACTCACATTAATTGCCTTGAAGGCTCATCTGAATTCCATGATTTAAATTTAAAAAAAAAAAAAAAAGTTGAATTGTTTTGAAAGGCGTAGAATGCCAAAAGTTGTTTACAGTTTTCGTCAGGTAAAAAGATATAACTGGCCAGGCGTGGTGGCTCACGCCTGTAATCCCACCACTTTGGGAGGCTGAGGCAGGTGGATCATCTGAGGTCAGGAGTTCAAGATCAGCCTGTCCAATATGATGAAACCCCATCTCTACTAAAAATACAAGAATTAGCTGGACGTGGTGGCATGCTCCTATCATCCCAGCTACTCAGGAGGCTGAAACAGGAGAATCACTTGAACCCAGGAGACAGAGGTTGCAGTGAGCCGAGATTGCACCACTGCACTCCAGGTGCAACTCCTGAGCAACAAGAGTGAAACTCCATCTAAAAAAAAGTTTTTTTAAAAAGGCCGGGCACAGTGGCTCACGCCTGTAATCCCAGCACTCTGGGAGGCCAAGGCGGGCGGATCACCCAAGGTTGAGAGTTCGCGACCAGCCTGACCAACATGTAGAAACCCCGTCTCTACTAAAAAATACAAAATTAGCCGGGCGTGGTGGCGTATGCCTGTAATCCCAGCTACTCGGGAGGCTGAGGCAGGAGAATCGCTTGAACCCGGGAGGCAGAGGTTTCAGTGAGCTGAGAACGTGCCATTACACTCCAGCCTGGGCAACAAGAGCGAAACTCCGTCTAAAAAAATTATATAAATATATATATATATATATAACATAGCCATCGTTAGTATAAAAATTGTACTTTTTATTTTAATTTTTTTCAGACTGAGTTTCACTCTTATTGCCCAGGCTGGAGTGCAATGGCACGATCTCGGCTCACTGCAACCTCCGCCTCCCGGGTTATAGCAATTCTCCTGCCTCAGCCTCCCGAGTAGCTGGGATTACAGGTATGTGCCACTACGCCAGGCTAATTTTGTATTTTTAGTAGAGACAGGGTTTCTCCATGTTGGTCAGGCTGGTCTCGAACTCCCGACCTCGGGTGATCTGCCCGTCTCGGCCTCCCAAAGTGCTGGGATTGTAGGCGTGAGCCACCGCGCCTGGCCAAAAATTGTACTTTTTTTGTTGGGGGACAGAGTCTCACTCTGTCTCCCGGGCTAGAGGACAGTAGCGCGATCTCAGGTCACTGCAAGCTCCACCTCTAACCAAGTTGTGGGAAACAGGAAATGTATTGACATTAATTGCCTTGTAGGCCCATCTGAATTCTTTGAGATTCCTCTCTTCCCCTCCCTGCTCTTGGCTTGCTCAGTGTTCTTTTACCTCCATCGTCACTGTGTAAGGAATTATTGGCAACTAGGCAAGAATGTCTATGAGCCTAATTTGAACTCTGCTGTCTTTCCGCAAAGAAACCAGAATCTGAAACTCTTACATCTCAGTGAGCCCCCAGAACAACCAGGAAAAATGAACTCCCAAAGGGGGAAAAATACCCATAGATTCAAAAAGAGATGAGTATACGGTGTGTTTCCAGGTCTAGCTCCACATGGCCTTTATACGCCAAGTACCACGGGATTAATGCTTGGAATGCTCAACATTGGTTATGCATAGGATTAGATTTATAAATATAAATGAGTAATACTTTCAGCTTATCTTTTCTAAAAAGTACTGACATAGCTGTAACAGCCTTAGCCACCAATAAGAAACTGCCTGTTAAAGTGAATATTCTTGCTAGTTTAAAATAGTAGCTCACTCTGCCTGACAAAACCATTTACAACATCTATAATATCTACGTATTCAAACTGCCACAATCATATAATTCATCAACTGAGAATTACCACATATTCTACCAGCATGCGGAGAACCTTTTAAGTATCTGGAAGGACCTAATGAAATGTACATCCTAACCCCAGAAAAGATGTAACTTCTTCTATGAACAATGTTCCACTCAAAATACTTTGAGAGGGGCTGGGCACAGTGGCTCACGCCTGTAATCCCAGCACTTTGGGAGGCTGAGGCAGGGGGGATCAACTGAGGTTAGGAGTTCGAGACCAGGCTGGCCAACACAGTGAAACTCCATCTTTACTAAAAATACAAACATATTAGCCAGGCGTGGTGGCACGTATCTGTAATCCCAGCTACTTGGGACGCTGAGGCAGGAGAATCACTTGAACCTGGCAAGTGGAGGCTGCAGTGAGCTGAGGTTGTACCACTGCACTCCAGCCTGGATGACAAGAGCAAAACTCTGTCTCAAAAAAAACAAAACAAACAAACAAACAAAAAACAACTTTGGAAGGGAAAAATAAAATGAAACACAAGTTCTACAGACACAAAGTTAAATGTGATCATTCAAGGTCCACCCGGCACATGTTCCTTGTATGTGCCATGCTTTTGGTTGGCCATGGCTCACAGTTATCTAAGAATTTACTATATTCAAATGTAGTTTTATGTTTGCCCAAAAAGTACAGCTACGTGTTTTCACTTTCCAGATATACGGCTGTCCTCCACTCCCTTGGGCTTCTCACATGACGAACTTGAAAATAAGTTTCTATGAGACCAACTTGTCCACATCTCTGGGCCTGTTCAGTCAGAGACAGATGTGTAGTGCTCTACAAGAATGGCTACCAAGGCCGGGCGCGGTGGCTCACGCCTGTAATCCCAGCACTTTAGGAGGCCGAGGTGAGCAGATCACCTGAGGTCAGGAGTTCAAGACCAGCCTGGCCAATATAGTGAAACCTCATCTCTACTAAAAATACAAAAAAAAAATTAGCTGGGCATGGTAGCAGGCACCTATAGTCCCAGCTACTTGGGAGACTGAGGCAGGAGAATCACTTGAACCCAGGAGGTTGCAGTGGGCCAAGATCACGCCACTGCACTCCAGCCTGGGCAACACAGTGAGACTCTGTCTCAAAAAAAAAAAAAAATAGCTACCAAAAAAATTTAAAGATTGCTGAGCATGGTAGCACACACTGGTAATCCCAGCTACTCAGGAGGCTGAGGAGGGAAGATCACTTGAGGCCAGAAGGTCAAGGTTGTAGAGTGCCATAATCACACCCGTGAATAGGCACTGCACTCCAGCCTGGGCAACCTAGTGAGACTCCATCTCTCACACACACACACACACACACACACACACACACACAAAGCTAACGGTCTCTAAATTTAAGAAGACACAGAAACAGGTCTGGGCACAGTGGCTCACACCTGTAATCCCAGCACTCTGGGAAGCCGAGGCGGGTGGATCACAAGGTTAGGAGATCGAGACCATCCTGGCTAACACGGTGAAACCCCGTCTCTACTAAAATACAAAAAAAAATTAGCCACACATGGTGGCAGGAGCCTGTAGTCCCAGCTACTCGGGAGGCTGAGGCAGGAGAATGGCGTGAACCCAGGAGGTGGAGCTTGCAGTGAGCCGAGATCGCGCCACTGCACTCCAGCCTGGACAACAGAGCGAGACTCCATCTCAAAAAAAAAAAAAAAAGAAGACACAGAAACAAACATGATTGGAGGAATCTAGGGGGAGAGGCAGAAATGAATGAATATTGGCTTACTAGATCTCCTTTTAACCAAACTCATTAGATTCTCAGGCATAAATGTTGCTTTTTAAAAACCGTGTCAAGGTACATCATGGAACAGCATGTCTCCTATTCCTACCATTTCAGATAAAGTCTGGTCACTCTTTAACTTCTCTACTTGACCAGAATATGTGCTTAGCTCTTAACATTAAAATTAGGAAATCTTAATATTGGCCTATGATATCTCCTCATGTTAAAAAATAAAATAAAAGGAGAATAATCGTACATGAACCAAAAATGCTTACGCTGTAAGAAATACTACCAGGAAATGACAAATTTTAAATCCTTTATAATGTGATTATGGCTACTAGCATGAAAAGGGATTATTCATAACTGAAATAGAAAATTAAGGAGCAAAACTCTTGGTAAGACAAAATACAAACCAGGCTGGCAGCATTTCCCTACCTGAAGAGCACTCATCAGTCATTCTGACTGTCTTGTGATAATGCTTCAGCAAACCCACCAGTGAAATGAGCTTGTTGCCAATTCCTATGAATTTAAAACAGGACAGATATGTCACACTATGCAAAACATGGCATCATGTGATCAGAAAGACATTTAATAATCTGAAGCAGAACAATAAATGTCAGCAAATCCTTTGGAACTCAGTGCTTCTGAGATAGACCCTTTAGGATGTTCCTGAAATAGATTTTATGCACTCAATCAATTTTTGTTTCTTCTGTAGTTTCCATTTGCAAAGGGACCTGGGATGTGCAGATGACATGTGAGTGACATCATGCTTGGACATGACACTAAGGGGAGAAAAGACACATGCAACAGAGAAAAATGCAGCAATGCCTTTTCCAGGGCTTTCCTAGAGAGACCGCCACTGACTGCACCACGTCAAAATGAAAGCTTTTCCCAATGGGAACTTTTATTACTGTTCCTATTAAGAGAACAGAAGGAAAAAAAAAGCAACTTTCTGGTTTTCACAGGAAAAGAATGATTTCCAAATTATGATTTTTGAGAGGGAAAGACTTATTCATGGTAAACATGAAACACATGGTGTTCTCAGAGGGTTTCTGTCCACCCTACACAGTAATATCTCTCATATGAAAGGAACAATTATTAATAGTTAAACACAATACCCCTTAGAATGCACTATATATTTCTGTTTAAAGCCTGAGGTCCCAGAGAGCCTTTAAATAATGATTCCAAAGTGAACTTCCTGCTTCTCACTCTGGAGCAAACAGAGTAGCCACATCCCACATGCTACAAAATGCAGTTGGGTGGACTCAGCTATCAACAGGATATTTGCCCACTGGACCCATTTTCAGAATGTGAAAAGAGAAATTTCAGCCAACTGGGAAGGCCAGTGGCCTCATTAGGAAATACGGGACCTATTCAACCATTGTGGGTTGTTTCCAGTTTTTTATTTGCCCTTGTTGGTGTTTTGCTTTGCTGTTTCATCAGGGTGTGGATCTCAGTGGCTCTTAATCCCAGATGTACAGGAGAATCATCTGGGAGGTTAAAGACAACACCCTTCAATGGGCCACCAGGAGGTTATAATTTGCATCTAGAGTTGAGAACCACTATCCTACCCCCATCTGACTCCAGCCTCACCAATCCAGCCTCCAACTTTCAGCATTGCACTGTATCATTTAGGCTTCTGATGAGAACTGTCAAGCAAAGCTGTCTTTCTTCCTCTTTCTTCACTTTAGAGATTTCCAAGAGGCCCTCAAGAGAGTATCAGTCCATTTTCCATGCAGTGCCAAGGATGCTCTATATTGCTATGTGCAGGCTGTTCCTAAGAATACAGGACGTTCCAGGCCGTATGGGATACGCAGCTCACTCCCACAGGGTCCCTGACTCTCCACCCCACCCCCACCGCTATTCTCATGTATGTCACAGGCTTGTCTTGAGGGAAGGCATGGGATAGAATATCTCAGGAGGTCCTATCCAATTTCCTAGCAATCTGTAACACAGGAAAGAGCGCCCTGCAGTCTGTCACTATGATACAAATGCTTCTCACAAATACCTCAACCATTAGTCTCGCCCTAAACAAACAAACATCATGCTAGGCAGAGCCGAGTGCCATTCCCTGGACGACAGGAGAATGTGACTGCAATTGCAATGCCTGTTGAGTGTACGCAATTATCTTTTAATATTAGCAAAAGCTGTATGCAGCGAGCACCCCCACTCCCACCACACACACAAAAATCCGTATCAGCTGCCTCTCCACCTGACCATTTCTCAGGAAATGAATATGTCAGGTAAATGAAAGAGAGATGGGGTCACCAGCACCTTAGTAAGATCTAATTCAAATCCTTCATTTTTGGAAAATCCACTCATTTAAAACCAAAATCAGGAATTTTGAAAAAAAAAAAAAATTGGCAGCCTTTCAATTTGAAAATAGAGTAACTTAACTGATGAATTAAAAAAATTTATAGACAAGATGGCATTCTAAATTTCAACAAGTATTTTTAAGTCCAAAAAAAAAATCACTGTGTCCCTCCATTAATTCCAACAATAGTATGTGGCTTTGCACATAACACAATCTAAGTATTTATTTGCTTGTATTTTGATCTCAGCAGTGGAAAGTCCATAAAATGAAAGATTCATATACACTAATGGCTGCTGTTTATTGAATGACTGGTACATACCAGGCACTCTGCTAAGTGCTTTCCAGGTTTCATTCCATTGAATTCCCTCAACCTGATGGAGAACAACCAGGTTCTCTATTTTATAGATGAGTCCACGAGGCTTCAATAAATAAAACAACACATCCATAGTCCACAAAGCTAGAGGGTGGCCGAGCTGGTACTTGGAGAGAAGTCTGGCTAACTTCAAAGCCCTCAACCACTTTTATGAACTATTATAGTATATTATCCTTTATAAGTAGGTAATGTACTAAAACACCACTACCACTGACACTTTTTTAAAAACAGGGGGCAGAGACAAGCAACCTGAATTCTTACGTAACTTACTTATTTAAAGACCCTGTCTTTATTTTTTAAGACAGGGTCTCTCTCTGTTACCTGAGCTGAAGTGCAGTGGCGTGTGATCACAGCTCACTGCGGCCTCTACCTCCCAGGCTCAATCAATCCTCCTGTGTCCGGAGTAGCTGGGACTACAGGCGTGTGCCACCACACCCAACTAATTTGTCTTATTTTTTGTGGAGACAAGATCTCACTCTATTGCTCAGGCTGGTCTCAAACTCCTGGGCTCAAGCAATCCTGCCTCAGCCTTCCAAAGTACTGGGATTACAGACATAAGCCACTATGCCTGGCCTGAATTATTTGACTTTTATTCTTGAGGAAAACATTCATTGTGGAGTGAGGGTGAGAATGTGGGATCTGGAATCTTGTCTCTGATATAAACTGACCACAGGCAAGTTATTGAACCTCAGAGAGTCCACATTCTCTTCTTTGAAATGGAAATAACAACGTCCACCTCACATGGCTGTTAGAAGAACCTACTGAAATAGCCATCTTTGGTACTCACTGTTAGCTTTCTTTCTTCTCTTTTTTTATTATTTTTTCTTCTTATTTTTTTTTTTAGACAGAGTCTCACTCTGTCACCCAGGCTGGAACGCAGTGGTGCGACCTCGGCTCACTGCAACCTCCACCTCCTGGGTTCAAGCGATTCTCCAGTGTCACCCTCCCAAGTAGCTGGGATTATAGGCACCTGCCACCATGCCCAGTTAATTTTTGTACTTTTTTTTTTTTTTTTTTTTAGTAGAGATGGGGATTTCACCATGTTGGCCAGGTTGGTCTCGAACTCCTGACCTCAGGTGATCCACCCGCCTCGGCTTCCCAAAGTACTGGGATTACAGGTGTGAGCCACCACGCCTGGCCTTTCTTTCCTCTCTTAGTCTCAGTGTCCTACTCTATCAGCTAGGGATAACAAACTTCATCATACCAACATCACAGAGGTCATTAAAGGAAAAGATATTAGTAGAATTGCTTTGAAAAAAAGTTATGTTTTAGAGAAGCTTTATTTCAGATCATTAGCACTTTTAGGTGTACTGACTCCCTGAAAAGAAATTATAAATCGTCACTTAGTCAACCTGAAGAGCTCATATTTAAGAAAGTAGTCTTAACTTTTTTATTGTTTTGTAAATTATCTTGATTCATATGTTTTTCAGCTCTGAGTTCTATTTTTTTTTTTTTACTTAGTGTTTCAAGGAGTCATTATTAAGCACCCATTAAGTACTCAGGCCCATAGGGAATTTTAAAAGTTGGAAATAGGATTCTTGCACCTAGGAAGGTATGATGTTTGGCTGGGTTTTCTAAAAGTAGGCACACATAAAATGTGTGGATTAATCAGTAGTTGTCAGTGATTAGCATTAGGAAAAGCGTGTAACTATTAACCAGCAGCAGAAGAGGATCAGGTGTGGTGGCTCACACCTGTAATCTCAGCACATTGGGAGGCTGAGACAGGAGGATCACTTGAGGCCAGGAGTTCAAGAACAGCCTGGGCAACATAGCAAGACTCTGTCTCTATAAAAAATAGAAAATTAGATGAATGTGGTGGCAGTAGCCCTAGCTATTTGGGAGGCTGACATGGGAGGATTGCTTGAGTCCAGCAGTTCCAGGCTGCAGGCTGCAGCGAGCCATGATCGCACCATTGCACTCTAGGCTGGGCGACAGAGCAAGATCCTGTCTCAAAAATGCAAACAAAAAGTAGCAGAAGGGAATTTCTTGGTCATGCTGGAACAGTTCTGTATCCCAATTGCAGTGATGGCTACTTGAATCTACAAGGATAACAAAATTTTGTAGAAAAATCTACACCCCCCTCCCTCTCCCTCTCCCTCTCCCCACGGTCTCCCTCTCCCTCTCTTTCCACGGTCTCCCTCTGATGCCGAGCCGAAGCTGGACAGTACTGCTGCCATCTCGGCTCACTGCAACCTCCCTGCCTGATTCTCCTGCCTCAGCTTGCCGAGTGCCTGCGATTGCAGGCGCGCACCGCCACGCCTGACGGGTTTTCGTATTTTTTTGGTGGAGACGGGGATTCGCTGTGTTGGCTGGGCTGGTCTCCAGCTCCTAACCGCGAGTGACCCGCCAGCCTCGGCCTCCCGAGGTGCCGGGATTGCAGACGGAGTCTCGTTCACTCAGTGCTCAATGGTGCCCAGGCTGGAGTGCAGTGGCGTGATCTCGGCTCGCTACAACCTCCACCTCCCAGCAGCCTGCCTTGGCCTCCCAAAGTGCCGAGATTGCAGCCTCTGCCCGGCCGCCACCCCGTCTGGGAAGTGAGGAGCGTCTCCGCCTGGCCGCCCATCGTCTGGGATGTGAGGAGCCCCTCTGCCTGGCTGCCCAGTCTGGAAAGTGAGGAGCGTCTCTGCCCGGCCGCCATCCCATCTAGGAAGTGAGGAGCGCCTCTTCCCGGCCGCCATCACATCTGGGAAGTGAGGAGCATCTCTGCCCGGCCGCCCATCATCTGAGATGTGGGGAGCACCTCTGCCCTGCCGCCCCGTCTGGGATGTGAGGAGCATCTCTGTCCGGCCGCCCCGTCTGAGAAGTGAGGAGACCCTCTGCCTGGCAACCGCCCTGTCTGAGAAGTGAGGAGCCCCTCCGCCCAGCAGCCACCCCGTCTGGGAAGTGAGGAGCGTCTCCTACCGGCAGCCACCTCGTCCGGGAGGGAGGTGGGGGGGTCAGCCCCCCGCCCGGCCAGCCGCCCCGTCCGGCAGGTGAGGGGCGCCTCTGCCCGGCCGCCCCTACTGGGAAGTGAGGAGCCCCTCTGCCCGGCCAGCCGCTCAGTCCAGGAGGGAGGTGGGGGGGTCAGCCCCCCGCCCGGCCAGCCGCCCCATCCGGCAGGTGAGGGGCGCCTCTGCCCGGCCGCCCCTACTGGGAAGTGAGGAGCCTCTCTGCCCGGCCAGCCGCTCCCTCCGGGCGGGAGGTGGGGGGGTCAGCCCCCCGCCCGGCTAGCCGCCCCGTCCGGGAGAGAGGGAGGTGGGGGGGTCAGCCCCCCGCCCGGCCAGCCGCCCCGTCCAGGAGGTGAGGGGTGCCTCTGCCCGGCCGCCCCTACTGGGAAGTGAGGAGCCACTCTGCCCAGCCAGCCACCCCGTCCGGGAGGGAGGTGGGGGGGTCAGCCCCCCGCCCGGCTAGCCGCCCCGTCGGGGAGAGAGGGAGATGGGGGGGTCAGCCCCCCGCCCGGCCAGCCGCCCGTCCAGGAGGTGAGGGGCGCCTCTGCCCGGCCGCCCCTATGGGAAGTGAGGAGCCACTCTGCCCGGCCAGCCGCCCCGTCCGGGAGGGAGGTGGGGGAGTCAGCCCCCCGCCCGGCCAGCCGCCGCGTCCGGGAGGGAGGTGGGGGGGTCAGCCCCCCACCCGGCCAGCCGCCCCGTCTGGGAGGTGAGGGGCGCCTCTGCCCGGCCGCGCCTACTGGGAAGTGAGGAGCCCCTCTGCCCGGCCAGCCGCCCCGTCCGGGAGGGAGGTGGGGGGGGTCAGCCCCCCGTCCGGCCTGCCGCCCCGTCCGGGAGGTGAGGGGCGCCTCTGCCCGGCCGCGCCTACTGGGAAGTGAGGAGCCCCTCTGCCCAGCCACCACCCTGTCTGGGAGGTGTACCCAACAGCTCATTGAGAACGGGCCATGATGACAGTGGCAGTTTTGTGGAATAGAAAGGGGGGAAAGGTGGGGAAAAGATTGAGAAATCGGATGGTTGCCGTGTCTGTGTAGAAAGAGGTAGACATGGGAGACTTTTCATTTTGTTCTGTACTAAGAAAAATTCTTCTGCCTTGGGATCCTGTTGATCAGTGACCTTACCCCCAACCCTGTGCTCTCTGAAACATGTGCTGTATCCACTCAGGGTTGAATGGATTAAGGGCGGTGCAAGATGTGCTTTGTTAAACAGATGCTTTAAGGCAGCATGCTCCTTAAGAGTCATCACCACTCCCTAATCTCAAGTACCCAGGGACACAAACACTGCGGAAGGCCGCAGGGTCCTCTGCCTAGGAAAACCAGAGACCTTTGTTCACTTGTTTATCTGCTGACCTTCCCTCCACTATTGTCCTGTGACCCGGCCAAATCCCCCAAAAACACCCAAGAATGATCAATAAAAAAAATAAAAATAAAAAAAATTTAAAAAAAACCTCTAGTTAACACATAATAATGCCCGCACTGAGCAGGTGTTCACTAAGGTGTTGAATTAATAGTTGAAACTGTAAAAAAAAAAAAAAAAAAAAGAAAGAAAACCAGTGTTAGTTAGAATGTGGATAAGTTGGAACCCTTGGGCATTGCTGGTGGGAATATAAAATGGTGGGCTGCTGTGGAAAATAGTTTGGTGGTTCCTCAAAAACTTAAATATAGACTTACTAGATGACCCAGCAATTTCACTCCTCAGTGGTATATACTCAAAATACTTGAAAACAGAGACTCAAACAGAAACTTGTCCACCAATGTTCATAGCAGCATTATTCACACTAGTTAAAGGTGGAACCAACCCAAGTGTCTATCAACTGATGAATGGATAAGCAAAATATAGTATATATGTATAATGAATATTAATTCAGACATAAAAAGGAATGAAGCTCTGAAACATGCTGTAATTTGCATGAACCTTAAAAACATGCTACATTACATAAGCCAAACAGAAAAGGGGAAAAAAAAAAAAGAAAAAAAGAAAAATCTACACCCCCTTCCAAAAAAAGAATGCATGTAAAAATCGGTTAAATCTAAATAAGGTCTCTTACCTGAGTTAATGGCATTATGCCAATGTCAATTTCCTAGTGGTTTTTTTTTTGTTTTGTTTTTGTTTATTTTTTTGTTTTGAGATGGAGTCTCGCTCTGTCACCCAAGGTGGAGTGCAGTGGCATGATCTCGGCTCACTGCAACCTCTGCCTCCTGGGTTCAAGCAATTCTCCTACCTCAGCCTCCTGAGTAGCTGAGACTACAGGCACATGCCACCACGCCCAGCTAATTTTTTGTATTTTATTAGAGACGGGGTTTCACCGTGTTGCCCAGGCTGTTCTCGAACTCCTGAACTCAGGCAATCCGCCCGCCTCGGCCTCCCAAAGTGCTAGGATTACAGGCGTGAGCCACCACACCCAGCCAATTTCCTAGTTTTGACTATGTACTAAGGTTATGTAAGGTGTTACATTGGTGGATGCTGAGTGAAGGCACATGGGAACTGTCTGGACTATACTGCAACTACCTGTGAATCTTTTTTTTTTTTTGAGACAAGAGTTTTGTTCTTGTCTCCCAGGCTGAAGTGCAATGGCATGATCTTGGTTCACTGCAACCTCGGCCTCCCAGGTTCAAGAAATTCTCCTGCCTCAGCCTCCCAAGTAGCTGGGATTACAGGTGTCAGCCACCATGCCTGGCTAATTATTTTATTTTATTTTGGTAGAGACGAGGTTTCACCACCTCGGCCAGGATGGTCTTGAACTCCTGACCTCAGGTTATCTCCCCATCTCGGCCTCCCAAAGTGCTGGGATTACAGGCATGAGCCACTGTGCCTGGCCACCTGAATCTTAAAATATAAAAATAAATTAGCTGGGCACAGTGGCGGACACCTGTAATCCCAGTTACTTGGAAGGCTGAGGCGGGAGAATCGCTTGAACCTGGGAGGCGGATGTTGCAGTGAGCCAAGATCGCGCCACTGCACTCCAGCCTGAGCAACAGAGTGAGACTCTGTCCAAAAAAAAAAAAAAAAAAAAAAATATATATATATATATATACACACACACACATATATATGTATATATATATATTTATATATGTGTGTATATATATATGTGTATATATATTATATATGTGTATGTATATATATATTTATATATGTGTGTATATATATATGTGTGTATATATATATGGCGCTTATAAGAGGAAGCCCCTTATAAACTGATATGGGAAGATTTCTAAGATGTATAGTTAAGTGAAAACCAAAAGGAAGACACTGAAGCATGCGTACAATATGCTACCTTTTGTGTAAAAGCAGGAAATACAGAAGAGATACTCATATTCCCACAGAGCATCAGTGGACAATGCAGGCTACATCAGAAACAGGACAGTGGTTACCTGCAGGGACAGGGAAGAAGGGACTTGACAGATGAGGCACAAAGACGAAAGAGAGAACATTACACTTTTTGGGTTTTGAACCATGTAATGTAATATTATTCAGGAAAACAAATCAAAAGTCAAAAAGAAAAAACTGATAGCAACATAATGATAATATCAATGTGGAAACCTGCGTGTCAGGTCCTTTGCTGAACAACTTAAATACATTATCTGGCCAGGCACAGTGGCTCAAACCTGTACTGATATAATCCCAATAATATGGGAGGCCGAAGTGGGAGGATTGCATAAGGCCAGGAGTTCTAGACCAACCCGGGCAACATAGCCAAGACACCATCTCTACAAAAAAATTTTAAAAATTAGCTGAGCATGGTGGCATATGCCTGTAGTCCTCATTACTTGGGAAGCTGAGGCAGGAGGATTGTGTCAGCCTGGGAGTTTGAGGCTGCAGTGAGCTGTGATCGCACCACTGCACTCCAGCCTGGGTGACAAGAGTGAGACCTTGCCTCAAAAAAAAAAAACAAAAGCAAAAAACAAACATAAAATTATTTCTAATCCTCAAAAGAGCAACAATTACCTCTTTTCACAGAGGGTAAAACCAAAACTCAAGAATAATTAATTTTTTAAACCTTTCCCGAAGCCCCTGCTCCTTCCATGATAATGGACTTCCCTCCTATTTAAAGTTCGCTGGCCAGACCATGCTACAACTTGGTGTCCTTTTACGTGTTTTTTTTCTCCGCCTGAAACCCCTCTCACCCCTCACCTTACTTTGCTTGGCTGGAATGCCCTTATTCAACCTGAATAAAGCTGAAATAATTAAAAAGAAAAATTTTTTTAACCTTAAAAGAAAAAGAAGAATCCCTGTTAATTATGAATGGGCATAAGTAGATATTCTTTACAAACCTTTAACACCAAATTTCTGAGTAAGGCTGATTCCTAATATTTCCAGAAAATTCTTTGCCAAATATGAATTCATAAAGAGTGATAATACCGTTCTAAAAAATATATTACATTCCTTAAAAAAGCATGGCTTTTTAAAATTTCCTTTTCTTTGAAGTGTGTTTACCTTAAAAAGTGGAATAAAGGGCACTGTGTTCAGAAGAAACCTTAGTCCTTTGATGCTAAACTTCCAAACTACTTTGTGGCCATTTAATACAGCATGGGTTCCTAGAGAGACACAGAGAACTCCTGACTTTAAAAGCTCTGTTATTTACCTTAAAAAGATTTGTCCTCTAGAGGCCAGGCACGGTGGCTCACGCCTGTAATCCCAGCACTTTGGGAGGCCTAAGCGGGCAGATCATTTGAGGTCAGGAGTTCGAGACCAGCCTGGCCAAAATGGTGAAGCCCCGTCTCTACAAAAAATACATAAAAAATTAGCCGGGTGTGATGACACACAGCTGTAATCTCAGCTACTCAGAAGGCTGAGGCAGAAGAATCACTTGAACCCAGGAGGCAAAGTTTGCAGTGGGCCAAGATCATGCCACTGCTCTCCAGCCTGGGTGACAGAGTGAGTCTCTGTCTCAAAAAAAAAAAGAAAGAAAGAAAGAAAAAGAAGGAAGGAAGGAAGGAAGGAAGGAAGGAAGGAAGGAAGGAAGGAAGGAAAGAAAGAAAGAAAGAAAGAGAATTCATCCTCTAGAGAGTGTTTTCATAAGTTTGATCAACAGTAAAATGCAGGTCAGCATGCCATGGCAGTCAAAGGTAAATGGGGGCCAGGTGCAGTGGCTCGTGCCTATAATTCCAACACTTTGGGAGGCCAAGGCAGGAGGACTGCTCGAGGTCAGGAGTTCAAGGCCAGCCTGGACAACATAGCAAGACCCCATGTCTACAAAAAAATTATTTAAAAAAAAAATTAGCTAGGTGTGGTGGCACACACCTACTCGGGAGGCTGAGGCAAGAGGATATCTTGAGCCCAGAAGTTTGAGGCTACAGTGAGCCAAGATTGCTCTGCACTCCAGCCTGGGCAACACAGCGAGACCCTGTCTCTAAGAAAAAGAAAACAAGAAAAGAAAAAGATACATGGTCTGAAGTCAGACCCCTGGGGTCAAGTTCTGGCTTTGCCAATTCCTATGTCCTTGAACAAGATAACTTCTCTGTGTCTCGTTTTCATCATTTGTAAAATGAAGTTTTGCTGATATCAAACAAACAGAGATAAGGAATAATTAAATAACTTACAACACATGTAAAGGGCTTCTGAACAGTGCCTAACATGGGCCAAGTATGAATAAACATCAGCTAGCAGTAATATATAGCTTGGTCATACGGTATATACTTGATAAATAGTGTTAACTCCAAGAAGGAGCTTGTCTGTGGTTAAGCTTAAGGAATTTGAAAGAATACAACAGATAAGACGAAACACTGAAAACACCAAGAATGTGAGGATGGGAAGCGTATCTTTAGGTGGTGTGTGCTAGCAGTGCTAATCTGCTTTCCAAGCGATAAGCCTGACCCTCTAGAGGAGAGGACTCACATCCCAAACACCAGATTGCCCTCTGCTTTGAGGATTTTGGTTAACCAGAGGATGTTAATTTTGCAAGTCATTTTATAGTTTAACTTTTCCAGATGTCTGTCATGCAGCAACTTTTCTTTTCTTTTTTTTTTTTTGAGACAGAGTCTCACTTTCTTACCCAGGCTGAGGTGCAGTGGCGTGATCTCGGCTCACTGCAAACTCCGCTTCCCGGGTTTAAGTGATTCTCCTGCCTCAGCCTCCTGAGTAGCTGGGATCACAGGTGCCCACCACCACGTCCAGCTAATTTTTGTATTTTTAGTAGAGAGGGGGTTTTACCATCTTGGCCAGGCTGGTCTTGAATTCCTGGCCTTAAGTGATCTGCCCACCTCGGCCTCCCAAAGTGCTGGGATTACAGGGATGAGCCATTGTGCCTGGCTGCAACATTTCTTTTCAATGACGATTCTAAAACACAGATCTTAAGCAGGTCATGGTATCCAGCCAGGTGCATTCTTAAAAGAGTTCTCATTGCCATGTGTTTAACTTCCCCATATGCTTCTGGAGGCCTTTATAACTCATACCTGACAAACTCATTCCAATCACTTTACATAAAAAGCTTTATTATTAATTAATGGTTATTATTAATACCATAATATTTAAAGTTGCTAAATCGGTATCTAAATCAGCATCAGGGTGTTTTACTTAATCACAAAGACAGCTGGGCGCAGTGATTCACACCTATGATCCCAGCACTTTGGGAGGCTGAGATGGGTGGATCACTTGAGGTTAGGAGTTCCAGACCAGTCTGACCAACATGGTGAAACCTCATATCTATTAAAAAAATACAAAATTAGCCAGGTGTGGTGGCACAAGCCTGTAATCCCAGCTACTTGGGAGGCTGAGGCAGGAGAATCACTTGAACCCAGGAGGCAGAGGTTGCAGTGAGCCGAGATTGTGCCATTGCACTCCAGCCTGGGCAACAAGAGCAAAACTCTGTCTCAAAAAATAATAATAATTAATCACAAAGACACTTTTCATGGGGACTTGACCAGATATTTACATACCCATGTTCATAGAGGTATTCACAATAGCCAACAGGTGGAAGTAACCCGTGTCCATCAACAGATGAATGAATAAACAAAATGTGATATATACATACAATGGAATATTATTCAGCCTTACAAAGGAAGGAAATTCTGACATATGCCAAAACATGGATGAATTTTGAAGACATTACGCTAAGTGGAAAAAATCAGTCACAAGAAGAAAAATACCGCATGATTCCACTTACATGAGGTACCTAGAGCAGTCAAATTCATAGACACAGAAAGTGGAATGGTGGTAGCCAGGGGCTGAGGGGAGGGAAGAATGAAGAGTTAGTGTTTAATGGGTACAGAGTTTCAGGTTGGGAAGATAAAAACTTTATTTTTTTTTTTATTATACTTTAAGTTCTGGGGTACGTGTGCAGAACGTGCAGGTTTGTTACACAGGTATACACGTGCCATGGTGGTTTGCTGCACCCATCAACCTGTCATCTACATTAGGTGTTTCTCCTAATGCTATCCCTCCCCTACCCCCACCCCACCGGACAGGCCCCGGAGTGTGATGTTCCCCTCTCATGTGTTCTCATTGTTCAACTCCCACTTATGAGTGAGAGGGAAGATGAAAACTTTCAAAAGATAATAGTGGCAACAATTGCACACAACAATATGAGTGTATTTAATGCCAATGAAGTGTACATTTAAAAATGGCTTAAATGATAATTTTATATTATGTATACTTCACCACAATAAAAAATATGTATTACTGAAATCCTGTAACACATACAAAGGAAAGGGAGGAGTAGGTAGTTATCAATGAAGTTGGACTCAGAAGCATTTCATCAATTCCAAGCAAGAGAAACCCTAAGAAACTGGCGCAACACACACACACATACACACACACACGAAACCAAGAAACACAGAAAATAAAAGAAAGATTCCTCTTTATTTTAGCTAAAGAGATTCCTTTCAGTATAAAAACAGAGTAAGAGTTAATCATCTCAAAAAGTTAAAGGGAAAAATACTCAAACTCTAGTCTGAAGCTGGACTCAAGAAACAGTTCATCTAGATAATTCCAAGCAAGAGAAACCCTAAGAAACTGACCAAAAAAAAGAAAAAAGAAACCAAAAAACACAGAAAATAAAAGAAAGGTTCCTCTTTAACTTAACAGACTTCACTTCAGTATAAAAACAGTAAGAGTTAACATCTCCAAAACTTAAAAAAGAAAAATACTCAAACTCTAGTCTATTCTAAGTCTCCGCCATACAACACACAAGTTTTGTCTGATAACTGATTTTTTTTTTTTTTGAGACAAAGTCTCACTCATGTCCCCCAGGCTGGAGTGCAGTGGCACAATCTCCGCTCCCTGAAACCTCCGCCTCCCGGGTTCAAGCAATTCTCCTGCCTCGGCCTCCCGAGTAGCTGGGATTACAGGTACCTGCCACCACGCCCAGCTAATTTTTATATTTTTAGTAGAGATGGGGTTTCACCATCTTGGCCAGGCTGGTCTTGAACTCCTGACCTCAGGTGATCCACCCCCGCCCCTGCCTCCCAAAGTGCTGGGATTACAGGTGTGAGCCACCACACCCGGCCGATAACTGATATTTTAAGTAGAACAGCAACAGGAATGGAATGTAGCAAAAATTACAGACCTGAAACTACCATCACAAAATGAAACTTGGATCCTTCATAATCTTTATGGTCAAGGCAAAGTCAAATAAATTTCAGTTAGGTTAATCCCATTAAGATCTAATATTGTTATCCTTTTTTAAGTGAAAATACATTTAATTAGATCATAGGAATGAAGAGAAAGTCTGGTTCTTCCACTTCAATATCCGTTTCTTGAATCTTACGGACGTGACATGAATATGGAAAGGACTATTTGCTTCTGGTACTTTATTTTGTCTCTCTTTCTTTCTCTTTACCCTTCCTTGCAGCCATATTTACTGGAATTTTATAGTATCTTGACACCAAAGATCCTGCAAGGGGAGAAAAGCTCTTTAGAAATAAAGATCAGTGCCGGGCGCAGTGGCTCATGCCTGTAATCCCAGCATTCTGGGAGGTCGAGGTGGGCAGATCACAAGGTCAGGAGTTCGAGACCAGCCTGGCCAATATGGTGAAACCCTGTCTCTACTAAAAATACAAAATTAGCCAGACATGGGTGGCAGACGCCTGTAGTCCCAGCTACTCGGGAGGCTGAGGCAGGAGAAGTGCTTAAACCCAGGAGGCAGGGGTTGCAGTGAGCTGAGATCACGCTACCACACTCCAACGTGGATGACAGAGCGAGACTCTGTCTCAAAAAATTTAAAAGGAAATAAAAGATCAGTAAAATACTTTCCATTACTACCACATCCTTCATACCTTCAGCAACAAAGGTCTTCATAGAATAAAGCCTTCAGCAATGAATCGTGAAAAGTCAGTCGCTGCCAGATCTGATCATCTATTTCTTTTGAATCACTAAATAAAAGCTAACCAGGCAAATTATCTTTATGCCTAGAAAATGGTAGGACGATGCATTATAAATCTCATCTCAATGCTGAAGAAGAGAAAAATGAATGGTGTCATGGGCAGAAAGACAAGACAATGGAAAGTCTTGTCCTGGTCTTGAATAAGCAGACCTTTTACTATGGCAGGTTACAAATAGCCATTTTGGTGGAAAATAATACATACACACAGAGAGAGAGAGAGAGAGAAGGTAGTATGATATATAATTAAGTATTAAGCTAAGCTTTGGGGGTACTAGAGCAAAGAATGATCAAAATCAGCTCATGGGAAGTTTCTAGCACACCTTTAACTCATGTGTCTGCATGAAACATCATCTCTACTTGTAAGAGTCAATTCCTTGGCATTTGTGTACTCATCTGATTTAGTGTGATCTAAAAGGATAAACACAAAAAGTTTCAATAAAATTTGAATTCCTTTTTTGGTTCTTCAAAGGTAAGGGTTTTTTTTGTTTGTTTGTTTGTTTAATTCATTCTGAGTACAGGTTTTGTTGGGATTAGAAACAGGTGACATATGGCCGGGCATGGTGGCTCACGCCTGTAATCCCAGCACTTTGGGAGGCCAAGGCTGGGTGGATCACAAGGTCTAGGAGTTCGAGACCAGCCTGGCCAATATGGTGACACCAGGTCTCTACTAAAAATACAAAAATTAGCCAAGCATGGTGGCTCGCACCTGTAGTCCCAGCTACTCGGGAGGCTGAGGCAGAAGAATCGCTTGAACCCAGGAGGCGGAGGTTGCAGTGAGCCGAGATGGTGCCAGCCTGGGTGACAGAGCGAGACTCCATCTCAAAAAAAAAAAAAAGGAAGCAGGTGGCATATGAATATTTGGTATTGCTGGCAGTGAGTTTGCATATCAACAGAAAACAGAAATTTTCCAATCACACAAATCGTATATTGTAATCACATGAAAAAAAACTTTTTCAATATCTCTTAAACACTTTTCAAAAGGCCTAAGAATTAGACAGCCTCAAGGCCAACACACCTCTTCAATAACCCATTGTGTGGTGATTATTCCACAAAATGGTTTGGGAAATACATAAATGTATGTTTATTTTCCTAAGAGGCATATTAAATACTTTAACCAGTCAGGTTTCAAACCTCTGCTATAAATTAAGAATAAATAAATTCTTGAATTGATTAAATTTTTCCCATTTTGGAAAATGAAATTGGGTATTTATTTCTGCCACATCTGCCATCAGCAAGAAGGGCATGAAATAAAATAAATATTGGCACCAAAAAAAGCTTACTTCTTCCCCATATTTTCTATTGGAAAAATAAGGTTTGTTTTCCAGTAAGATATTTCATTTTTTAAAAAAATCTGCTTCTACTCAAGGCTGGGGTTCTATTTGTTTTTAAATGAAGCCCACCAAACCTCCCAAGTGCAACTCAGATTTACATCTGGCTAATCCTGCAAATATGACCAACCAAATTCATGCTGTTTATTTTATTTATTTTTTTGAGACAGAGTCTCGCCCTGTTGCAGAGGCTGAAGTGCAGTGGCGTGATCTCGGCTCACTGCGACCTCTACCTCTTGGGTTCAAGCAATTCTCTGCCTCAGCCTCCCAAGTAGCTGGGATTACAGGTGCCCACCACCACGCCCAGCTAATTTTTGTATTTTTAGTAGAGACAGGGATTTACCATCTTGGCCAGGCTGGTCTCGAACTCCTGACCTCGGGATCCACCCGCCTCGGCCTCCCAAAGTGCTGGGATCACAGGCATGAGCCACCGCGCCCAGCCCATGCTGTTTATTTCTAATGAGTTCTGTGATTTTTGGATAACACATGTGAAAGATAGCAAATTAACTACTGCTAGTCAGCAGCATGCAAGCAAAAACTGTCTTGGGAAGCCAGTGTGAGCAAATCCTGCAAGTCAATTTCTAATCACACTTGCCAGAAACTTGGGGGGGACAGGTGATAAACTCTGCCAAGAAAATCAGTAGTAGAACTTGTTTCCCTTTCCTTTTTCCATGGACTATTTCAACACTCAACCAACAAATACAGCCCAACCTTTCCTTTCCATAATTTCGGAGACTGCAAGGAAGGCTCTGGTCTCGTTGATAGTCTTAGAAAAATTAAAAAGCCTCACATTGCAAAATGTAGTATCAGTCTCTCGAGTTCATTTCCTGGAGCTATAGCCATTTACAGGAAAGAGAATGAAGGAGGTGAAAGAGGGTGTCATTTGTATACTTTAAAAAATGCATATTCTGCCCAAGACACCTACAAGTGAGTAGACAAACCATATTCAAATCTCCTTACCTAGACAAAAACTAGCCGGAAATACTGCAGAAAGAGTCAGCAGTAGCTCAAAACAACAAAAAAAGCTAGAGATGGCAGAAAAAAACTCCCCCAAACCAGGTCGCTAATGGCTTAAGAACCAGAGTTTGCAAAGTACTTACTCGTTTGAAGGGTAAGACCCCCGAGTGCATTCTTGCAGGATATTTTCATCTTAGTTTCCCAACTGAATCCCAAACCAAACACAAGTCTTTCCCAGTGGTTTTGGACCATGACTGCAATTAGAATCACCTGAAGCACCTTTAAATCTTGCTGTTGCTGGGACCACCCCTAACCCCACCCACAACCCAATTGAAACCAGAATTTCCTGGGGTCAGGCCAGGGCACCAGTGTCTTTCAAAGCCCTCTGGAGTGATTCGACTGTGCTGCCAGCAGTTGAGGACCACAACTTTGTAAGTATGCTTTTTAAAAAAGAAGGTGATTTCCCCATCAAATACACCCAGATCTCTATTTTCACTCTCTCTGTCCTGCTCCAGAAAATCATGATCACCACTTCCATTCCCTGCTCTCCTACACACTTCCTAATGCAGCAGCAGTCTGTGTGTGCTGCCCTCCACAGCTAGAAATGGAAGGTGGCTTGGCACAGGCCCTAGAAGGCAATAGAAGGCTGGACTCCATCTTGGTGACCCAAGTGTGTAAGCACATCATCTCAGCACATGCTGTGATGTTAAACACAAAGACAAATGCAAAATAGGGTGTGTAAAGAGCATAAAATTTTGCTTTCCTTTAGACCAGTAGTTCTCTTAACTCTACCACGCATTGGAATCACCTGGAAGGCTTGTTAAAACACTACACTCCCAGAATCACTGATTCAGTCAGCTGTAGGGTCTAATGATTTCCGTCTCTGGCAAGTTCGCAAGTGATGCTGATGCTGCTGGTCTTAGGACCAAATTTTGAGAACCACTACTCTAGATTAAACTTCTGGCATCTTCAAACATTTGAAATGCCAAACAAATTTGGTTTTGTTACTATCTCTCTATATAAATATATTCCAATTATAATTGGAATACTGAACACTAGTTGGATATTTGATATGAAGGACTTAACTACTGTTTGAGGATGTTTTTTTGTTTTGGCTGGCGGGGAGCTCTTGGTAATTTTGTTGTTGTTTTTGTTGTTGTTCTTTGTTTTGTTTTTTGAGACAGGGTCTTGCTCTGTCGTCTAGGCCAGAGTGCAGTGGCATAATCACAACTCACTATGGCCTCAAATTCCTGAGCTCAAGTGATCCTGCCTCAGCCCACCAAGTGGCTGGAACTACAGGCATGTGCCACCATGCCTGGCTAAAAAAAAAAATGTAAATTTTATATATATATATATATATATATATATATTTTTTTTTTTTTTTTTTTTGGTAGAGATGGGGTTCTCGCTGTGTTGCCCAGGCTGGTTCTCAAACTCCTGGGCTCAAGCGATCTTTCCACCTTGGCCTCCCAAAGTGCTGGGATTTCAGTGAGCTACCACATCTAGCCTTAACTACTGTTTTAAGAGCAAAAGTGACACTACAGTTATGTTTTAAATAAAAATAAGGAGTTCTGGCCCGGTGTGGTGGCTCACACCTGTAATCCCAAGCATTTTGGGAGGCTAAGGCTGGCGGGTCAACTGACGTCAGGAGTTCAAGACCAGCCTGGCCAACATGGCGAAATCCTGACTCTACTAAAAAATACAAAAATTAGCAGGGCATGGTGGTGCGCACCTGTAATCCCAGCTACTTGGGAGATTGAGGCAGGAGAATCACTTAAACCTGGGAGGTGGAGGTTGCAGTGAGCTGAGATCGCAGTGCAGTGAGCTGGACTGCACTCCAACCTGGGCAACAGAGCGAGACTCTGTCTTAAAAAAAAAGAAAGAAAGAAAGAAATGAAAAGGAAAGAAATTCTTCTTTTTAAGAGATACATATTGGGGAAAAAAGTTTAAAACATTGGAGACAGAATTGACATTGGCCAAGTGCCCCAGCCTCCCTCCTCAGAGGGTAAGCCTTATCCTGAAGTTAGGGCTTACCACTCCATGCATGTTTTATATCATTAACAGTGTACACGTATGAATACTTAAAAATAATACCAAAAAATCATAGAAAAATAGCATAGATAAGGAACCAATCAATCAATGCAAAAAAGGAGAAGGAGGAAGGCAGCAGTGGCCATCAGGAAGTCTGCGGCAGCCCATGGAAGGGCAGGCAGCAGGCTATAGCCACGAAGGGAATCAGGGTGGTCCTTTACCTGGAAATCTTCCCCATCCAGAAAGTCTCCTACCGGAACATGCTGGGTGTTAACACATCTGTAGTCACCTGAGGGTACTAGGGGACAGAAAGGGAAACTGAGTCAAAAGTTGTAAAAGTAAACTGACGGCGACACAGTAGGGTAAGGTTTCACTACACATTTCTGTGTATTTTGAAGGTTCCTAGAAGATCTGGAAAGTCGAGTGTTTTCTACACTTAAGACCGTCACTGCACTTGACTGTTTTAGAGCCACGCCAGGGACTCAGTGCAGAATTCTACGTCGTCCTCACACCTGTAGTAAAGCTGGAAGCATTCAGTGAGGCACGATTTGGGCACCAACTCTGCTACTCCTAAGGCATTGCAAGAGAGTCATTAAGCCTTTGTAGGCTTAGATTTCAGTATCTGGAAAATTTACAGGATTCTCCAGAGTGACTCCCAAAATTAATGGAACATTACTACCCTTGGAAAATTACTAGTCCTTGGATGTAATGAGAAGAAAAGAAAATGAACTAACATTAATATATAAGCTAGATGTTATTTATTTTATTATATTATATATTATTTTATTTTTGAGATGGGAGTTTCACTCTTGTTGCCCAGGCTGGAGTGCAATGGCGCTATCTCAGCTCACTGCAACCTCCACCTCCCGGGTTCAGGCGACTCTCATGCCTCACCCTCCTGAGTAGCTGGGATTACAGGCATGTGCCACCACGCCCGGCTAATTTTGTATTTTTAGTAGAGACGGGGTTTCTCCATGTTGGTCAGGCTGGTCTTGAACTCCCGACCTCAGGTGATCCACCCACCTCTGCCTCCCAAAGTGTTGGGATTACAGGCATGAGCCACCGTGCCCAGCCCTAGATATTTATTTTATATAGTTTACTTCATTTAACCTTTGAAACGATTTTGTGAAGCTAGCAGCAATAGCAGCAGAAGGCTACAAAGAGACTGGGGCCAAGTGTGTGCAGTAACTTGCCTAAGGTCACAGAGCTAGTAGCAGCAGAGGCACAGATCAAAATCTGGACCTGGTTGACCCCCAAGAGGTTTTCCCACTATACCATGTGCCCTCTACTGAGTGCCATCCTGTTGCTGGTAGAGTCACACCAAAGCCACAGTAAATTTTAACTCCAGGACTTAAAAAGTGCAAGATTCTATCATACATCAAGTTTGTTTTCTGTGCCCAGGCTTATCTTTTAAAGAAATCTGGCATTTGGGCCGGGCGCCGTGGCTCACGCCTGTAATCCCAGCACTTTGGGAGGCCAAGGCGGATGGATCACGAGGTCAAGAGTTTAAGAGCCAGCCTGGCCAACACGGTGAAACCCCGTCTCTACTAAAAATACAAAAATTAGCTGGGCGTGGAGGCACGCACCTGTAATCCCAGCTACTTGGGAGGCTGATGCAGGAGAATCACTTGAACCTGGGAGGCGGAGTTTGCAGTGAGCTGAGATCGCGCCATTGCACTCCAGCCTGGGCGACAGGGTGAGACTCCATCTCAAAAAAAAGAATTCTGGCATTTTGTGGAAATGTATTCGATGATAAAATAATTGCCCAGAAGAATACCCAACAAAATTAGCTTATAATATTTCCTTTTACTTAAAAATTTATCTTTCTCTGATATTCCTCTTAAACACACACACATACACACATATATATATTTTATAGCAGGGGGTTATGTCTTTTTTTTTTTTTTTTTTTTTTTTTTGCGACAGGGTCTCAGCCTGTCACCCAGGCTGGAGGGCAGTGGCATGATCATGGATCACTGCAGCCTGGACCTCAGCAGGTTATGCCTTGATACAAGAAGGAAGCTTGGAAGATTTGCTCTCCTTTAAAATTTTTAGAGGCTACACCCGAAAGCACCTGATTCCAAAAGCAAGTATCTTGGCAAGTCATGAAAGATTTGACTATTTCACATAAGAGTGGCTATTTTTTTAAAGGAGAAATTTAATTGTCTAGAGGTTAGATATATACTACACTCCTATCAGGCCAAGGCGGTGAAGCAGCTTCAGTAGGTGAAGACATGGCACGAAGCAACTGTCTGGCTTTCTGGGGCTCAAGGTCATTTTTCTCTCCATATAGGGATTCGTCTAATTGGCGAAACACATTCGTCCAGTGGATCCGGTAGCAAGACAACCTATTAGATAGATCGGTGGTCTGATCTAGGACACAGCTGCTGAGCTCCCTCCAGGCTTAAAATAATTCAGCATTATCAACCCCTCCCCCATTAAGTACAATTAATTTTATGAAACGGAGAAAATAAGCATGGATAAATAAAATGGCTGACACACACCATGCATAGCAGAAAATGCCAACTGTGCTCTGTATACCAGTTCCCACTGACCTCGAGGTGCTAATGAGGGAGTTCTGCAAAGATTGCATTAAAAAGCCTCCTACACTCAGCCAGCCCTAACCCCACTCCAAACTTTTCTCCCACACCACAGCAGGAGGGCCTTGCTAATTGGAATCTGCAGAACACGTGGCCTGAAATTTGTTGTGGCAGCACACACCTCCAGTGCATCCTGAACCACACACACACACACACAACACTCAGATTTCTTAGTGTTTTTTTAAAAAAAATCTAAATGTGACAATAAATATAATCTTTAAAATTAAAACACATGTTTGTGTGATCGCGCCAAAAATAAAGCCAGGTGGAGGTGGTTTTTGTAAGCATACATCTCCCCTCAAGACTGGTGGTAATGACCAGAGATGGTAACAACAAAGATGCCTGGTGAAAAGAGACGCTCTAATCACATTAGCTGGTAGTTGTAAGGGAAGACGGTTGCTTTGAATTTCCCTTTATACACAGCAACTTCAAAAAAAAATCCGTATTTTCTTAGAACATCTTTATGTAGAAAAGCCTGCGTGCCTTTGAAACCTCAACACAAAACAAACAGGAGTCTTTACAAGTCCTGTCTGACCACCCAGGGAGGATCAAATAGTATTTTTTTCTCCAGTAGGCCACCCCAGGATACCACAAATAAAAATGAAAAGGAGGAATTCATCATGTAACCGGGGTGTATTTTGCTAGTGTAGTCATTACACTGTTTTAATCTAAATATTATGGTATATTTTTCACTGGCAAAGCCCAAGAAGATCTAATTATTCATTTATTGAACAGAAAACGTTCTGAAATAGCTGAAGTTAGGTTAAAATCTAGGAAAGAGCAGAAAGGGGAAGATGAAGGAGTTTTCTTCTCAGAATCCCAAGAATTGAGAGGGGTTTTTTTTAAAGGTGCTGATGTTCAGAATGGTAGGATGGGAAGCCAGGGCCCTGAGTTCCTTAGCACAGAAACCCAGAGATGAAAATGCTCAAGGGCTGAGGCTGCAGGAGACATCTGGGGAGGGGAGGGGAGTTTCCTCAGCATCACATGGAAGAGCTTAGGAGCATGAAAGGATGTTGGAATCATAAGAAGGTCTTAGAGTCATAAACATCCTGAAATGTACTCCTCTGATCATGTCTCCACCCTGCACAAAGTCTCCATCTGGGCCAAATAAAGACCAGACCCTGTAGTCAGACAATAAAAAGCCTCCTCGAATCCCAAGCTGTCATCCCAGGCTCGGTTTCCACTGCTGCCATTAAGGGACACTGTGCTCCAGCGCCACCGAAGTCTGTGCTGTTTCTCAGGTACACAGGGCACTTCCACCTCGTTGTGCCAGGGCACTGATGGTCTTCTTCACCTGAAATATCCTGGGCCAAGTGCAGTGGCTTACGCCTGTAATCCCAACAGTTTGGGAGGCTGAGGCAGGAGGATCACTTGAGATCAGGAGTTTGAGACCAGCCTGGACAACATGGCAAAACTCCATCTCTACAAAAAAATACAAAAATTAGCTGGGCATGGTGGTGCATGCCTGTGATCCCAGGTACTCACGAGGCTGAGGTGAGAGGATAGCTTGAGTCCAGGAGGCGGAGGTTACAGTGACCTGAGATCGAGGCACTGCACTCCAGCCTGGGGGACAGAGCAAGACCCTGTCTCAAAAAAAGAGCGGAGGGGAGTGGAGGGGAGGGAAAGGGAGGAATCCTGCAATCCTCATCTCTCTACTGACTCGATTTTTTTTTTTTTTTTTTTTGAGACGGAGTTTCACTCTTGTTGCCCAGGCTGGAGTGCAATGGCACGATCTCGGCTCACAGCACGTCCGCCTCCCAGGTTCAAGCCATTCTCCTGCCTCAGCCTCTGGAGTAGCTGGGATTACAGGCATGCGCCAGCACACCCGGCTAATTTTGTATTTTTAGTAGAGACGGGGTTTCACCATGTTGGTCAGGCTGGTCTCGAACTCCGGACCTCAGGTGATTCGCCTGCCTCGGCCTCCCAAAGTGCTGGGATTACAGGCGTGAGCCACCGCACCCGGCCTACTGACTCGATTTTTTAAGACAAAAGGATGAAAGGGGGTTGACAGACATCCTCTTAATCACAACTCTGCCACAATACAGCTGGGTGGCTTTGGGCCAGTTACTTAATCTCCTTTTCTGCCTCAGTTTCTTCATCTGCTAAATGGGGATAGTAAAGTGAAGACCATACACTACTGTGAACATTAAATGAAATGAGGATGCTAATCAACTGATGATGTTAATACATGTCAGTTTGCTCTACTCAAACATAAATGCCACCTTCCTTCTGAAGCCTTCCTTAACATCTGCAGCCAAATTTCTTGAATTTCTTGAAATTCCCATCGCACACATTAACCGCAGCTGTGTTTGGTACTTGGTCATTCTCTACTCACATTTGTGCCATGTTTCTATGTCAGCACGCCTACCAGACAATGTGCTTTTGGAGGGCAGAACCCATGTTTAATTCATGTTTGTATTCTTTCCAATTGTCTTGCACAAACTGTAATCAAATGGTAAGAATCTTAGGATTCTAGAATTAACAGGACCCTTTCAATAACCTAGACAAAACTCACCATTCTGTAGATGAAGAAAACTGAGTCCAAGTGAGATGAAGAAAATAATCACACTACTAGTAAGTAATAGAAATGAGTGGACAGATTGATGGGTGGAGAGGTGGATGGATGGATGGATGGATGGATGGATGGATGGATGGATGGGTGGGTGGGTGGGTGGGTGGATGGATGGATGGGTGGGTGGGTGGATGGATGGATAAATGGATGAATGGATGAATGAATGGACAGATGGATGCACAGATGCATGGTTGGATGGATGAACAACAGCAGCAAAAATAGGAACAGACCAACCAGCAGTCAGTTACAACATCCAAAACTTAACAGCAATTCAAATCCTAGGGCATAGTGAACTGACTCACCATATAATGGCCACCTTACTACGCATGTTGTCTTCATCTACTAAAAATCTTTCAATGCTATTTAAAAAAAAATTCCTTATAAAATTCAGATCCAGAAAATCCACCATGCAAAAGGATTTCAACCTCCTCAGTGCCAGGATCTCTTCATTAATTTAAAATATAATTGTATTCAAAACTTCGAAACAGCAGCTCACCTTCACCCTAGGTAGCTTATTCATGCCACAGGTGTTACTGAATGGCAATACCATGTGCCAATCACATATTTGTCCCCCCTCCTCACCCCCCAGGAAGCCCACAGACGGACCATTCCTGTGAAGAGCTCCCAGCTCAATGTCATCTCTTGCTCTTCTCCTCCAGTCTGCCACCTCCATCTGTCCCTACATTTACTCAGTAAAGTGCAGTACAGCATGATAAATCCCATCACAGAGATAATGAGAGAAATTATGGAAAGGCAGATTGCAAAGCACTTGGCAAACACTTACATTTGGAAGTTCTGGATATAGGAGCACATTTCCCTTTACTCTCTAAGGTTCAGGAAATGTTGCAAACCTCACAGAGGGAGGGAGGCTCCAAGCTAGGACCTGGAGCATAGAATTTCCCAGAATGTCTTCTTCCTACAGAGCCACATGACGGACAGGGAACAGCGCCAGGACACATTCTATAGCTGTGCGGCTCCATGTTCTAAAATGCCCCTCTCTCTCCATACCTCTTAGAACTTTTAAAGTGACTGAAACGGCTGGGCATGGTGGCTCACACCTGTAATCCCAGCATTTTGAGAGGCAGGGGCAGGGAGATCACCTGAGGTCATGAGTTCGAGACCAGCCTGCCCAATATGGTGAAACCCCATCTCTACTAAAAATACAAAAATTAACCGGGCATGGTGGCGGGCACCTGTAATCCCAGCTACTTGGGAGGCTGAGGCAGGAGAGTCGCTTGAACCTCAAAGGCAGAGGTTGCAGTGAACCAAGACCGCGCCATTGCACTCCAACCTGGGCAACAAGAGAAAAACCCCATCTCAAAAAATAAATAAATACATAAAAAAATAAAGTGACTGAAAACGTGATCTGGGTAATATACCAAACAGCAAATGTAGGCTGTAGGATTGTTGGGACTGGAGATGGCTAGAGATGGACTATGGAAAGCAAGTTCCCAGCAGCTGAAGATAATACATACAAAACAAATCGCCATAGCACTGTGTAAATTACTGTCCTATCCCCAGTAAGATTCCACAGACTTTTCACGATCCTCTATGAGCTTAGAGGGAATACGAAGAGGCCTTCCCGTTGCACAAGATCTATCTAGATGACTGTGATCTATCTAGATGACTGTGACGATGGTTCAAGTGTCCCTTCTTCAGAAGTTGTCCCTGGCCGCCCCCTCTAAAACAGCTCTTGCAGCAACTTCTCTATCTCCATGCTATGCTTTCTTTACAGCATTTATTGTTACCCGACATTAAATTATATCTTTTTTTATTATTATTATTGCCACTGTCTCTTGCCAAAATGCATGCTTCTTTAGGGCCCTGACTCTGTTTTCTTGACTTCTATAATTCCCAGGACCTGGAACTGTATCTGACACAAAATAGGTGGTAAATGATTATCTATTAAGTAAATAATTGATATCCTCTTCCCAGATCAGAACCCTACTAATATAGACCCATTGTTACTAAGTTACTACAGGCAATGGTTTCTCTACCTCTACCCCAATACAACAATATTAGATTTAAAGTAACACTCAAGGCCAGGCACGGTGGCTCACGCCTGTAATCCTAGCACTTTGGGAGGCTGAGGTGGGTGTATCACCTGAGGTCAGGAGTTCGAGACCAGCCTGGCCAACATGGCAAAACCCCGTCTCTACTAAAAATACAAAAAAAATTAGCTGGGCAGCCAGGCGCGGGCTCACTCCTGTAATCCCAGCACTTTGGGAGGTCGAGGCGGGTGGATCATGAGGTCAGGAGTTTGAGACCAGCCTGGCCAACATGGTGAAACCTCGTCTCTACTAAAAATTACCCGGGTGTGGTGGCAGGCGCCTGTAATTTCAGCTACTCAGGAGGCTGAGGCAGGAGAATTGCTTGAACCCGGGAGGTGGAGGTTGCAGTGAGCCAAGATCGCGTCATCGCACTCCAGCCTGGTGACAGAGCGAGACTCTGTCTAAAAAATAATGATAAATTTTTAAAAAATTAAAAATTAAAAAATAAAGTAACACCCAAGCTGAACCTGGCCCCTCTCTGCACTAATACCTGAAATAACTCAGGAACGAAACTAGAGAAGGAAAGTGGTGTTCTGAATAACTATGGTGGAGCAGCAGGGGTACAGTGGCAGTATCCTGGGCAAGCCGGATTGTGAGCCATGTGAACCACAAAGCAAAGCCAGACCTGAGGAGGGACACCATGGACTATGGACACTGAACAAGCTCAGATGCAAAGGGCACAACCCGCTGCTGAGAACAAATGGACCCGGGACCGAGGCCTATGGACATGAGGAAGCTTCAAAGAGTGACAGTTACCACCTGTGGCCCCACTGCCATCCAGAGGGTAGGACGAAGTCAAAATCACCCTGATAAAGATTAGATTGGAGACAGGGATGAAATTCAGGTTGGAGGCCTTCACTTTAGGAGAAGATGTGCATGGGAAGTGTGTGCTGATTAATACACAGAATAAAACCTTCTCACTGAATAGAGCTCTAGGAAGCAAATAAAAAGGAAAAAATGTTTTTACAACAAAGGTAACCAAAAATCACATAATTTTCGCATGAAAAATCTTTTTTAGTCCAGGTACAGTGGCTCATGCCTATAATTCCAGCACTTTGAGAGGCCAAGGTGGGAGGATTGCTAAAGGCCTGGAGTTCAAGACCAGCCTAGGCAACATGGTGAGACCCCATCTTTTTTTTTTTTTTTTTTTTTTTTTTTTTTGAGACAGTCTTACTCTATTGCCTGGGCTGGAGTGCAGTGTCATGATCTCAGATCATTGCAACCACCGCCTCCCAGGTTTAAGGGATTCTCATGCCTCAGCCTCCCAAGTAGCTGGGATTACAGGCATGTGCGACCACACATGGCTAATTTTTATATTTTTTGTAGAGATGGGGATCTGCCCACCTCAGCCTTCCAAAGTGCTGGGATTACAGGCATGAGCCACCGCACCTGGCTGACCCTGTCTCTTTAAAAAAAAAAAAAAAAGAAAGAAAAGAAAAAAAGAAAACTCCTAAAAAAGTATTATCATTTCTTCATACTATAAATCGTCTTTTCTGCAAAAACTAAAATTAGGTTAACTATGAATTTAGCAACATACAGGTTTTTCAATCCTAAATTACTGTAACTTTTCGCAGGCACATTTGTGCAGAGTGGAATTTCAGTTCGGTTGCAAAATACTATTTGAAAGAAATACTTCATTTTCTTTGCCACTTCAAGACTCCCTCAACAATATAACTACTGCATACTGGTTCCATTCTCTATCTTTTCACCCAAACTGAGAAATTTTCTCAACAAAGAGGTCTTAAATAAATACATTTTAAGCAATAATAACACACTGCAATACTTCTTAAGGTTACATTCATCCTACAGACAAGATGTTCTATTTATTTGCTATCCCACTTTCTGTGTAAGAAAATGCAACAGGTATATTTGAAAATGTGTAACCTTTCCCCCTCTGGACATAAGCAAGCCTCAGCTTTACTCATATATGAAAACGCTTTCTTTTTTTGAGATGGAGGCTTGCTATGGTGCCCAGGCTGGACTAAAATTCCCGGGCTCAAGTGATCCTTCTGCCTCTGTCTCCTAAGTAGTTGGGATTATAGGCATGTACTTCCACCTTCCCTAAATGGTCTTCAGCTATGGGAAGGAAACGGGATCTTTATAGCCTAGAAGAGAAACAGGTTTTAAACAAGTAGTTGAGGAAGGAAGAAAGGAAAAGTGGGAGGAAAGGAAGTGGGGAATGAGGGAGAAAGGGAAGGGGAAGGGACTGAAATAAAAGATTAGTCAGAGTAAGCTGGGTGTGGTGGTGCATGCCTGTAATCCCAGCACTTTGGAAGGCAGAGGCGGGTGGATCATGAAGTCAGAAGATCAAGACTATCCTGGCCAACATGTTGAAACCCCATCTCTACTAAAAATACAAAAAAATGGCCGGGTGCGGCGGCTTACGCCGGTAATCCCAGCACTTTGGGAGGCCGAGACAGGTGGATCACGACGTCAGGAGATCGAGACCATCCTGGCTAACACACTGAAACCCCGTCTCTACTAAAAACACACACACAAAAAAAATCAGCCAGGCATGGTGGCGGGAGCCTGTAGTCCCAGCTACTCGGGAGGCTGAGGCAGGAGAATGGCGTGAACCTGGGAGGCGGAGCTTGCAGTGAGCCGAGATCGCACCACTGCACTCCAGCCTGGGCGACAGAGCGAGACTCCATCTCAAAAAAAAAAAAAAAAAAATTAGCTGAGCGTGGTGGCACTTGCCTGTAATCCCAGCTACTCGGCAGGCTGAGGCAGGAGAATCGCTTGAACCAGGGAGTCAGAGGTTGCACTGAGCGAGATGGTGCCATCGCACTGCAGCTTGGTGACAGCGAGACTCCCTCTCAAAAAACAAACAAACAAACAAACAAACAAACAAAAAACACTAGTCAGAGTGGCCGACAGCAAAGTTGAGACAGAATTCCGCCATCATTGCATCATAGAGTGCAAATGACCCTTTGCACTGTAATCAGAGTGAACGTCTCAGACACCTTCAAATCATAAACCAGTTTCCTAGCAGAGGGCCATGACACTACTGAAAGATAATTTGAGCCATTTTTCCTTTTTCTTAAAGAATACAGTAGCATCCCCCAAAATATGTCCTTGACCCCCCCATCTATCCCCTCCCCATGTACAAGCTCTCTTCCTATCTGTCATGGAAAACAAACGCCTGTGCCCTACATGCTATTCCCAGTTTCAATCCTTCATTCATCAACAGCAACAAGGACATTTATGAGGGCTCGTCAACATGTGGCCCTATGCTAGACATTGTACAGACTGAAGTTAACAGACTCAGGCTCGCCTTTGAGGAGCTTCCCAAAGAGATTATTGTTTGGTTTTATAAATTTGACCACCAGAAAAACTCAGGGCCCGTGCCCTATTCACAGCAGGTCTGTGGCTTTGGGTACAAAGAGCAGAGCATTTTATAAGCCCCTATAAATCAAAGTGAGCCTTCGCACACTCAAGCACAGTCTGTCGGTGCAAGCAATAAATGGATTTCTAAACCATGAAACCAACTCTTTTTGAGGAATGTCCTCCTTTCTGCTTTTTCCAATGCATTGGAGTTGTTTTTGCAACCCTGAAATAGCACGGTCTTATTTAGGACACAGACAACCAGAGCTCAATAAATATCTGAACCATGTCTTGCTGACACACATGAAGCAATTATGTCCCAGGATAATTATGCCGTACACATCACTTCATCCAGGAAAATGTCCAGGTGCAAGAAATAGGAAACAAAAAAATAAAAACGAAGCACTATGATTTCTGTCTTTCCAGGGTGGGGGGAAGGGTGTCTTCCTTTCAGTAAATGAATATGTAAAAAGTTAATTTTTCTTCAAAACATGTCTATATCCTCATCTTAAAATACAATAAGCTCTGAATTATTGTAGACCAGAAAATAAAAATATCTGGGGTTTTCTTGTAGGGAAGTTCAAATGGTAGGAGAATATTTGATATTTTCAGTTTTCCTGAAGATCAGAAGGACTTTCAGAATAATGCATTTTTTCCTTCAACAAAGGGCATCTGCAAGGCTTAATCTGCTGAAAAGAATCATTCTGACAGTCTTAATGTATTCTTTTGAGGAAAGCCCTGTTCAGAGAATTCCACAGGAAAAAAAAAATCAGTACCCCAGGAAAGCACCAATCTAAACCATTCTAGCTCCCTGTAAGGAGATGAAACAAAAGTATTTTCAACATATCCTAGATATTAGATTGAGAAGAAAATAGGAGTGATAATCCTTAATATTACATAGTTTTCACATTTCCTCAATGAGCTATTATTAAAACAAATATTTGAAAGATTTCCCAGTCTTTCAAAGAATATCTCCCAGGAAAGCCACTTTCACAATTCTGCTGTAAGACAAAAATATCCCTAAGGTAGGAAGTATTAAATTGCATCAATGTTGAGAACAATAACCCCAATAACAAGAATAATTATAGTATAATATTATTATAATAAGGTACCTTTCATCCAAGACTCAGAATGTTTTGCAAACATTCTCTCATGCTGGGATAATACTGCTAGGGAATTAGAATATAAGGAATTTTAATGACTTGTCTCAGGTCACTGGTCAGCTTGAGTGGTGCACCAAGATGCAGATATCTGATTGTGGTCTGCTGATCTAACAAACTGACCACATCACTTTCAATTAATAATTTGGAGAGTTCTATTTCAGGACAATTTTCAAGGAAACCCATATTAGCTCTTCCATTAAATTCTGATTATGTTCCGTCTCTGTTTCCATTACTCCCCTCTCCACCCACCCATAGCACAGTTAAGAAAGAGTATAATTGGGGAAAGCTCCCAAAGTGATCTCCCTGCATGGAATATATCTCTTTCCCTCTCTCCTAACATTCCTCTGGCACAAGACAGAAAGCAAAGCTTCCTCAGACATTGGTTTTGTGATATCCTTCCCCAGGACTGGAAGCAAGACGGTTCCCCACTGCCTATCAGAATATTTAAAGTTCTTGATCACCAATCTCATGCTCGTGTCATTTCCTCCACACATTCCTGGCACACGAACATTTCCTGTTCTCATTGTTCCCCTGGTGTGTCTGTTCATGCTATAGTTGTCTTTTTCTAAAAAGCCTCCATAATTTCTACTTGCCTGGGATCCCTAAACACGTACTTAGTGCATCCCAGCCACCCTAGCCACATAGCCGGCTGCAAGGACATCCAATTTCTCTTTAACACTTTTAGAAATGAAGAAGGCACTGCTCTGAAAAACAGTGCTCTGTCGAGCATTTTAATCGTGAGAAACCTCTTATTTGAGCTGGATTCTTGTGTGCTCACTTGTACATCTACCCAACAGGCCCCATGCTGCATCTTAAATTGATGTAGAACAAATAAACTTGTTCTGTAACAAAATGTCTTTGCAATGTTTGAAAATAACTATTTTGTTTGTCCTTAATCTTTTCGGCTCTAAGCTCATATGCCAAGGCCCTTCAACTATTCCTCAAGAGACCTGGTTTCTAGACCCTTTGCCTTCCAAAGAAATACCTCTAATTCAGTGCTACTTAACTATTATTCATGTCATGCACCCAGAGTAAATAATACCATTTGTACAGCATATTGGGGAAATAAACAAGGGTTTTAGGCAGGCCGGACCAGATTGAGGACTCTAGGTCTGAGCCCTAGCCTACGGTTGTAGGGATTGATGTTTAGATGTTAAGTCATGCCTGATACCCAAATAGGAAGCTCCATGATAACTTTATTAAAATCTGGCACCCAAAAGTGAACACATTCTGCACAGATCATCTTAAATCCAATTTATTTCAGCAAACTTCCCCCCAAAACTAAAGCCAACACTCATTTTTCCTCTTCCTGACTACAAAGCGCATATCTGCTTGAACTGATGACATTTGATTGTGTGTGTGTGTGTGTGTGTGTGTGTGTATATATATATATATATATATATATATATATATAATTTTTTTTTTTTTTTGAGACAGAGTCTCGCTCTGTCGCCCAGGCTGTAGTGCAGTGGTGTGATCCTGGCTCACTGCAAGCTCCGCCTCCCGGGTTCACGCCATTCTCCTGCTTCAGCCTCCTGAGTAGCTGGGACTACAGGCACCCACCACCACGCCTGGCTAATTTTTTTTTGTATTTTTAGTAGAGACTGGGTTTCACCGTGTTAGCCAGGATGGTCTCGATCTCCTGACCTCCTGATCTGCCCGTCTCGGCCTCCCAAAGTGCTGGGATTATAGGCGTGAGCCACCGCGCCCAGCCCTCGATGATACATATTTTAAGATTTTCTGAAGTAGGTATCTTAATTAATGTGTGTCAGACTCACTTTTCCCAAAAATGACTACAACTTCATTAGGAGCCATGTTTCTTTGCAATTATCATTATGCCTAAAAGAACACAGTGCAGGTTGGGCACATGGTAAAGCCTCACCAAAACATCTGCAGAACTGAATTATGCAGCCTCTCTACAGGAAAGCCATGGCTTAGAGGCCACAGTCTAGTTTAAAAGATATAAACCTCACCTGAAGAGGAAGTTTATTGCTCTGTCTGTTTATTCACACAGAGTCTAAACAATGACACAGACTTTCAGACTGGAAAACTTAGTACAAATAAATGCTTCCAGACAGGTCTGGATTGGGAAGGAGGGCCATGGAATTCCTTCTCCTATCTGGGTTATTGAGCCCAGACAGTCATCACTCAAGTTATAAACACTACTAAATGATGTTGCATAGTTTTATTTAAAGCTATATTTGATTTCAGATTAGACTTTAACATTTAATAAATTTCCCATCAGTATATGGGAAGAGTGGAGACTATTTTGATTTAAGCGTTATTTCAAATATGAAACTCAAGCTGTGTTAGTTAAAAAGGGCTCTAGTTATAATTCAGTCTCACAGTAAGGTCAGGACTCTTGGATTCCCCTAATCCTTCTCCTCTAGGGCTGAAATGCCTGGGAATTCAGTGAATTTACATATTCTTTCCTGACCACAAAGCTGTCACAGGGCCCTAGCCAAACTCTCTCACTCCTCCAGATTCAAGCTGACTTATCTCTGTAACACTCAGCTCAGAATTCAGCTGGGAGAGAGTCTGCTTTAAGGGAGCAACTCTACCACTGAAAAAGCAGTGGCACCCTCCTTTCCAGGAGGTGAGATCTTACTCATTTTCCTCCTCTCCCACATCTCTTGGCGCAAGCCAGTAAATGTGAAGCTCTAATAGATTAATGAAAAGTCGGCACTGATCCCTCTGGACTCCATCCATTTTTAAGTGAGCTATGAGAACTTGGACACATTACAGATCCTGGAAGAATGAAATATGAGGAGAGAAAAGGAAGTTTGACACATGCAGAGAAACTGATCTCTGGGGCTAGGGAGAAGCTAAGAGAGAGGAAATTTTGGGACAGAAGGCATAATACAAACTTAATTCACGGATCATACACTACTGAAGAATAAAGACTGACTTCCCCATTAAAGTTTGAAAGTTGAGCAGCTAATACGAACTTGGGATTTCATGCAAAAACAATCATGCAGCTATTGACAGGCTAAATAAGGAGTTCAGTGCTACCTTAATTCATCTGACATTCACTCTACCTGCCCTGTCTATGCGAGGTAGTTAAAGAGGGAAAAGCAATTTTACATGGAAAATAAAAGATAAGGTTAAAAAAAAATAACAATTCCACTACAAAACAGACTAAGTTTGTCCTTCTTACCTTTATGAATCGCAAGCAGAAAAAAGTGGTAATTCTGGAGTGACCCTAGGACAAGGACAGAGATCACCTGGGGCAAATTTTCGAAGCAGATCTTCAGGGAAAAAATAAATCCCAACTCTAATTCTATCCCTGAAACTGGCATTTCCATGCAAATCTATTCTGTTCATTAAAAGCCAATATTATTCTGAAGTGCCACAAATCCATGAGTTTGGCCAGTACTGAGGAATCTATTAATTTTAATTCTACAGTAATTCCTTTAAAAGTCTGAAAGGTTGGTGGTATAAGGAAGAAAAACTAATTTAACCCACATTTATATAGCAACAAATAACTGGTAAACAAAAATCTCCATTCTAGTGTACATTAATATCCATTTTTTAAAAAATCAAATAAGACCATTTGAAAAAAGGAAAATTATGTTAGATTAACATCTGATTCTGTGCTGGGCACTTAGTAGGTGTTCAATAAATTATGATTGAATAAAAAACCCATTTCTTTAAAACACCAGAACTTACTAAGTAAAAACAGTGTATTAAAGATTACCTTCTCATGGGTAAGGAATGCAGGAAAGAAAAATGAAAATGCTATTACTGCTTAAATCTCCCACAAGAGCATGACCAAAGGAAATGAAAGTCTAAAACAAGTACTAAAAACATTTCATGAGTCACAATATTTATGCTACAACTCTTTCAAATTAACCAATTCTGTAATCATCCCTGAGAAATGAATATGGCTTAGAAAGATAAAAGAACGTTGTTGAGCTCAACCAAAATTATTGTGACACTAAAGTTATTTTGAGACAGTGTGCAGGTAGATGTAACTATTATAAGATAATATTACAAGAAATGTTTTCAACAGGGCTGCACAGTTTTTGAGTGCACACAATTCTGAGATTTTCTCCACTCAGTACCATGACTAGGATAAGCTCTGTCTTCCTGTCTTTCCACAATCTGTTTTTGCTGACTATTGTCTATGGGCACGGTTTATAATTTTTCATTATTTTCTGGAGACTTCCTATTTCACAACCATATCTTGGTGCCAGTATCATTTTACATTTACAAATAAAGTCTATTCTAAATGACTTAGCTACAAATCCGTGGTAATGTCTCAGTTTAGGTAAGCAGTTTTTAGCTTTCTCAAGATCCTCTACTTAAGATACATTAAATTTTTATTTTCTCATGGACCCATTTTAATTTTTTTTTAAAGAACTGAGAGTCATCTGTATAAGGCTGCACTGTCCTGTCCAATGCTGCCCAACAAAATGAAGCCAAGTGGACTTAAGATAAAATTATCAAACTTCACCTGAAATTTTTAAACAAAAACAACTCTTTCCCATTAAAATAATTCAGGTCAGAGTAATTCTGTATCTCTCTGGAAGGTTTTATTTCTTTGATTATAAAAGTGCCTCACTTTCATAAACTACTAATTAGATAATACACTTTTCATATTTGTCAGTGCTTAGATTTGATTTCCCAATCAATTCATTTTGTTTTGACATTTCTCATTCATTTCAACTTTGAGACTGAAAATATACATTATTCTTGTTGCATGAAAAACTATTTTCAGATTACTTTTACATAATGATGTTTACATAGACTTGAACAGACAAATTTGAAATTTTTGATCCACATAGGTTGAATTTTTAAAATTTAGTATAAACATATATGTGTGTGTGTGTATATATATTTGTTTGTTTGTTTTTATGAGACAGAGTCTTGCTCTGTTGCCCAGGCTGGAGTGCAGTGGCACGATCTTGGCTCACTGCAACCTCCACCTCCTAGTTTCAGGTGATTCTCCTGCCTCAGACTCCCAAGCAGCTGGGATTACAGACGTGCACCACCACGCCTGGCTAATTTTTTGTATTTTTAGTACAGACGGGGTTTCATCATGTTGGCCAGGCTGGTCTCAAACTCCTGACCTCAGGTGATTCACCCGCCTCCGCCTCCGAAAGTGCTGGGATTACAGGCATGAGCCACCATGCCTGGCCTACAAATTAGTATAAATATATTACGGCAGACCAAAACACCAAAGTCTTCTATCAAATGGCAGAAGAAGGCAAGGACTGAATATTCCCTGAAAACAGGACCACATCGTACACCCAACCTTACAGAAGAATGGCTCCCTTCTGCTCACAATAAAACAGCAAGAGCAGAAGATGCCCTAGTGAGCAGGCTTCCTCAGCTCTCCAGGACACCCAAGCACACGCAAGGTGCTCCGAGATGCCGGGTAGGGAGGCAGGTGGCCCCTCTGTGAATACAGAGAGTGGCTACTGAGCAAAAGCTCTGCAATGATTGAATAGGCTCAGAGTTGAAGGGCAATGGAACAATCAAAGACAGGTTCCTCCTTAAGGAGAATATCCAGCCCAAGCTGCAGTAGACTTAAGTGTTGCCCATAGAATTCCTTGTCTTATCGCTGTTTGTAGTCCTGTTATTTGTCCTTTAGGGGTGATTTTAGCTTCAGATTTTCTATTTGAAAAATGTTGGCTGGATGCGGTGGCTCAAGCCTGTAATCCCAGCACTTTGGGAGGCCGAGGCAGGCAGATCACGCGGTCAAGAGATTGAGACCATCCTGGCTAACATGGTGAAACCCCGTCTCTACTAAAAATACAAAAAATTAGCTGGGCGTGGTCGCGCATGCCAGTAGTCCCAGCTACTTGGGAGACCGAGGCAGGAAGATCGCTCGAACCTGGGAGGCAGAGGTTGCAGTGAGCTGAGATGGTGCCACTGCACTCCAGCCTGGAGACAGAGCGAGACTCCATCTCAAAAAACAAACACAAAACAAAAGAGAAAAAAAGAAAGAAAAATGTTACATGTCATATCAAATTTGTACACACAAGACCCCTTAAAGGATGGTGGAATTCTTTAAATAAATAAATCGAATACTAAATGCCTTATCTAGCTTCAATTCAATTATGAGAACTGATCAGTTTTGCTGCATTTTTAAAACAGAAACTCTCAGCTTGGGCAACATAGCGAGAATTGATCTCTACAAATTTTTTTTTTTAGAAATTGGCCAGGCTTGGTGGCTCTCACCTGTAATCCCAACACTTTGGGAGGCTGAGACGGGAGAATCACTTGAGCCCAGGAGTTCAAAGTTACAGTGAGTTATGATCGTGCCACTGCACTCCAGCCTGAGCAACAGAGCAAGAGCTTGTCTCTAATAAAGTTATTAATAATTAATTTAAATAAAAGGAAACTCCTTGAAGATATGATGACATATCAATTCTGGTTTCATCAAATATGAATGCTGCCATTCATAACAACAACAAAGATTGAGATGTTTTGGCTTGGAAGGATGATTATAGCGTATGGACATGTGGAGGGGGAAAAGGCAAGTGACAGAATACTCTAAAGCACAGTATACTATGATCCCATTTTGTTAAAGTAAACAAATACATGTGTTTATGAATGTAAGAAGGGAGGAATGAAAAGACACACAACTGTCTGTTGCCAGTGATGTCACAGAGAAGTGACATGGCACAAATCATACAAACCCCATTATCTGCCAAATAAAATCCAAGCTAGCTAACAGAAGGTAACTAATTAATAATGGTTGCATTTGTTTATGTAATGCTTTACTTTCACAATTGAACCCTACACCCAGGGATATTTATTCACTACCATATTCGCTATACCTTTTCCTCCCTGAAGGTATAGCCACCCATACATAGACAACTATGATGCCTTACTGGTAAATAGGCATATAACTCTTATGGGATGAATGAATGAATGATGAATGAGTAGTAAATGTTTTAATCAACTGCTTCATAAATTGAATAACTGGTTCTGGTGTGAACAACGTAAAGTTTTGGATCTGGTCAGTAGCAGGAGAAAAAAATTACTGCAAATTGCATTGCAAGCTTTCAAAAACAAGCTTAACCTGCTTAGCAGGTGTGACAGTCCCCTTCTTGACAACTGACAAAAGAATCTTCCCCATTTTTGACTTACTCTACTGATTAAAATGACAAAAATAGATGTTTCTTTTTTCTTTTTTTCCCCTTTTCTGGCCCTGTGACACTATAATTCTTGGGCAACTTTCCCATACGAACTAATTTTCAAAACTCATGAGAAGAACTTATTCACTAGCATACTCACAAAAGAACCAACAAGAATTTAGTCATACTTCTTTCTAGGAATTTTAAATGGTCCTGGCCCCCTAGAAATCCAAAATTCACAGTTTTACGTCATTTCTTTCTTTTTTTAGGGGAAGGGACAGGATCTGGCTCTGTTGCCCAGGCTGGAGTGCAGTGGCATCATCTCAGCTCACTGTAACCTCTGCCTCCTGGGATCAAGCAATCCTCTCAGCTGTTTGAGAACTCCCAAACAGCTGGGACCACAGGTGTGTACCACCACACCCAACAAAATTTTTTTTTTTTTTGGACAGACGGGGTTTCACCACGTTACCCAGGCTGGGATTACAGGCATGAGCCACCACACCTGGCCTCTTACGTCATTTCTATTGCGGGTCCCTAAAGTAATTTTGAAGAGAAAAAGAAAATCTCTGGGGCGGGGTTACAAGGGAAATGGACAACCTTTATTTCTCCTGTCATCTATCAGATTTGCATGTCTAACATGACAAATTGTCACTAAAGTAGAAAAAGTGTTTCTTTTCAATAAAGGTGTTGGCTAGAACAAATAAAATATTTACAGGATCTTAAAAATGCATATTATTGTTGTGCGAGGTGGCTAATGCCTGTAATCCCAACACTTTGGGAGGCTGAGGTAGGCAGATCACCTGAGGTCAGGAGTACAAGACCAGCCTGGCCAACATGGTAAAACCCCATCTCCACTAAATGTACAAAAATTAGCCGGCGTGATGGTGGGCACCTGTAATCCCAGCTACTCTGGAGGCTGAGGCAGGAGAATCATTTAAACCAGGAAGGTGGAGGCTGCTGCGAGCCAAGATGGTGCCACTGCACTCCAGCCTGGGCGACAGAGTGAGCCTCCGTCTCAAAAAAAAAAAAAAAAAAATTCCTGTTATTCCTATTTTTGCTCTTACTAGGCAACAATTTTTAGACACTTATTCATCATTATCAGAACAATAACCACCCATCTGAAAAGCTAATATATAATCTTTTGCCAATATTTAGTGAATAAATTATGCTGGATCATTTTACACTATACCAACATCATTGATCATTCCTTCTTTACTTCTTTCTCTAATTAAACACACACACACACACATATATATATAAAATAATTTTACTTCAAAAAAAAAAACCTTGGGCCAGGTGCAGTGGCTCACAACTGTAATCCCAGCACTTTGGGAAGCTAAGGTGGGCGGATCACTTGAGCTCAGGAGTTCAAGACCAGCCTGGCCAACATGGGGAAACACTGTCTCTACTAAAACTACAAAAATTAGGCCGGGCAAGATGGCTCATGCCCGAATCCCAGCAGTTTGGGAGGCCGAAGTGGGCAGATCATCTGAGGTCAGGAGTTCGAGACCAGCCTGGCCAACGTGGCAAAACCCCGTCTCCACTAAAAATACAAAAATCAGCCAGGCATGGTGGCATGCACCTATAGTCCCAGCTACTTGGGAGACTGAGGCATGAGAATCTCTTGAACCACCCCGGGAGGCAGAGTTTAGTGAGCCGAGATCCTGCCATTGCACTCCAGCCTGGTCAACAGAGTGAGACTCCAACTTAAAAAAAAAAAAAAAGCCAGTCGTGGTGGCACCTGCAGTCCAAGCAGGTGGGAGACTGAAGCACGAGAATTGCTTGAATCTGGGAGGCGGAGGTTGCAGTGAGCCCAGATCATGCCACTGCACTCCAGCCTGGGTGACAGAGTGGGACTCTATCTTGAAAAAAAAAAGAAGAAAAAGAATCTTACTTCTAATGTCTGCCTACCTTCTGTGAAGTATTTTATTTAAAACAAGTCTTTTCTTATACGAAACTGCAGCATTCTGCCAGAATTCAGTTTTAATGCTACCTCGCTTCTAGCTATTGATTCCTACCCATCATTCCAGGATGAACCTAAGTTATACCTTACTCCCTGAAAGTGCCTCCTCACCCTGAGTACCCCTTTTGAGAAATTCCTGTCGAATTAACTGTTACTGTTATTATTCTGGCCCTGAATCCTAAACTTTTATTCTTAACTCTACAAGTATCCAAGAGTTGTCTCCCCATTCGAATCCGGGTTCCATAGTTTCTGAATGAAGCAATTATGACTTGCTTTTTTCCTTTCTCTCCTTACCACACATACCAGGCATTCAGCCAAAACATCATGAATGAATGAATGAATGAATGAATGAATGAATGAAAAAAAATAAATGAGGGCACACCATACCATTTGAAAATGAGATCTGGCCCAGGCTGGAGTGCAATGGCGCTATTTCGGCTCACTGCAAGCTCCGCCTCCCGGGTTCACGCCATTCTCCTGCCTCAGCCTCCACAGTAGCTGGGACTACCGTCGCCCCCCACCAAGCCCGGCTAATTTTTTGTATTTTTAGTAGAGACGAGGTTTCACCATGTCAGCCAGGATGGTCTCCATCTCCTAACCTCGTGATCCACCCACCTCTGCCTCCAAAAGTGCTGGGATTACAGGCGTGAGCCACCGAGCTCGGCCAAATCTTTTTAAATAAATGTTTTCACTCCCCAAAAAGTTAACTATGTGAGGTAATATGTCCGGAATTGGTGGGTTCTTGGTCTCACTGACTTCAAGAACGAAGCCGCGGACCCTCGCGGTAAGCTTCACAGTTCTTAAAGGCAGCATGTCCGGAGTTTGCTCCTTCTGACGTTCGGGTGTGTTCGGAATTTCTTCCTCCTGGTGGGGTTCGTGGTCTCACTGGCTCAGGAGTGAAACTGTGGACCTTCACGGTAAGTGTTACAGTTCTTAAGGCGGCGCATCTGGAGTTGTTCGTTCCTCCCGGTGGGTTCGTGTTCTCACTGGCTCAGGAGTGAAGCTGCCGACCTTTGCAGTAAGTGTTACAGCCCATAAAAGCAGTGTAGACCAAAAGAGTGAGCAGTAGCAAGATTTATTGCAAAGAGCTAAAGAACAAAGCTTCCACATTGTGGAGCTAAAGAACAAAGCCTCCACATTGTGGAACGGGACCCGAGAAGATTGCCACTACTGGCTCGGGCAGCCTGCTTTTATTCTCTTATCTGGCCCCACCCACATCCTGCTGATTGGTCCATTTTACAGAGAGCCGAGTGGTCTGTTTTCACAGGGTGCTGATTGGTGCGTTTACAATCCCTGAGCTAGACACAAAGGTTCTCCACGACCCCACTAGATTAGCTAGATACAGAGAATGGACACAAAGGTTCTCCAAGTCCCCACCAGAGTAGCTAGATATAGAGTGTGGATTGGTGCATTCACAAACCCTGAGCTAGACACAGGGTGCTGATTGGTGTGTTTACAAACTTTGAGCTAGATGCGGAGTGCCGATTGGTATATTTACAATCCCCTAGCTAGACATAAAGGTTCTCCAAGTCCTCACCAGTCAGGAGCCCAGCTGGCTTCACCCAGTGGATCCCGCACCGGGCCACAGGTGGAGCTGCCTGCCAGTCCCAGTGCCGTGGGCCCGCACTCCTCAGCCCTTGGGTGGTCGATGGGACTGGGCGCCGTGGAGCCGGGAGCAGCGTTCGTCGGGGAGGCTCGGGCGGCACAGGAGCCCACGGGGAGTGGGGGGATAGGCTCAGTCATAGCGGGCTGCATGTCCCGAGCCCTGCCCCACGGGGAGGCAGCTAAGGCCCGGTGAGAAATCAAGCACAGCGCTGGTGGGCTGGCACTGCTGGGGGACCCAGCACACCCTCCACAGCCGCTGGCCCGGGTGCTAAGTCCCTCATTGCCCGGGGCCCCAGGGCCGGTCAGGCGCTCCAAGTGCAGGGCCCGCCGAGCCCACACCCACCTGGAACTCGCGCTGGCCCGCAAGCACCGCACGCAGCTCCAGTTCCTGCCCGCGCCTCTCCCTCCACACCTCCCCGCGAGCTGAGAGGGCCGGCTCTGGCCTCAGCCAGGCCAGGAAAGGGCTCCCACAGTGCAGCGGCGGGCTGAAGGGCTCCTCAAGTGCCGCCAAAGTGGGAGCCCAGGCAGAGGAGGCGCCGAGAGCTAGCGAGGGCTGTGAGGGCCGCCAGCACGCTGTCACCTCTCAGTAATGTACATGTTAATTAGCTTGATTTTCCTTGGCTAGAGTCACAGAGGAAAAAAAAAGTAAAAATTAAATTTTAAAAAATTTAATAAAAAAAGTGAGGTCAACAATTGCATTCTGGGACATACAGCAGGAAGGATAAAGATATGATATAAATATGAGTGTGGCAAGAGATGTTGTCACTGAGATAGACATGTTCCTATCATGAATATGTGTGTATAATATAAAAATAAGGATTAATTTAGCTCCACGCAACCTCCTTTTAAGTAGGCTCCTTTAGATCCCCAAACTGAAACTCCTAAAAGCTACATGTGATTTTTCTTTGTGCATTTGCTATAAGGTCGCAAATCACCCCCACCTGAACATCAGAGTTTTCTAAAAAAGCAAAACCAAAACAACTCCGTACTAGTGCAGTTTGCATGCCTTACTATCATAGTGACAAATGTATACGCATTTTTGTCAAAGATGTAATATTTGATAAACTGATAACAGAAGCTTTCATGCACATAAAGATAATAAACTTCGCATGTGCTTATAAAGTTACTTGTATATTGAGATGTATTTCCAGTCACTGGAGGTGTATTCACATTTTCTCAATCTAAATTGTTGTGTTGTGTTCAGCAGGTAGTGTGTGGCAGTGTGGCAAGGCTAAAGCCACAGTTTCCTATCTAGTCCACGATCCCAAGCTATGCCCAGCATATGAGACTTGTTTTCTTAATCCTGAAAGTGTGGAGTTGTTTACAAAGACACCCAGCTCATCAACTTGCTGATTCTTGTTTTAGCAGGGACTAGACTTTTTCTTCTGGAGTTGAAAACCAAGGTACAAAACAATCAAGGTTTTCCAAAACCTTGATTTTGGAAATTATAGTGTTTGTGCCAAAAGAGAAAATTTTGACTAGAGTAAAATATTTTAAAGTACCTACATTTTTAGAGTTCTCTAAAAGTAATTTTTAAAAAGATTATTTGCTAAATTAGTCTATTATCTGATTCTGCATAACTCAACCATAGTTGATGATGTCAAAAACTAGAAGTACCGGGCGTGGTGGCTCATACCTGTAATCCCAGCTCTTTGCGAGGCCGAGACAGAAGGATCCTTTGACCCCAGGAGCTCAAGACCAGCCTAGGCAACATAGCAAGATCCTGTCTTTACTAGATATCAAAAAAATTAGCTGGGTATGGGGGTGTGTGCCTGTAGTCCCAGCTACTCAGGAGACGGAGGCAGGAAGATTGCTTGAACCAGGGAATTTGAGGCTGCAGTGAGCTATGAGCGCACCATTGCATCCAGCCTGGGCAACAGAGTAATAAGACCCTGTCTAAAAAAAAAAAAGTTAGCAGGGAAGTGGTTTAAAACCACCTCTGTTCTTAATTATGTTTAAAATAAATTTTAGCATGAGGACTTAGTGTGCTCTCAGAGCTATGGTCTAAGAACCTCTAATTCCTAATTGACAGAATAGCTTATAATTGTATTTTCATAGCGTTTGGTAAAAACAGTCAGCTTGTTTATTTTTAAAAAGGCTCATAGGCCGGGTGCAGTGGCTCACACCAGTAATCCCGGCACTTTCAGAGGCCGAGGCAAGCGGATCACCTGAGGTTGGGAGTTCGAGACCAGCATGACCAACATGGAGAAACCCTGTCTCTACTAAAAATACAAAATTAGCCGGGCGTGGTGGCGCATGCCTGTAACCCCAGCTACTCAGGAGGCTGAGACAGGAGAATCTCTTTAACACGGGAGGCGGAGGTTGCAGTGAGCCAAGATCGCGGCATTGCACTCTGGCCTGGCCGTCTCAAAAAAAAAAAAAAAAAAAAAAAAAAAAGACGCATTAATATAAAACTTACGATTAAAGAAATCAACTGATATCTATTTGGAACACATTTTTTCTCTCTGAAAAAATCACTCACCCTCACATATGGATACCAAAATGGTGATTTTTTTAAAGCACTGATGCATTTGAAAATTTCTCCAAAAGAAAGAAACTGTCTTTGTGGTAACATATTCCTTCTTAGATAAATGTGTCATAGCTATATCACTGGGTATACTAGATTCCATAGCTCTTCAGTTTAAAAAAAAAAAAAAGGTGTCTTATACACTCTATATTGTACAAAATCTAAAACTTGCATAACACAAATGGAAGCCATCTTGAAAAGTAAAATAAATAAATTACTATTGCAGAGAAAAAAGAATTACAGAACACAGTTATGCTGAAAACAATAGCTATGGGCAGAAAAAGTGACAAGACATATAGCAGCTCATTAAAAATTCAGAGGATATTGAAAAAGGCAAATTTAATTTGCCCACCTTCACCAAATAACGCTGAAGGACACCTGACAAATCCAACACATAAACCGTGTACTATGAAATTCAAACATTTACAAGTTCTATCATCCTCAGTCCTTGCTTCTTACCAGAAGGAAAGGGTGGAATGAAATCCATTTACTAAAAGCTTACCTCGACAGGAATGAAAAGGAATATAGGACCAGGCATGGTGGCTCACGCCTGTAATCCCAGCACTTTGGGAGGCCGAGGTGGGCGGATCACGAGGTCAGGAGATTGAGACCATCCTGGCTAACACGGTGAAACCCCGTCTCTCCTAAAAAAAAAATACAAAAAAATTAGCCGGGCGTGGTGGTGGGCGCCTGTAGTCCCAGCTACCTGGGAGACTGAGGCAGTGGAATGGCGTGAACCCGGGAGGAGCTTGCCGTGAGCCGAGATTGCGCCACTACACTCCAGCCTGGGCGACAGAATGAGACTCCGTCTTAAAAAAAAAAAAAAAAAAAAAAAATAGAATTGCCGGGCGCGGTGGCTCACGCCTGTAATCCCAGCACTTTGGGAGGCCGAGGTGGGCGGATCACGAGGTCAGGAGATCGAGACCATCTTGGCTAACAAGGTGAAACCCTATCTCTACTAAAAAAAAAAAAACAAAAAAACAAAAAAATTAGCCGGGCATGGTGGCGGGCGCCTGTAGTCCCAGCTACGCAGGAGGCTGAGGCAGGATAATAGCGTGAACCCGGGAGGCGGAGCTTGCAGTGAGCCAAGACTGTGCCACTGCACTCCAGCCTGGGCAACAGAGTGAGACTCCGTCTCAAAAAAAAAAAAAAAGAAAAGAATTATCAAGGACCAGGACGGGCACAGTGGCTCATGCCTGTAATTCCGGCACTTTGGGAGGCCGAGGTGAGTGGATCACCTGAGGTCAGGAGTTCGAGACCAGCCTGGTCAACAGGGTGAAACCCTGTCTCTACTAAAAATACAAAAAAATTAGCCGGGTGCGGTGGCATGCGCCTGTAATCCCAGCTACTCGGGAGGCTGACGCAGGAGAATCACCTGGGAGGCGGAGGTTGCAGTGAGCCGAGATTGCGCCATTGCACTCCAGCCTGGGTGACGACCCTTTGTTTCCTGATAGACATAGCTAATCATCAACTAAGAAAACTCAGACCTGGAGCATTTAAGTAACTTTTATTCCTGTACACATTGCCTCTTCCTGCTTCCCTACCCCTCAGCACCCCCACCACACCAATACAATACAATGCAGACTCTCTCTCATGATATCACCCATTCATACTCCATCCTCATTCACAATGGTCACAGAAGGAAGGAAAGGTTACAGCACCAGAAGCCGAAAGCTTGGTGTCACTCAGCACATATAGGGGCTACTGTGTCTAGGACACCAAAAAAGAGCAAAGAAGTAAAAAGCAACACCTCCACTTAGGAAGTGTGGCAGGGAAAATGAAAAAAATGCCGCAACATTTACGGAGAAATATAGCAAGAATCACTCACTGAGCACAAATCCTTACCCCCACTCCAGCCGACAAGGCCCTAGTGACCAGGCCTGTACTTGCCTCCAAAGCTCTCCATTTCTGGCAGCCACAGTGGTCTCTTTGGGTTTCCTCACACCAAACTCATTCTGTCTTGGAGCCTTTGCCCTGCCTGTACTCACTCCCACCTCAAATGCCCTTCCCCCTGATCTTCACAGGACAGGCTCCTCCTTGTAATCCAGATCTCAGTTTAGATGAAACCTCTTCAGAGACACCTCAGCTGACCTCCCAATCTGTAGCACCCGCCCCAGGCACCTTCCCATTGCCCTATTTGAATTCTGTGTATTGCAATATCTCATATTTTTCTCATTATGTTTTATTATTGACATTAATAGAGTCAAACCTTACTGTTTACAGATTCTGTATTTGCAAATTCACCTAACTTGCAGAAATTTACGTGTAACCCCAAAATCAATATGCATGGTGCTTTCCTGCTTTCTCAAACATGCACAGAGCAGTGAAAGTTCTAAGTTGCCCAACACACATTCCCAGCTGACGCTGAACAAGGTGACACGCTGCCTTCTTGTTTCAGCTTCAATCATGTAAACAAGTGTCATTTTTAATGCCATGTTCTTTGCATTTTTATGCTTTTTGTTGGTGATTTCACTGTTTGCAATGCCCCCCAGATGGAGGGCTGAAATGCTATTAATATCTAGTGTTACTAAGCGCAAGAAGTCTGTGATGTACCTTGCAGAGAAAAGGCACGTGTTTGCTAAGCTTCACTTAGGCATGAGTTGTAGCACTATTAGCCATGAGTTTAATGTTAATGAACCAATAATATACATTAAATTACACATATATTAAATATATGTATCAAATCTAAATGTAAATATATTTTAAAATACAAATAAAACATATTAAATAAAATACATGCTAAATAAAACACATAAAATAAGCATATGTGTTCATTGATGAAAATCTTGCAGCCAGAGGCTCTCAGGAACCTAACCCTGTATTTTCCCTAGGAGCAATGGTTCAGTATTTGCTAATTCAGTGTTCACAGCAACTTTACAGAACATTAACTCTCTCAGATCATGAGACTCAGTGTATTTATTTTTATTTTTATTTATTTATTTTTTGAGACGGAGTCTCACCCTGTCGCCCAGGCTGGAGTTCAGTGGCACGATCTCAGTTCACTGCAACCTCTGCCTCCCGGGTTCAAGAGATTCTCCTGCCCCAGCCTTCCGAGTAGCTGGGATTACAGGTGCGTGCCACCACACCTGGCTAATTTTTGTATTTTTAGTAGAGATGGGGTTTCACCATGTTGGCCAGGCTGGTCTCGAACTGCTGACCTCGTGATCAGCCGGCTTCGGCCTCCCAAAGTGCTGGGAATACAGGCATGAGCCACCGTGCCCGGCTCAGCGTATTCATTTTGGGAGTTCTCCACAGAAAGACATTTTACTGAATTTGTCTATTTTGCTTCCGCTAAACCGGACCACAGCTGATGGTGATGAAAGTAACAGAGAAATAGTTAAAAGCTTGATTGTTGTCCTTAATTCAGTTTCAAATAAATTTCTGCATGCAGACGAAGTGGGTTTACACAGCTATGGCATAATTTATTATTCCCTGAGAGCAAGGACTACGCCTGTCTTGCACAGAGATATGGCTCACCAATGCCTACAAACAACGTCTAGCACCAAGTGGGTTCCCACTAAAAATCTCATATATGAATGAAATACTCCATGCCAAACGAAATCCTATTTCTTATACTTATTTCCCCTGAAAAACAATATACCAAGTCTAAGGTACTAAATTCTTCCTTCCATTTAGCTTGGGTGGATACAAAATTTGAGGCAATGACATTATAAAGACAAGGTCAAGGAGTTCAAAAACAGAGATCTGGGTTTGAATTCTCTGAACTGCTACACGTGTGAGCTTGGAGACTACACTTTCCCTCTCAGAATCTCACTTTTTTTGTCTAAAAATTAGGGATAATACCACCTCCAGCAGATGATTGTGATACATCAATGTGATAATGTATATACAATTTCTAATACCTTGCTTCACACCTAACAGGCACTGAATAAAGACCATTCCTTCAAGCCTACGTGGAATCATGAGTCACACAGAGTAGCATCGCCAGAGGGAACAGAAAGTCCTCACTTGATACGGCAGAAACAGGAACAGGGTTAGGTAGTCTCCGGCAGGCTGGTCAGTTTTGATCTTTACAACTTGGTTGATGATCACCTCAGCCCTACCTTCAAAAGCGATTCCTGTCCACAGGGGTTGGTAACTGCCTTCCCCTTTACACAAAAAACAAGAAAAAAAATGGTGAAAATCCACAGCCTCCTTTGTCTTTATTTGCATTTGCTTTTGTTTAATTGTAGCAAAATATACATAACATAAAAATTTACCATTTTGGCCGGGTGTGGTGGCTCATGTCTGTAATCCCAGCACTTTGGGAGGCCTGGCGGATCACAAGGTCAGGAGTTCACGACTAGCCTGACAAACATAGTGAAACCCTGTCAATACTAAAAATACAAGAATTAGCTAGACGTAGTGGAACACACCTGTAATCCCAGCTACTTAGGAGGCTGAGGTAGAAGAATCACTTGAACCCGGGAGGCAGAGGTTGCAGTGATCCAAGATTACGCCACTGTACTCCAGCCTGGGCAACAGAGTGAGACTCCAAGACTTCGAGATTCTGTCTCCAAAAAAAAAAAAAAAAAACCATTTTAACCATTTTTTTAAAGTATCTTCTTTCTTAAACGCAGTCTCTGACAGGGGCTGCATAAAGATATGCATGAGATTTGGCCTTGAGAATATTGTAAGATTGCATATAATGCTCCTAAGCTTAGATGTATGACCCCCAACCAATTTTCCACTACTTTCTACTGAATGCCTCACTTGAGCAACAGACATTCTCCTAAAACTTCGTCTGCCATTCTCATTCTTGAAACTTTACTATTACATTTTGTGGGTGAATCTCTATTTTACATAATCTACCAAAATTTCCTAGCTGGCATGATGAAACGAGTTTTTAAAATTTCTTCCTGCCTATATATTTTTCTGTGGTGAGGAAGTTGGATGATGTCTAACACCCATTTGAGGTCTCACATATTATAATTCTGTTATTAAAATCACAGGAATGATTATACACCACACTATCTACACACAGGGTAAAATGTTGCTTCAGTTAGCACAGACCAAAAATGGCATGCTTACAGTATCACACATTCCCAAACAAAGCATATCAAGCTTTGTATAACTGCCACTGAAATAGCTGCAAGAAAAACAAACACCATTTCAGTGACCTCACACAACCTCATTCTATAAACATTACAAAAACTCCTTTTACACTGATCTGTTTAAGGCAGCAAGACTTAAGGGTTGACTGATAAAGCTTTCGTGTGAGTTCAATTAGTTTTTTAAAAAACCAAGTGAGTTTTGCAGAACTTATTGGCAGATTAACGTAGGAGAGCTGAGCAGCAAGCTTGCCTTCGTCAGAGGAATGAAGCGAGCTGTGGCTTTGGGTCTCTCGCATGGGACTTCTGACCTGAGAAGAATGCGATCATAGGCCCAGTGAGCTACCACAGATGTTCCCCTATCGCCTTGATATCGCCTCGACTCATCACTTGTCTCACTTAGTCCTCAAAGGTAGGTATCATGTTCAAGTATTTCAGACTTTCTAACATATTTGTCCACTTCTGTGGCATTTCAAGAACCACCTTATTAGCAAACAAAGCCACCCACTGAATGTGTTCAGAATTACAAACGCACGCTCCTATGCTTTTCCTACATGAGTGATATCCAAACACATTCCATCAGAAACACTTTATTCCAGTTATCTACTACACAGCTGGCAATTCCAATATAGGAAGGAATCCTCTCCTTGTCCACAGGACAAAACACTGCTAACATGTAAATGTACTGGAGTTCTGCTTCTGTGTATGAAGTATTAAATGCAACAGGAGGAGGAGGAGTGTGTGGGAGAAAGAAAAGAGAAAAGAAATAATAAAATAGGCTAAGCATGGTGGCTCACACCTGTAATCCCAGCACTTCTCAAAAAGAAAGGAAATAATAAAATAATGGATTTCAAACCCAACCATCTGGATAATTGCATTAAATGCAAATGATCCAAACATTACAGTTAAAAGGACTGCTAAAAAACTTACAAGTAGCATCACATTTAATTGTGAAAGACTAAGTGCTGTGCCGGGCGTGGTGGCTCACGCCTGTAATCCCAACACTTTGGGAGGCAGAGGCGGGTGGATCACCTGAGGTCAGGAGTTCAAGACCACCCTGACTAACATGGTGAAACCCCATCTCTACTAAAAATACAAAAATTAGCTGGGCATAGTGGCAGGCACCTATAATCCCAGCTACTCAGGAGGCTGAGGCAGGAGAATCACTTGAACCCAGGAGGCGGAGGTTGCAGTGAGCCGAGATCGCACCATTGCACTCCAGCCTAGGTGACAGAGAGGGACTCCGTCTCAAAAAAAAAAAAACTAAGTGCTTTGACTTCATGTTTGTTCATTAAAAATGACTCATAAAGAAAGGGAGCTGACAAGCCACAAACTTGGAGAGAATGTCTAAAAGACACATAAAATGCTACTACCTAGAATTTATAAAGAGCTCCTACAAAAAAGCAAATTACAGCCAGACACAATGGCACATGCCTGTGGTCCCAGCTACTAAGAAGGCTAAGGCAGGAGGATCACTTGAGCCCAAGAACAGACCATCCTGGGCAACATAGTGAGACCTCATCTCAAAAAAAAAAAAAAAAAATACAGACCATAGAAGAAGTGACAAATGCAAATATTCATTTGCATAGAAATGGCCAATAATATATGTAAAGATGTACAATCTCATTAAGTATCCAGAAATACAAATTAAAAGAAACTATGCTAAACACAATACCAAAGGTAAGTTTGCAATGGTGTTGAATGATAGGAATATTTTACTCATTACTCATGAATGTTTGTCCCAACCACCTTGAAAAACAAGCCTGCACCAACTCAGGAAGTGGAATATATGCATGCCCTGTAATCCAGTTATTCTCCTTGGGAATATATCCCAGAAAAACTGTGTACCAGTTGCTCTGTGTACCAGGATACAAGAATGTCCACAGCAGTATTATTTGCAATGACCCAAACTGCAAACTACTTGACTTAGTTTAGCTCCTCTCAGAAGCAGACCCTAAGACAAAAATTAAGTTTATTTAGAAGAAAAAAATAAACAAAAAAAACTGGTAGGGGTATGGGGGAGTAAGACAGGGAAGAAAAGGCAGCCAATAAACGGTGTACCATTAAACCAACTACTGTGTGAGTCACTGGGGCATCGTCTCATAGAGAAACTAGGGGAACTGCAATTATCCAAGGGAGCTGCGGTATTTACACCCCAACTCCCCAGAGTCATTGGTTGAGACCTGCCCCCAGGGGCACTCCTGGCTTTCTGTGATGTGCAAGGCTTTCTGTAGTTGGGATGGAGAGGAGAGCGCTTAGACACAGATGCAGATAATGCATCTGGAGGTTGATGAGTGCATCACGAAACAGCTAAAAGACGTGGGTGAGGAACTGACAGAATCTGCTACAAAACAAAACCCACAAGTACACTGACAGGAAATGGATAAACTGAGGTACATTCATACACAGTAGTACTATACAGCAATGAAAATAAATGTATAAAGTTGCGCACATCACAAAACATATAACGTTAATTTTTAAAAAGGCGATAGAAGAAACACAGTACAGTTTCATGTATTTGAAGCTTTAAAACATGCAAAATAAAGCAATTATTAGTTAGGGACACATATATGGCGAAATCATGAAGGAACACAAGAAAATGGAAAACAAAAATGTCAGGATGCTGACTTATGTAAAATATGCTAAGAGACTAAACGTGTTTGAAATTATCAAAATTACATTTTATTTTGGAGAAATTAACTTTAATTGAAAAGGGAAAAGTTGTATCTGAGGTACGGGTGAGGAGGAATAATTGAAAGATAAAACAGAATTGAGACTGTTCTATGCTGGATGGCAGACGCATGGGTCAGCCTTTTATTGCTGTCTATTTCAGAAATGTATGTACACTTTTTATGCATAAAATATTTCAAAAAAGTAAAAGATTGAAATAAAAGATATCAAAACATTCACATAACTTCTCTGAGTGGAAGAATAATGGATTTTCTTTTCTTCTTTTTACTTTTCTGTATTTTCCGCAATAAATGTACATTCTTTTTGTATTAATAAAACAATTTGAAATTAATCATTTCCTCATAACCCCCCCTTATCTCCTAATTCTAGTTCTACCACCTTACACACATGGCCAATCTAGAAAAAGAGGGAAATCAGTTACTTGATTCCCTGTTGTGGTTATTAAGTTACACAGAGATCCCTGGTTTGCTAATTCAGCTGCAAATTTACATTTGCCCACAGGCACTGAAGCCAAAAAAAAAAAAAAAAAAAAAAGTAGGCCAATTCTAAAATAAATCATCCAGTGGGCAATTAAATACTTGATAAAAATTGAAGGGAAGAAAGAATCAGAACTCTATAGGTTAAATCCTATTATAACCAATTTCATATGACAGTTTCTATTCTCTCCTGAGGGATTTTGAGTGGAATTCAGGTTATGCCAAACGTTGCTTGAAAAGATTGAAGTATTTAAAGAATATTAAGAGACACAATGTGTTAGTAACAATCACAATCACAATTTTTATTTTGAAAGACAAATTATACCTGTAAAGGGGGAACAGACTGCATGGTCTACATCACTATTGAATATGGGAAGACTGAAGCTCCAAGATGCTTGAAATAACCAACTTGTGTATTCATCAAATGCCTTGTATATTTTGTCAAACCATTAAAAACTAAAATCATTACTGCTGGTCTCAGAGGTTATGTCTATCAAACAACTGGTTCCACTATTTGAATATAAATTTATAATCAATATCAGTCATCCTATCAATGCTAGAACAGAATAAATGTTCTTTACGGGTTGCAAAAACTTATTATTATAGTCACTACTAGAAAACGGGTGAATTTGTGATGCCCTACGATGTATTTGTCCATTCTATTAGCAGCATCATGTTTTGATGATGTACCAGTTAATATGTCTTCCTTTGGGACTCCAAAATCATTAAGGTTTATGTATTCATAATCTGAGAGGCCTAAGTGAATAGGCTTGAGGGCCCCAGGAGCACTTAAAAGCTAGTTGGGAAGAAAAGTGCCTGCCCAAATAGCTTTTGCAGAGCAACAGACCGTAAATCTCCTTTGTGAGCTCAGATAAGCTTGGACTGAAGAGGACTCTCATAAACTCCTGCTTATCCAAACTGCAATATCTGCCTCTGTGAGTTTCTAGCCCTGACCCCTGACAGCCCCTTCCATTTAACCTGTTCTTTCAGTGTGACTGTGTATAACAAGGGTTGTGCAGGAATGCCGCATGCCCTACAATATTTATTTCAATCCAAAATTCTCTTAACCAAGCTTGGGGGCTGCAGGTTTTGTACCACAGTGTCTGAAACAGAAGAGAAAAAAGAAGAGGGCCTCAAATTTCGAGGTATAACAGTATGTACCTCGTAACTATAGTTTACAAGAGCAGCCAAACGTATTATACTAAGAACCTTAATTTAGAAAAATCCAGTAGCCCACAAAGGCTGAAAGATTTAAAAAAAAAATTGGAGTCAATCACAAAAATAACCAATGTAATTTTTTCTAAAAAAAAAAAATACTAACCTCTGAACCATGTATTGTTTTCTGTTTAATAAAAGAAAAATATTTTCTGGTTTTCTAATATAAAAGGCCAACTTCAAAGGAGCTTTATAAGTACCATAAGGTAGTATTGTCACCCAGGCAATTTCAAAAGGTCTTTCAAACCACCCTCAGATAACTAATCTGTTACTTGGCAACTCTTATGAGAAAACATCTTTAAAGAGTCCATAAACAATCATTATCTTTAAACAGCATCCCAAAAACTAAAATCCCTGGATAACATAGATTTTTCATTTTTACCTCTCTCAGACTCTATCTCACAACTCCTTCTCTAATTTAAAAATAATAATAATTTAAAAGCTAATGAGAAGAAGTCCTACAACAGATTCTGTAAAAATGCACCTTGCAAAAATGGGTGTCAAATAAAATCTATCTTTGAATTTAGAGAAAAGACAGAGAGGCAATAAAAGGATACAAGTTTAAATGAGGAAAAATCTTTACATCATCATTTACTTTTCCATTTTAATTAAACTTGAATTCCAAATGATGCTGAGTTTATTAACAAGATAATTCTTTATAAGTCACTACTGAGCAGGTTCCATAAGAATTTTATGGTCTGTCAATATCAAATGGTAAAGAGTAATCTAAGAATTTAGTGAGTCAATAAAATAAAAGGCATTCACAGTACACCCACACGTAACCTGAGAACTCCCTTGAGGACTAGGGGGGTGGTTTCAAGTGACTTTCAACATCACCAATTAAAGCAACAGCTTCGGCATTAAATATGCCATTTGCACCTCAATCTACTTCATCTCCCTCTCCAACCAACAGACAGCTCCCTGAATACAGTTGCACAAGTGCCCACTATGTATCTTGAGAGATGAAATTAGAATTTTTATGGCTGGGAAGTATTTACAGATCACATAAATACTTACACAGATCAGAGAAGTGAAATAAATTTTGAATCACCAAAATATACTACTTTCCGGGGTGCTCTGTTTACCCCAACTAAGCTCTATTTACTACAGTGCTATTTTTTAAGGCCTTCAGGAGTTCCAGGCTCATACCTTTACTAAAACACAGTGTAAGGATTCCAGATTTCCAGTGTCCTAAAATCAGTGTCCTCTTTAGGTTAAGTGTAAATGAGTGAGTATGTGTGGGTGGGGAGAAAAGGGTTGAGAAGATGTTGAAGAGGAGACAGAGTATCTTGAAAGGAAATTCCTCTTAACCCAACATGAGATTTTTGGAAATTCAGGACAGTTCAGGGTAACATGAAGTATCACTTAAGTAAGAAGGTGCATGAAGACACTTACGTTAGAATTCTCTATATTCTTGAATAAATTATAAGATGGCAGAAATCTAACAATCTGAGAATTATAATCCAATTTTCAGCATTGCAATGCTGGGTCATGTTTTACTTTTTCTAGCAATATCTTATTTTAATTCAATATTTACAAGAAAGGAAAGTTAAGTAGCATAACTCAAAATTCTGATGTTATACTGGAAAACATTTCTGTCAAATAGGAAAATAGCTCTACACATGGCTGTTTCTCCTCTGAAATTACATTGATGTCGACCTCTCCTCTTCTATAGAGGAACTTTACCACCACGGAAGGCCAGGATTACATTCAGTGAATACGTGAATAATTCCCACTGCATTAGCGTTAATGCAACTGCCACAATCATTTACACTAACACCCTTTTACACAACTACTATGACTTCTGCTAACAACTCAGCTGTTACGTCTACATTTTTTACAAGATAATAATATATGTGGTAAAGCCACCAAGGGCCGTGGCAGAAACACCAAATGTAGAGGGCCTTGAGGGTTGAATAAGCCCATTGTCTGTTTTCAAACAAGAGGGCTGTATTCATGTTGAAACCAGAGTATAAAAAGTAGATTAGAACAAAGCCTTAAAATCAGAAACAAATCAAAAGTAGCTGAAAACCCACTCACATGTTTTAAACTACAATTTCTATGCTTGGCATTGTTTGTATATTTCCATTACAAAATAAACGTGAAGATGATAGAAATTTATGAGGGCAGCACGTTCATAGAAGAGGTACTTTTTTTCTTTTTTCAATTTATCTTGAATATTTAAAATGGCTTTTGGGGGAGAAGAATATCCTTACCATTTTAAAAACATATAAAGTGAGCTGGAGATTTGTCAACTTATTAAGGACTTGATTTTATGCTTCAGTCAAAGATATGTTACACTAGAGAAATAATATTATTTTATACTTATGCTCTCTGTACAGTTTATTAATAAGCAGTTTCATGTAAATTACCTTAATCCTTATAACAACCCTGTGAGGTAAGTATGGTTGGTCCATAGGTGGATTAAAACCCTGCGTCTCAGTGTAGAAGATATTTGTCATGTTTTCCCCCTGGTTAGCACCTTTTGAACACCCTTGATGTAGCTGGATAATTTTCAGCTAATAAGTCCCACTTTCCAATTAAAGAACTCAGAAAACTTCGTTCTCCAGTCTCCTTTGCAGCTAGGGTGACTTCAGTACCACCAATCAGATTCACCCTTGAACAACTTGGATTCACATGCGGGCAACTTGCAGGAGGAAGCGACATACCGGTATGGATTTGACATGGTTTTATTACAGGTAAGGATGGCAATCATGGTATCCAGCTTAGGGGGCCAGTGATGGTTGCAAGGCTGCCTTCTCAGAGCAGGCAGATTTCCTGGCAGCATTAGAAACCACAGCAACCGGTCGGGTGCGATGCCTCATGCCCGTAATGCTAGCACTTTGGGAGGCTGAGGAGGGCAGATCACTTGAGGTCAGGAGTTCAAGACTAGCCTGGCCAACATGGTGAAACCCTGCCTCCACTAAAAACACAAAAAATTGGCCAGGCGCGGTGGTCACACCTGTAATCCCAGCACTTTGGGAGGCCGAGGCGGGCGGATCACGAGGTCAGGAGATTGAGACCATCCTAGCTAACACGGTGAAACCCCATCTCTACTAAAAATACAAAAAATTAGCCGGGCGTGGTGGCAGGCACCTGTAGTCCCAGCTACTCGGGAGGCTGAGGCAGGAGAATGGTGTGAACCTGGGAGGAGGAGCTTGCAGTGAGCCGAGATCCATGCCACTGCACTCCAGCCTGGGCGACAGAGCGAGACTCCGTCTCAAAAAAAAAAAAAAAAAAAATACAAAAAATTAGCTGGGCGTAGTGGTGGGCACCTGTAATCCCAACTACTCCGGAGGCTGAGGCAGGAGAATCACTTGAACCTGGGAGGCAGAGGTTGCAGTGAGCCGAGATAGCGCCACTGTACTCCAGCCTAGGTGACAGAGCAAGACTCCAACTTAAAAAAAAAAAAAAAAAAAAGAAAGAAAGAAAGAAACCACAGCATTCAGGGCTCAAGGGGGCAGCACAGGTGGTGACGGTTTCCTCTTTAGGCCAGTTCTTTGCCATGGTTTTGGAAACTGTTTCCGAAACGTTTAGCTATGTGCCTAGTTCTTCAGCCTTCCCAAGGCGACCACAAGCTTCTCAATATCCTCTCAATAAATTCCATTTCTGCTTAACCAGAGTCCGTTTCTGTCGCTTACAATTAGGGACCCTGATTCAAACATTTACTGAGGTTGTCGCACAATATTCATTCTCTTTGGGAAGTCTTCTCTGGCCAAGCAACCTTTAGCCTAAGTCCAAAGGGATGCATAAGACTCAACCAAGCCAAGGTTGAGGTGTTGAGGTGGGGAAAGGGGAATGGTATTGTAGGCAGAGGGCCAGGCAGTGCAAAGGCCCTGTGGTGGAAAAGATGAACCACTGGTCTTGAGCATAGTGAATGGCATGGGGGAGAACTTAATGAAATGAGGCAAACAGGTGAGCAGAGGCCGGTGTACAAGGGCATGGTCACACATGTTTCACCTCTAGGCCTGCATGTCAGAAAAGAAAATTTCTCTATTAAGCCAAAATAAAAGTAGACATAAGCAACACACATTTGAAATTTTACCCTGAGAAGTTTCAGAGTAAGAAAGACCAATACCCCAACTACCAGGTACGGTTCCAAACACGTAAAAATAGTGATAATGTTGATAATGTTTCCCCTACATGCTTTTTTTTTTTTTTTTTTTGAGATAGGGTCTCACTGTATTGCTCAGGCTGGAGTGCAGTGGTGGGATCTCAGCTCATTGCAACCTCTACCTCCTGGGCTCAAGCAACGCTCCCACCTCAGCCTCCCTAGTAGCTGGGACTACAGGCACACACCACCACACCTGGCTAATTTTATATCCTTTCTTATACACACAGAAACATTCCCATGTTCTTCAAGTATTCAAGTAATAGCCCAGCCGTAAAAGCTTATCAAACAGCACAATGGATCTGGACTGAGGAAACCTGTGTCTGAGCACTTAAGCAAAACTTACTAAATCCATAATCTTAGAAAAATTACATGCATTATCTGGGCAGGTTGCCCAAATCAATAAGATACAGAAGTATCTGCTGCCCTCCATACCTCATGGAATTTTAAGGCTCACATAAGCCAAGAGATGTGCAAGATCTATATATTAGGTATTATTAGTAAGGAGTAATTGTGATGACAATAATAGCTATTAGGAAATGTCACTGGGCATGGTGGCTCATACCTGTAATCCCAGCATTTTGGGAGGCCAAGGCAGGAGGATCCATTGATCCTGGGAGTTCAAGACCAGCCTGGGCAACATAGAGAGACCCTGTCTCTACAAAAAATAAAAACTAAAAAATTAGCCAGGCATGGTGATACACGTCTGTGGTGTTAGCTACTCAGAGGCTGAGGCTGGAGGATCGCTTGAGCCCAGGAGGCAGAGGTTGCAATGAGCCATGACCGTGCCACTGCAGTCCAGCCTGGGTGACAGGGTGAGGCCTTGTCTCAAAAAAAAATTAAAAAAATTAAAAAATTTGACCAAATGCAAAGTACTTTGGGATGGTTTATCTTTTCAGTTCTAAACTATTTAGTGGAAATTTCTATGTGGAATTTTTGGCTGCCATGGTTTTGACCTCAAACAAACTCACAATCTAGAAGACATAAACAAGTATACTGCAGCATTATAAATGGTAACAGATAAACCACCATTTTCAGAACAACACATACTTTGTCTTACTCATCTTTGTATCTCTAGTATCTAGGTGGCAGTACCTTAAAGATAGTAAGCAAGATATTGTCTTTGCCTGCATCTAGTTAAGTCATTCCCCAATTTGAATGTTAAAGATAATGAAACAAATCACAAAGTGAATGCTTAGAAACCAATCTAGTTGCTGGGCGCGGTGGCTCACGCCTATAATGCCAGGAGGGAGGCCGGGGCGGGTGGATCACGAGGAGTTCAAGATCAGCCTGGCCAACATGGTGAAACCCCATCTCTACTAAAAACTACAAAAAGTAGCTGGGTGTGGTGGCCCGCGCCTGTGGTTCCAGCTACTCGGGAGGCTGAGGCAGAAGAATCGCTTGAACCCGGGAGGTGGAGGTTGCAGTGAGCCGTGATCGTGTCACTGCACTCCATCCTGGGCGACAGGGCGAGGCTCTGTCTCAAAAAAAAAAAGGAACCAATCTAGTTTGGCCAACTATGCAGCCAAATCCATGATAACCAAGTTTGAAAGGTTTCATTTAATCTTCAGCATATTTCACCACAGAACAGTATAGAGATGGTGGATTTATTATAAAAATATTTGGCCCCTGGCCAGGCACAGTGGCTCATGCCTGTAATCCCAGCACTTTGGGAGACAGAGGCGGGCGGATCACGAGGTCAGGTGATCGTGACCATCCCAGCTAACAGGGTAAAACCCCATCTCTACTAAAAATACAAAAAATTAGCCTGGCGTGGTGGCACACGCCTGTAATCCCAGCTACTCCAGAGGCTGAGGCAGGTGAATTGCTTGAACTTGGGAGGCGGAGGTTGCAGTGAAAGGAGATCGCGCCACTGCACTTCAGCCTGGGCTACAGAGTGAGACTCCGTCTCAAAAAATAAAAATAATAAATATATATATTTGGCCGGGCTCAGTGGCTCACGCCTGTAATTCCACCACTTTGGGAAGCTGAGGCAGGCAGCGGATCACCTGCGGTCAGGAGTTTGAGACCAGCCTGGCCAACATGGTGAAACCTCGTCTCTACTAAAAATACAAAAATCAGCCGGGTGTGGTGCTGTGCGCCTGTAATTCCAGCTACTCGGGAGGCTGAGGCAGGAGGCAGGAGAATCGCTTGAACGTGGGAGGCTGAGGAGATCTCGGTGAGCCGAGATTGCACCATTGCACTCTAGCCTGGGTGGGCAACAAGAGTGAAACTCCATCTCAAAAAAAAAAAAAAAAGAAAGAAAGAAAGAAGAAAGAAACTGCTTATTTTGCCCTCTGTGTCTTCACTAATAGACATGGACTACATTACAAACCCCAACAGCAACAACCCAGATTCACCAGCCTTAGAAGGAAACATCAGAGATATGCCAACATCCCTACTGCGCATGAATACCCACTGCATTCAGAAAAAAAAAAGTAGCAACTTACATGGCATTCCACAGCCCACCTCAGAAGCACATCCCAATTTTTCACAACTCTCGCAGTCAGACTGTGAGGAAAGCAATTTTGAGTGGAAGTCAGAGGTGGACATGGGTTTCCAGATAGCAAAAGAGTCTGTAAGTTAAAAGAGAATGTTCAGTCACAGCTTGAAAGTAGAAGTAAAAGGGACTATTAAGAAATGACAGCAAAACTAAGACTTACTGTCAAGAAAGAGAAGCAATTCCAAGAACTGTTTAATCCATTAAACTGATGCCCAACTATCCAAGTATATTCAGAACTTAATTTGATCGTGCCCTGATCTGCCTTTACATTTTAATTAAGATTAGCTGAGCATGTAAATTAGTTTTGAGCATAATATCCTAGGGTGAACAAAACTAAAAAGAACGGAAATAAGTCCATCCGAGAAGGAAATGCGGGGAAAGGCAATCCTTGGGGATCCTTTGATCCTCAAGGTGAGGGCACCAGACAGATGACGAAGGTGGTAGCATTAAGAACTCAGCTGGAAGCACTTTTCCATTTAGGTTCTTCCTTGGAAGGGTGCCCATTCATGACAAAGACAAGGAAATGCAGTAAGTGTGAGTAGAACTTAATATAAACAGTGAGCTCTTTCTCAATTCTAAACTGCAGGCCTCCTAAATCCACATCCTGGTATAACGCCTTTAAAAAATGAAAAACCTAGCGATACAGTCTTAGCTCATACTTAACTTGTTATCTAGGATATTCCTGTGTTACATTTTTGCCTTACTTACATAAAGCCTGTCATTCAACACTTTATAATCTTTTAATTCATTTTCTTCTCCGTTTACTCTGTCCTTCACTTTTCCTTGTATATTGTATTTACGTAAATGTATGTATGTATAAAATTGCCGTATGTATATACATACAGTCTAAAACTAAATCTTATTCTACTGATCTAAAGTTAACTAAAAAGATTAAGTAACAGATCTGCAAACTACTGAACTGAAATTTTTTTATGACTTCCGTGTCTAAACTTTCACAATTACAATTGTTTTCAAACTTTAAATATCCTTAATTTTCCAGGATTTCCTCCAAAATCATTGTTTCCTGCCATCAATATAGTTTTAAGTTTCATAAAACATCCATGTAACAGGCTTTTTTATCTGCTAATCAACATCATCCATAGGCCATTTGTTTCTAAAGATAACTTCAGTTAAAACTGATCTTATTCATCAGTTTAGGTGGCAGAACTCAGACATGATGCTCAGAGCCCAAGCTCTGCAATCTGCACAGAAATGATTTTATACCCATACAATTGCTTCCTGCCAGAGGACTACGGGAGTGCAGCCTTGGGAATTTAAATGACCGATTTACCCAGGGAAAGAAAGCTTATTTTTAGTAAGTGGGAAAAAAAAAATGTTGATTTAATTTATTTTACTGCCTGTGAATCTCCTTTGGAAAAGGAGAAGCAGAGTTTGATTAATTAGATTAGCAAATGCAGTAAGTTGTTTATTCACTTGGGTGAATCAATGTTTCCCTGAATTTAGTTTAGCTTTATTTTATGCTTTCAAACCCATCCAGTAGGTAAGATGGTGAAAGCCAAAAGCCTTTCTCTCCCACAGCTCCTTGGAATATCTTTTCACATGTTAATTTGATCTTTTTGTGATCGGAGGCAGATGTATTTCACAGCGCCTCCCTCTCCCCTCCCCACTCCACCCCAGCATATGGGTAACACACATATAGATGATAGAAAATTATAGATGATAGAAAATTGACTACAGGGATCTATTTCCATTTTTTATGCCTCCTCGTTTTTAGTATTTTTCCTTTCCTGCTGACTTTCATTGTAAATTATATTTCTACCCAGTATTAAAATTCAAAAGGAAATAAAGAGCTTTCTCTGCCGTTAATGACAGCGTATTTTAAGATGATTAGGAAATAATTATTAGAACAAATTGCTTTATTTAAAAAAAAACAGTTGCTAAATTTCTCAAATGTTTGCTAGTTTTTCTTTCTTCATTCTCTTAATGACCTGTCTTTCTAAGGAAGTTCCCTTCATGTGACTTGCTACACAAAATCATTCCTGATTCATTTGTTACTGAGATTTACCGGAGTACAGCTGTTCAAACAAAGTACTTGCCTGCGAAAGCCTGGGAAGATTGGGGATGATAATCAAATTAAAATTCCAGCTCTACATTCTTTTATCAGAGTGCAGACAATTGTGATATATTTAAAATGTATTAAAATAAAAAGGGCAGAGCTCTGCTGCATCATAGACTACATTTTTCCGTTAATGACCTGGAGGACACATTAAGAAGGAGAAAAACTTATTAATTCAGCAAGAAATCAAATGTACATTTCTAGGAGAGATTTTTTTTCTCAACTTAAAAGAAAAAAATTGAAGATCCAAGAGAATGGGGATTTTTAGCAGTTGGGGACCACTAGAGATTATTTGACTCAAAGTGATAGGCATAACATATAAGTGCTGGTGGCCTGGACACAAGAGACTGGGGTGACTTCTCATACACATTAGACACCATTGATTTTCAACTAAAGGTAGAACTGGAAGTGCTTTTATTCAAAGGCTGCAAAAATCACCTTCTCCAAGGAAGTTTAACATCTCTAGTTTTCTGAATATGAAAAAAGATTATAGGATCACAGTCTCCCGTGAGCTAATGAGGCATATGCAACCAGCCTTGAAATTTGAAAGGAGAGAGAGAAAAATCAAAATTGGAGTGCATTCACCCTTCTGAACGTATTTCTTTCCTCCCTCCAAAGCATCTGTATCCTGGCTGAGCTAGCAGACAATTTAAAGGTTTCTTAGATCAGTTTTAATATTTTTTTTAATTACACTGAAAATAATACCCACCCCCAGAGACAAGCATTGTGTTTGCACAAGGAACAGCGTCCCCTTCTTACCAGTTCCCCAAGACCCCCACCTCCATTCAGTCACCAAGTCCAATCTGAAATCCACCTCCTAAAGAGCTCTGGACTCCAGCCACTTTCCGCATTCCTACAGCCACTCCCCTAATTAGGGCTACTATTATCTCCCCACCGGATTACTGTGGAAACTTCCTAACTGGTCTACCTGTCTTCCAGTTTGCCTCACCCCATCCATCCTTCACACACCAGCTACAGAGATCGTTCTAGGAAAGTCAGTCTCCTATTGGCATTAGGATAAATTCCAAACACCTTTACGGAGCTCAAAGTATGTTCAGGATCTGTGCAATGCTCCAGCCCCATTTCTCTACTTCCACCTCACACTCCACACTATAGCCAAGCTAAATTGCTTTTATTCCCTCCCAACACCTCCCACCCTGGACCACCACACGCACACAGTGGGCTCTGGCACATGACCTTGTGAATGCCTGTGATGCCTCCCACCCCAATCCTAACCCATCCTCCCCCTTTTCCATCCTTTGACCCACTCTTGCTCTTCATCAAGTCTCTGCTTACATATGACATTCTCCCAGAAGCCTTTCCTCTAAGTCTGGGTTAGGCAACCCCTGCTCACTCTCCCAAAGCACCTTATATTTACTCGTTCAAATGATTTATCATGCTACACTGCAATGCTATTATTATTTGTCAATATCCCCCTAGCATGGAAACTCCACGAAGACAAGGATAGGGCCTGCAGTGTTCAGCACCAAACTCCCAGTGCCAGTGCCTAACATCATGCCTGGTACTTTGTAAGTGTCCAGAATAAATCTCTATTGAATGAATAAAATTAATCAATTAATGACAAAGTTTTCACTCAAAGACTCTGAAGTCTCTGTGGCAAGTGTTTTTTTGGAAATGAGCTGGGAAAATCACCTTGGAGAAGGTGATTTTAAGCTTTCCTAAAATTTAACCTAGCACATAGAAGGTATTTGATAAATATTTGTTATTTATCCTGTTTGTTACTGAATTGAGAAACAAACAGGATTAACAATGCTACTAGGTATATAAAAATGTAAAGTTTTTTTTTTTTTTATTAAAACTGCTTGTCAGACATTGAATAGGGGGCCAGAACATGTAAATCCAGTTATACGGGTTATACAAGTGCTGGGTCTGAGTAGTCCTTACCCCACCGAGTGCTAGGTGACCTGGATTCAGTATTTTAATTGTTTGCTGTTGCTCCTATTTTATTTACACTACAAGCCACTACTCTTCTGAGGTCAGCCCCACATAGAAAGGAGATTGCACCATCAGTTTTACTCAGATTTGCAAGTCAAAATACGATAACAAGAAAAACTTCAAGTTCACCCTTATTTCTCTTCATTCTAAGCAAATAGATAAACCAATATCCAAGAGAATCTTGCCACTTTGTACAATGATCCTGTGCACATCTGGCAGTCAGCCCGGCCCACACTGGAGTTTGTGTGTTTAGGCTTCCTTTATAATTTGAAGAGCAAGGGTGATGACACAGCTCCTGTGACCAATTCCAGTCCCTGTTTACTATTTGCCCAAGGCTCCTGCCTCAGCTAGACCTGAGATCTGGATTGAGATATTTACTATAAAACAAACCAGTAGTCAGGACCTGCTTTCACTCTCAAAAACACCGGTACCTACAAAAAAAAAAAACTAATCTACAGAAGGTTAAGAGCCCCCACAGAGTCTCCACCCAGCCCTTGTCCATCCTCATCTCCAGTTGTCCCCTGGCCCTTGTATCTCATACTCCAGGCACACTACTCAGGGATCTCCACATCTTCCTCTGTGCTCTGCACAGTCTCTTTTCTATGCTTGGAATGTCACCACTCCAGTCTCATTGGCACTCATTGCCTACCACTCTCTACTGATACTTTTTTTTCTTTTATTTTCTTTTTTTTTTTTTTGAGGCAATGTCTTACTCTGTTGCCTAGGCTGGAGTGCAGTGCTCACTGTAACCTGGACCTCCCAGGATCAGGCAATCCTTCTGCCTCAACCTCCCAAGTAGTTGGAACTACAGGCACACGCCACCATGTCCAGCTAATTCTTAAAATTTTTTATATTTATTTATTTAGTTAGTTTGTAGAGAATGGGGTCTCACTGTATTTCCGAGGCTGGTCTTGAACTCCTGGACTCTCAACTCATACTTAAGGCCCCTCTCCCTGCACCCAAGCCAAATCAATCAGTTCCTCCTTTGTCCCTCCCTTCCTTACCTCTCTCTTACTTAACACATTAGAGATTGTAACTACTTCTCATGCATCTATCTCCCCTAACAAGTTGAGAACTACTTACAAGCAAAAAAACACATTTTTTTTTGTTTATTTCCTCATAAAAATCATAAAATCACACCTCACACATGTTAATCAATGAATGGTTATTTAATGAATGACCCTACCTTATCCCTACCCACAACTGAGACGATACATTAAAATTACCAGAACTTGACTATAATTCCATTCATCATGGTTCTATATATACATCATTGAAACCAAAAATGCAAGTACTACAATTTACTTGCTGTGTAGACTAAGGGTAAATTACAAAATTGATTGTCCTAATGACAAGGAAATCGTTCAGCCTCTGACAGCATAACTTTGAATTGTTGTTCCAACCTGATCAGTATTACAGACAATCCAAAGAGAATTTTTAGAGATTTTCAGTGGCACGCCCTACCTGGCCTTTTAAACATTTGCTCAGCAAGCATTTGTTAAGCACCAGCAATATATGTGTGGCTTTCCATGGTAGGCAAGGACTACCAAATTGTGTTAGAAAAGATCTCTGACCTTAAATGAAGGTCCCTTTCAGTCTAGTAAAGGAACGAAAGCAATTACTTAATGGATGTCATGTGAGTGGTAGAAACAGAGTATTACTGGGATTTACAAGAGGATGAAGGCAGGTGGTCTTTCACTACATATTGCTAGCAGGATGGTAAATGCAGTCTAAGGTGACAATTTTGGCTCCTTTTAGGCCAAGATTTGCACCATTTGTTTAGCTGCAGGTCTCTTAGTAACAATGCAGGAGCTAGGGAGTTAAGATGCCTCTACCTCGAAGGAGAAAGGAGGGTAGAGAGGCTTCTCAACTCTTCCGGGCTTTCCCCACCACGTTAGGTGGTTTACCACTGACGTGCCTTGCAGGGGAAAGTTTAAATCTAACAAGCTTCGGCCGGGCGCGGTGGATCACGCCTGTAATCCCAGCACTCTGGGAGGCCGAGGCAGGTGGATCATGAGGTCAGGAGTTTAAGACCAGCCTGGCCAAGATGGTGAAACCCCATCTCTACTAAAAATACAAAAATTAGCCGGGCGTGGTGGTGGGCGCCTGTAATCCCAGCTACTCAGGTGGCTGAGGCAGAGAATTGCTTGAATCTGGGAGGCAGAGGTTGCAGTGAGCCGAGATCACACCACTGCACTCCAGCCTGGTGACAGCGAGATGCCATCTCAAAAAAAAAAAAATCTAACAAGCTTCAAGATGAAGCTCTGGCCCAGAACTCATCTCCTCCCAGAAGGTCTCTAATGAGGACTGGCCTCTTCCACTCTCACAGCCAATTACTGACTCCCAGGTATGAGCTCCCAAATCACACACCACTAGGACATGATCCCTGCCTTTAAGGTCTAGTGTAACTGTAAATATTTACCACCGTTTGTCTTCATTGCATTTGTTATTGTATGTTCCAAGTTTTTAAAAAACCACTAAAGCCATTAATTATGCTTTCTAATATTTCGCTAGCCCCATTTCCCTCCAATCCAAAATCTCCATAATACCCTCAAACTCAAGTTGTCTCTCTCCCTTATACAAGGTATGGCCCGTGGTTTGCAAAAGATTTATTTTCTCTTACACTTGAAATCTAGAAATTTCCTGCTAAGTCATACAACTTCAAACATCCACCTTTCTCTGGAGACTACACAAATAATCACTACCCAAAGCCAAGTATATCCAAAATGGCCTGTGATATTTCAGAACAAAGGATTCATAAGCAGGAGTTCAAGGATGAATCCACCATTTGAAATTGTATGAAAAAAATCTAATGTGCAAGTGAATATATGGGTTTTTTTTTTCCTTTTGGGGTAACATTCTATTGCTTTCAAGAAATTTTCAGAAGAGGCTATGAGACAGACACACACACACACATCCCCACAGAAACACATAGACCTAAATGAAATCCTAATTTTAGTGAAACATTTTTGTACACAAATGTGACACAATTTCTATTTGTCCAATAAAACCTGTTAAATGTTTCAAAATCTTTTACCACATCTTTTAACTTAAAATATGATTAAAAGGTCTACCTTGCCAGACCAGTGCAAGAAACACAATGACCATAGGAGAAGTAGCAAAGAAAGAGAAAAAAACACCTCCAAATATTTTATGCCTGGAAAACTTGGATCATGAAGAAGATGAGAAAAAAAAAGTAGGTCATTGTAACTTGACATTCAGAAATAAGCAGCAACATTTTATTCTCACTGACCTGTAAGTCACCCTCCAGCTCCGAATTTCATCACTACCTTACAAACGGTTCCTGAACTACCTCAGCATGGCATCTGCTATATAATCTTCTAAAACTAACATTGGGAAACAATTTTTTTTTTTGAGACAGAGTCTTACTCTGTCGCCCAGGCTGGAGTGCAGTGGCGTGATCTCAGCTCATTGAAACCTCCGCCTCCCTGGTTCAAGTGATTCTCCTGCCTCAGCCTCCCAAGTAGCTGGGATTAAAGGCACCCACCACTACGCCCAGCTAATTTTTGTATTTTTAGTAGAGACAAGGTTTCACCGTGTTGAACAGGCTGATCTCAAACTCCTGACCTCAAGTGATCCACCCGCCTCGGCCTCCCAAAGTGCTGAGATTACAGGCGTGAGCCACCGCGGCCAGCCAGGAAACAATTTTAAGAACATAATAACTATACTTAATTCCAAAAATTAATAAGGAGAATGTATGCTGAATAATAATGTGGTGTGAGAGTCTGTGGAAAGACGTACTTGGGTTTGTTTTAAATGAATTAAATATATAAGGCTACCACAGACCTTTACCTACAATGTAATTTATATGGTAGCTGGGCGCGGTGGCTCACGCCTGTAATGCCAACACTTTGGGAGGCCAAGGGGGGCGGATCACCTGAGGTCAGGAGTTTGAGACCAGCCTGACCAACATGGAGAAACCTCGTCTCTACTAAAAATACAAAATTAGCCGGCCATGGTGGCGCATGCCTGTAATCCCAGCTACTCGGGAGGCTGAGGCAGGAGAATCACTTGAACCCGGGAGGCAGAGGTTGTGGTGAGCCGAGATAGCGCCACTGCACTCCAGCCTGGGCCACAAGAGTGAAACTCTGTCTCAAAAAATAAATAAAATAAAATAAAATAAAATTTTATATGGTACAGGTTGTCTCAAAAGAGGAATTTGTATGTGGAGAGCCCATTTTAAATGTGTCCTGCATTTTTATCTGATACTATAGCCACTGGGGATTTATTTGCTTTCATCAGTAGTTACCTGACATCCTTTCTGCATAAATCCAGATAGAAAAGTATCTCTTCTGGTTCTGTTATTTGCTGCTGTAGTTTCCATCTGTAGTGCTAAGATCCATCCCTTATTTTATCTTGGACACCAAGCAAGCTTCTTTTCTTCACACTCTAGTCTCTTCTCAACAGCTTCACAAGGGAATCTCTGGGTTGCTTCAAACGCATCTAACACTTCTTTCCAATTATTTATGTTGGTGACAAACTCTTTCTCACCAACTGTCTAGGGTCACTCAGAGGTACTTGATTTGAAAAAGCATTCGGTTTCCTATCCAATATTTTGGTACCTCTCCAGCTCCCCACTTCAGCTCTGCCGATGTTAGCACATTGTTGAGCAGAACTTGCCTCTTACATTTTATCTGAGATTGGCTATAACATCCATATGCTGAGTTGCTTCCACATTGGTTCTCATATCTGAAAATTGTTAATATCAGCAACAACCCTTAAAAAAAACCCTGTTGCTTTTTAAAAACCCTGAGCACTTATATCACAGAAAGGACCCAATCCCAGATCTGCCACTTATTATCAGTGAGACATCTGAGCAGGTCTCTTAACCCCCTCCCTGAACTTCTTTTTCCTGTCTGTAAAATGGGGAGAATACCACCTTCCTCACTACGTTGTGAGTATTAAATAGGTTCGTGCATGTGAAAGGTTTAGCATAGACACTGGCTGCCCCAAAGCCAGTGCTCGTAAGTGTTAGGTACTTATTTATTCTGAGAGCAAAGTCTTAATTATCTGTGGATAGAGAGGTGAACATTAGCATGAAATTGTGCATTTTTTTTAGGGGAATGGAAACAATTTGCATTTTAAGAGCAAGCAAGCATTTTTGTTTAAAAATATCAAGGGCATATTGTTACAAGCTCCTGCTCTGCAGGGACACTGAGCCCTTCTAAGTTCTTTCCTTTTCCCAATTTTGTTTTCTCCTCCTCTCTGTGAATGAAAACAGCACATAGAGAAATGCTTTGTAAATGCTATAGCAAGATGACCATTTATAAGGACTCTAGAGAAAGTCCTAGGGCAAACTGGTTGCTACATCTAACCCCTTGAACAGGCTGACAAAAGATTTAAACTGTAGCAGCCATGTGAGAAACACACATGTGGTTTTAAAATATTTGAATTCCATTGTACAGTTCTTGGTAAAACCCATGCAGACCAAGGAAGCTGACACATTCAATAGAAGACATGGGCCTCCGTTGTGTCTGTGACCCCTCCAGGTATTTTAAGCACCAGAATCAAAGTACAGAAATAAAAACAAACAAAAGCCCAATATCTGTCCATGCCTGGTCTTACCAAAAAAAAAAAAAATTGTTTTTTTAAAAAATAAGTCTCTTATGGGATGACTGTGGACTTATTTAGCCCATTCAGCAGGATTTTTTACTAAGCTACAATGCAAAAGATTTATTTTGTCATTGTCCAACACCAACAATTGAGGAAACTCGGCCTAGTGCAAAATCCCCAGGAGAAACAATCTACAATTTAATTAGTGAAAAATTGAAGCAATTTAAATACAATTCCAGGCATTTTTTAAAGTAGTATTTGAATAGACAGCTGCTGCATCTACTAAGTGTTTAGGCAAAGCACCATAATCCCTGATCCGATGAGATGCCCAAGGTTATGAACACAACTGTCTGTTGTCAGGGCAAGACCCAGAATTTAAAACAAAACTCCAGAAAGCCTCCCTCAATGCCTGCTCCATCCCCACAAAATAAAGAGATCGCTAGCTAAATAGCCAGCCAGCCAGCTAGCTAGGTAGATAGATAGATAAAGAAAACATTAGTCACAGCCTTTTGAAGCACAGTAGAATGGAGACAGAAAAGGATTTAGAGCCCACAGCACTAAGCTGGAGTCCTGATTTGTTCATTACCTTTTTTCTGTTACTACTTCAAATTCCTCATTTATAAAATGGGAATATTAATGCCTATCCCACATGAGTTTTGAATCTTCAATGAGAATATAAGAAAACACTATATAAATGTTACTTGAAGATGTTGAAATGTTAAAGAAACAGAAAATATAAATTGAATTAGAGATATGTCACTACTGCACCTTCTACCATAAGAACTTTATTGTTTCAGCCTTTTTTTTTTTTTGATGGAGTCTCACTCTGTAGCCCAGGCTGGAGTGCAGTGATGTGATCTCGGCTCACTGCAACCTCCGCCTCCCAAGTTCAAGCGATTCTCCTGCCTCAGGCTGCGGAGCAGCTGGGACTACAGGCGCATGCCACCACGCCCAGCTAATTTCTGTATTTTTAGTAGAGACGGGGTTTCACCATATTGGCCAGGCTGCTCTCGAACTCCTGACCTCGTGATCCACCTGCCTCAGTCTCCCAAAGAGCTGGGATTACAGGCGTGAGCCACCGTGCCTGGCCTGTTTCAGCTTTAAAGATTTATTTGTACATACAAAATATTTTGCCACGCCCAGTTGCAGTCTTGCAAGATGAAAAGGGTTCTGGAGATGGATGGTGGTGATGGTTGCACAATGATGTGAATATACTTAACACCACTGAACCGTATGCTTAAAAATGGTTCGAATGGCAAATTTTATGTTATGTGTATTTTATCACAACTTTAAAAAATTATTTAAAAGCCTTTTACCATGATAAAATCCCCTGGTAGCAAGAAAGAAATCCTCTTCCTTTAATATTTAACTTGGTCAACTGAAAAAGCGAAGAACAAGGGGCTGAGGATCCTAGATGTGCCACAGAGTATGAGCACATTGCAAAGGTATGTACAAATTCTAGGACCTCGGCCAAACTTCCCAAAAGGACTTTTTTGTTAACCTTTGTTAATTGCAAACAAAACCGATTTCAAAATAGAGGTGCCCACACGTTGGTTGCCAAGCCCTCAAACACCCATGCTTTGCACACTTTAAGGGACAGGAATGGCATTTGTGCTATGAGTACTAATGAATACAAATACTTGAAATGATTCAATAGTTTACATCTGAAAACATTTCACAGACTCTCAGTATATGCTGCAACAAGTGCATTAAACATAAGAAGAGCCCCCAAAGAAGACCAAGAATCCACATTAGAACTCATATCCTTCAAGGAGGGTGGACATTCCTGTTCTTGGTGCAGTTAGAGAGGTGTCATATGAATCCACCTATGATTACAAGTCCAGACACAGAAACAGCTACAGGCAGCAGAAGGGAGACATGGTTAAGCATCACTGAAAAGGAGCTCCCAGCAGTCTCAGCTCTGTTACCACCCACCCGCTGGGTTACCTTGAGCAAATCACCAAAACTTTCAAGGCCCCTGTCTACACATCTAGCTCTCAGTGACTCTTTGCTCTATTCTAAGCTTGGCCAGGGAGATCTAATAACAATTTATTAACCCTATGCATTACAAAGTGCAGCTATGAGGAAAAGAAAGAATATTTGAAAAAGAAAAAAAAGAGGGGTGGGCGTGGTGGCTCACACCTGTAATCCCAGCACTTTGGGAGGCTGAAGTGGGTGAATCACTTGAGGTCAGAAGTTCAAGACCAGCCTGGCCAACATGGCGAAACCCCATCTCTACTAAAAATACTAAAGTTAGCCGGGTATAGTGGTGCACACCTGTAGACCCAGCTACTTAGGAGGCTGAGGCAGAAGAATCACTTGAAGCCAAAAGGCAGAGGTTGCAGTGAGCTGAGGTTGCACTCCAGCCTGGATGACAGAGTGAGACTCCATCTCAAAAAAAACAAAAACAAAAAACAAAAACAAAACAAAAAAACACACACTAAACTAAACACCATGATAACAGGGAGATAAGAAGAATCTAAATGACCAAGGCTGAACACCAACAGCTCAAACAAATATCAGGAAAAAGCACCTGCAATAAAGACACACAGCACAGCTGCCATTAGCGAAATGCTAAGGCAACGGAAGCTCAGCTTTTGAACGCAGCATAGGACACAACGCCCCCACCTCCGTGCTATCTTGGAAGTCAGCGGAAACCTCAGCATCCACAGGAACCTGGGCCAGAACTGCGGCTCAGCCCTGAAAATTCTGCAAACTGTCTCTACGGTTGGAACAGAGATTACAATGGTACTAGTTCAGGGCAATCGGGTGAGGGAAGACAGTATAACTTAGTGAAGGTCTAAATTACAAAACGGGGCCCAGCACGGTGGCTCATGCCTGTAATCCCAGAACTTTGGGAGGCCGAGGTGGATGGATCACCTGAGGTCAGGAGTTCGAGACCAGCCTGACCAACATGGAGAAACCCCGTTTCTATTAAAAATACAAAAATTAGCCAGGCGTGGTGGCGCATGCCCGTAATCCCAGGTACTCAGGAGGCTGAGGCAGGAGAATCGCTTGAACCCTGGAGGCAGAGGTTGCGGTGAGCCTAGATCGTGCCATTGCACTCCAGCCTAGGCAACAAGAGCGAAACTCTGCCTCAAAAATTAAATAAATAAATAAATTACAAAATGGTTTATCATCACACATTTCTTTACATACTCTATGTTTTAAACTAAGGTATTAATAATGTTGTAAAATAATTATTTTCATCTAGTCCAAAGTGGGATATTTAATATTAATAGTACACAAAAGGATGAGCAAATCCTCTACAATAAAATAATTGATACACTTAAAAGTTGATGTCAAACTAAAAGACCTTCAACTATTTATTAGATACTTCCTAATTTTATATTTCCTTCACGTGAAATTTCAAACTCTAAGACACTAGGAAAGTTGCTGTTTTTAATTGGCTAGCATTCTCTATCAATGAATAAATGATCACAAGTTGCAAATCTGTAAAATCATCACTTATTAAAATATTCTAAATTGGAGGTGAAATGGTACCATAGTACATATCCTGAGACTGTTCTCTCCCGGGTTCCTGTAAAATACCCATCAAAACAAAGCAATAGAGGGGGAAATCTGATCATGGAGAGCAAAGAGAGGAAGGAGCCATGATCATAACCTGGAGACATGTTCTACCCTTGCACTAATTGCGGTGAGATTCAGCAACACTGTTTTGTAATCACCTCCTGAGTTCCTTCATGAGGGATGGAAGTGAGAGGACTTTCTTAACCTTCGCTGATGGCACCTAAGCAAGAAACTACGTCACCCTGAGAAAACTGACAACCTGCCAGGTCAGTGATCCAAATTCACATCCCTCAGATTTCCTTTTCCCATGCCTAACAGTAATATTAGAAACCACTCAGCAGACTGGTTTCAAAGCCCCAGCATCCACCTCTAACAAGGAAAACCACACGAGATAGAAAAACAGTTGATGAAGGCAAAAAAAAAAAAGAGCAATCCCATTTCAAACTAAAACATTATGCTGAGACATGGACAGCAGAGGCAGAAAAAGAGACCCAGTCAAAAGCCCTTCTTGAACATTTTTTTTAAAGACAAGGTCTCATTAGTATTGCCCAGGCCGGAGGGCAGTGGCGATTATATTCACGCTGTAGCCTCAAACTCCTGGGCTCAAGCAATTCTCCCACCTCAGCCTCCCTAGTAGCTGGGAGTAAAGGCAGGCATCACTACACAAGACTCTGATTATTCTTTTATGTTAGTAGGCCTCAAGACTATTTGCCTTGGTCCCCAGTTTTTTTTTTTCTTTCTTTCTTTCTTTTTTTTTTTTGAGATGGAGTCTCTCTCTGTCACCCAGGCTGGAGTGCAGTGGCGCGATTTCGGCTCACTGCAAGCTCCGCCCCCCGGGTTCACGCCATTCTCCTGCCTCAGCCTCCCAAGTAGCTGGGACTACAGGCGCCAGCCACTACGCCCGGCTAATTTTTTTCTATTTTTTTTTAGTAGAGACGGGGTTTCACCCTGTTAGCCAGGATGGTCTCGATCTCCTGACCTCGTGATCCTCCCGCCTCGGCCTCCCAAAGTGCTGGGATTACAGGCGTGAGCCATGGCACCTGGCCTTTTGGTTTTTTTTGTTGTTCTTTTTTTTTTTTTTTTTTTTTTGAGAAAGCGTCTCGCCGAGCACAGTGGCTTACGCCTGTAATCCCAACACTTGGGAGGCCGAGGCACGCAGATCACAAGGTCAAGAGATCGAGACAGGAGTCTCACTCTGTCACCCAGACTGGAGTGCAGTGGCCCGATCTCAGCTCACTGCAACCTCCGCCTCCCGGGTTCAAGCGATTCTCCTGCCTCGGCTTCTCGAGTATCTGGGATTACAGGCGCCCACCACCACACCCAGCTAATTTTTTTGTATTTTTAGTAGAGACAGGGTTTCACCACACTGACCAGGCTGGTCTCGAACTCCTGACCTCAGGTGATCCTCCCACCTCAGCCTCCCAAAGTGTTGGGATTACAGGCGTGAGCCACCGCGCCCAGTCACGTCCCCAATTTCGAAAGCTGCAACCCTGTTGCAAATGACTTTACCTCACCCTCATGCCTAACCTGAAGTCCAGACATGAATGAACATCCAGGCATTGCTTAGAAGACTGAATGCGTTCCACACACAAAAAGATAAATGGCACTTAGTAAATGCATTGCCAGGCATCATAAATTGGGTTCATTACAATGTACATCAAGCTGCCCTGCAATTTCAGAAAAGAAAGGTGACCCTGCCAGTGTCCAGGGGACTATGAGGCACCTGGGGGACTCCAACATCAAGCCAGGATAGATGCCTGAGATCCAAGTGTAACAGGAGACAAGATGACGTCTGGAGCAAGATGTGACAGGAGAAAAGAAACCTTTCATTGCCATCATCCCTCCCCTAGACTCCAAGTCCTGGGGCAGGTACCTCAGAGAAGTTTCCATCTGGCAAAGGCTGCTGAGAGAAAGGAGTATAGGTGATTATTAGAATTTAGACTTAGGGTTGGGTGAGGTGGCTCACGCCTGTAATCCCAGCACTCTGGGAGGCAGAGGCGGGTGGATCACCTGAGGTCAGGAGCTCGAGATCAGCCTGGCCAACATGGTGAAACTCTGTCTCTACTAGAAAACAATTAGCCGGGTGTGGTGGTGTGCGCCTGTAATCCCAGCTACTCGGGAGGCTGAGGCAGAAGAATCGCTTGAACCCAAGAGGTGGAGGTTGCAGTGAGTCTGGGCGATAGAGCGATACTCCATCTCAAAATAAATACTTAAATAAGTAAAATAAAAAATAAAAAAAATTTAGACCTAGCTAAATCTTGGCTTTAAGATCTCTAAAATCCTAATAGTACATTTCAAACCACAGTGAGGTGGATATCCTTTGGCAAAAGACTATCTCTTTGTAGAAACTGAATACTACTTACTTTGTAGAGACAATTTCTTCATCCTAGGAAGACTGGCCGAATAGGCAGTTTAATTATGCAAAGAGCTTATGAAATAAAGATTGTTACAAGACCACAGCTGTAAAGCCTAGGCAAAATTACATCTCTGCAGACTCTGTTAACTCTGGAGAAATGCTTCTTGTCCAAGAATGGATTTGGACCATATGGTTCCTACAAACCACTCTGGAGATACCTGCATTTCAGCCCTTATTTGTGGATCAGAAGCAGAGATAAATGTATGGAGAGAAGATGTGAAAACCCATCTATATTTGCTGATGGAGGAGGGACTCTAAGTGAAGCCCTACCTGGAAGAAACCCCTGATGCTCTACGTGACTAATCCACACTTGAACCAATGTCCGGTTGCTGGACCTACTTAAGTGGTTCTTAATCTTCTGGGGAGATGCTAGACCACTTTAATAATCTGATGAGGGCGATGGATCTGCTCCCGAGAAAAAGGCATGTGGCCAGAAATCTGCACACAGCTTCACGGGTTTCATGAATCACTCAAAGCCTGTGTACTTTGAGAATGTGTACTCAAAGCTAAAAACTTACGGACCATGGTATTACATAGGGGTCTCGCTAGGGCTATGAATTAAGCTAATAACACTCCTAAACTGTGAAATTATCTTTGAAGGAAATGAGTATTCTTTCCATTAGTCATCCTGAAAAGCGGTAGATCCTGAAAGGAAAAAAAAGGCCTTAGACTGAAGGAGAAACTCTACTTTTTTTCTCCGAGACAAGTGAGACTTTAGTCTGGATTCTCAGGAGTCTAGACATGGTGGGGAATACTGACTTTCACCTCCATGGAAAGCAGGCAGAGCCTGGGAGCAGATCAATCCAAAATTAAAGCCATGCAGATGGCCTGGGCCTATAAATTCCGAAAATAATCATCTCACATCTGGTCACAAGTTACTCTGTATGCTATAATTCTCTCCTGTTACCCTATACCTTTAATAAAGCTATGTTAAATGCTATAACTTACCCTGGGCAACATAGGGAAACCCAGTCTTTGCAAAAAAATGAAAGAAAAAAAAATAGCCTGGCATGATGGAGTGCACCTGTAGTTGCAGCTACTAGGGAGGCTGAGGCAGGAGGGTGGCTTGAGCCCAGGAGGAAGAGGCTACAGTGAGCTATGATCACTCCACTGCCCCTCAGCCTGGGTGACAGAGCTAGACTGCGTCTCAAAAAACACCAAAATTATAGCTTTATCTTAGAAATCGTTGAGGAACTATGAGAAGGGTCTGTGTCCAAACTTGGACTACAGTGATAAACGGGACAGTAGCCCCTTTGTTTGTGTGTGTGTGTGTGTGTGTGTGTGCGCGCGCGCGCGTGTGTGTGTATTTTGTTTTTGTTTTTTGTTTTTTGAGATGGAGTCTCGCTCTGTCACCAGGCCGGAGTGCAGTGGCACAATCTTGGCTCACCGCAACCTCCACCTCCCAGGTTCAAGCGATTCTCCTGCCTCAGTTTCCCGAGTAGCTGGGACTACAGGCGTGCGCCACCAGGCCCAGCTAATTTTTTTGTATTTTTAGTAGAGACGAGGTTTCACCATGTTGGTCAGGTTGGTCTCGATCTCTTGACCTTGTGATCCACCCACCTCAGCCTCCCAAAGTGCTGAGATTACAGGTGTGAGCCACCGTGCCTGGCCAGAGTAGCCCCTTTTGAAGCCAACAGAGTGATGGTGGCTGTAAACCCTGAGACCATGAGCAGCAAACAGCCTGACAGACATCAAAGCCAGTCCGTTCTAACATCCTTCCCCAAAAGGAAGAAGAAAAAGAACTACAAAGGAGGCCAAGGGTCTGCTGGCCCCAGGGCAGGGCTATCAGCCGGTGGATCTCAGGCTGACCTGTGAATGTGATTCCACCTTATACCCAAAAGAGGCCATTGGAATATCATAAAATGATAGATCATATTAAATGAAAAAAGATCATATTGAAAAGTAAATAGAAAACCAAAAAATATTCGAATACATTAATGAATCCCAGAGCTGGATTTTGTCGGGGAAAGAATACGCAGTCTTAATTTTTAAAACATAGAAAACCCAAATAAAATTAGAAATAACTTTGTGTTTAACACTTTATTAAATAAATGAAGATGATCTAATATATAATTTCATGGTAAAATCTTAGTGAAACTGATAGTTTTCTGTAAAGGTTTCAATTCCCAAAAGTAAACCAATATCATAGAAGACATTATGAAATGTGTAAAGGAATTTACACCAACAAAAGACTCAGTGTCTGTTTGGCTTTATTGGCCATTTGTTTTAATTAATTTAACCAGTAATTTTAATTAATTTAGCCAGTAATTTAAAATTACTGGTTTCAAGGACCAAATCCAGGAAGGTTAAGAGATTTGGGGCCAGGCACGGTGGCTCAAGCCTGTAATCCCAGCACTTTGGAAGGCCAAAGCAGGCAGATCACTTGAGGTCAGAAGTTCAAGACCAGCCTGGCCAACATGGTGAAACCCCGTCTCTACTAAAAATACAAAAATTAGCCAGGCGTGGTGGCAGGTGCCTGTAATCCCAGCTACTTGGGAGGCTGAGGCAGGAGAATTGCTTGAACCCAGGAGGCGGAGGTTGCAGTGAGCTGAGCTCAAGCCACTGCATTCCAGCCTGGGGGACAGGAGCAAAACTCCACCTCAAAAAAAAAAAAAAAAAAAAGAGATTAAGGTTACACGTCACACACTCAGTGCATAACTGAGACAGAATTCTGTTTTATTTGTCTACTTTCCTCAGCTAGAAATATGAAGGCTAAGACTGTGCTTTTGTTCCTCTAAGTTGCCTGGTAACCATCATTATAACTTAAACTGAGATTATGGGATGGAACTCTAAAAAAAAAAAAAAAAAAAAAAGAACAACAAATTTCTAAACATACCAGCCCTAATGTCTACCTTTCTTAACCTCTAATGAGTCTACCTCTTTCTGTTAGTGTAGTTGAGATATATGGAGTAACTGAACCACGACTAGGTATTATATACACAGGAGGTACACTCGTATTTCTACTGTATTCTATCCTACTTTATGTAAGTCTGCGACGGGTATTTAGTCCCAAAGTCTTTGATAAAATGTTTTGCCATTCAATATTTGAAATGTACATACACCACTGCATCATGTATTGATTTTATTTCAGATGCAGTTTCTCCAATGCCTCAAGAATAGTAAAGTCTATATTACATGTCATTCTCTTAAAGATCATTTTCTTGGAGAGGAAAAAGTAGTCAAAAGTGTGATGGATTTTCTTCTTCTGATGGATATGGGGAAACTCACCAGTGTAACAACTGCTTTGATAGATCTATATAGCTGAAGCATTCTCGAGTGAAAGAAATAATAATGGGACATCATCTCTTGCCACATTGTAGTTTTAACAAGGTTAGGATTGGCAGAGACTAGGCTGAAAAAACAGCCCTGTGAGTGATAACCTGATTTCTGCCTCTTTTTAGTGACTTAAACTTTACTTCCCATAAACATTATACATGCTACACAATTCTCAAAGAAAGAATTACAGAATTTAAAGCTAGAAAGAAACTTTGATGCATCTCTTGATTTTACAGACCAGAAAACCGAGGTCCAAGAAACTAACCACTTACTTTGTCTACTAAATTTATCCGGTCCATAAGAGTTATATAGTAGTGGTTGCAAAAATGCCTAGAACTTTCCATTTCCTCCATGCCATCTGCATTTGACCAAAAAAGAGAAAGGACTGGTAAAATGATCCACAAATCATTCTGCTTCAAAGTATCGCAGCACACATACCACAGGCAAGACATATAACCTAGGTTCACATTCATAATAATTTAGGGCCTAATTCAGAAAGATATCGGATCCAAATCCTTAAAGAAATCTTTATGGGTTTCTGAGGAGGCTGACACTATGATACAAATTATTTATCCACTCTCACCAGCTGGATATCAAAAACGGGCATTGTAGGCAGAAAGGAAGGTGACAGAAAAGGGGGAAGACACATGTCTGTCTACTCTGAACCCTCTCACAACACCGTGAGAGGCCAACAAGCTTATCTCTAAGCATTTGTTCTTGGACCCAACAATAGCCTCCTGGCCTCACATAGAAATAATACTCTACCCTTCTTAGTGAAACCCCCACTTGATTCGAAAAGAAAAGATTATTACCTAGCTGACATTTTAAAAGGGAATGATGCCAGGTGTGGTGTCTCACGCCTGCAATCCCAGCACTTTGGGAGGCCGAGGCGCGTGGATCACCTGAGGTCAGCAGTTCAAGACCCACCTGGCCAACATGTTGAAACCCCATCTCTACTAAAAATACAAAAAATTAGCCGGGCATTGTGGCAGGCTCCTGTAATCCCAGCTACTTGGGAGGCTGAGGCAGGAGAATCACTTAAACCCAGGAGGCAGAGGTTGCAGTGAGCCGAGATCGTGCCATTGCACTCCAGCCTGGGCAACAAGAGTGAAACTCCATCTCAAAGTTAAAAAAAAAAAAAAAAAAGGGAATGCTACTGTAGCTTTTTTTGTTTGTTTTTTTTATTTTCAACTCTGGATATTATACAATTATACAACTGCAGTATACAATTGCAAACCTGGATATTATACAATTGCAAACCTCAGCGTCTTCACTGATAGATGCAGGAGGAAGATAAGGAGGAGCCCTTCCCCCCACCCCCCCCAATCTCCCACCCGCCAATATGAGGAGGAGCCCTCCCCGCCCCGCCCCGGAATCTCCCACCTGCGAAGATAAGGAGGAGCCCTCCCCACCACCCCCGTAATCGCCCACCTGCCTGTGCACTGGGAGGATAGGGTGGAGCCGCAGGAAGTTCAGGCCGTTTGCAGGGGGAAGGAGACAGGCCTCTCCTGTTCCTGGGTGGGGACCTGAGATTCAATCTGTGAGATGAGGGCCTGTTAACTGGAACCCCTCTCGCTCTGCTGAGCAGTTTTGTTTTTTTTTGCCTTTTCACCATTCCATTCCCCCTCACCCTTCAAAGTGTCTGCGTGCCAAACTTCTCCTGGTTGTGTGACAAGAACCTGGTTTTTTTCTACAACATCACCAATTATGAAATGATTTTAAAACTTTTATAAGCATACAGAACTTTGTCACACAAAACCAGTTGACTACAAAAGCTGCGAACCAGATCTTGAACAAACACATCAGAATGCTAGAGTCCAGTTTAACTCACCTCTATTATTAGCAAATTTGGGAAATTTGGAGAAAAGTGAATCAGAAAAAAGAAAAGGGCTTATTCGGAAATGATACATTGTGTCTCACAAGAACATTTAAGTACCTGGAATTAAAACATCCCCTAAATTAACAATATACACTGTTGAAAGTTAGCAGGTTCAACTTTGAGATACCGAGGCTGTCAATCACTTGAGGTCAGGAGTTCGAGACCAGCCTGGTCAACATGGTGAAACCCCCGTCTCCACTAAAAATACAAAAATTAGTCCCAGCTACTAGGGAGGCTGAGGCACAAGAATGATTTGAACCCTGGAGGCGGAGGTGGCAGTGAGCCGAGATCATGCCACTGCACTCCAGCCTGGGCAGCAGAATAAGACTCTGTCTTAAAAAATAAAAACAATAAGCTGCACGCGGTGGCTCACCCCTGTAGTCCCAGCACTTTGGGAAGCCGAGGCGGGCGGATCACCTGAGGTCAGGAGTTCGAGACCAGCCTGGCCAACATGGTGAAACCCTGTCTCTACTAAAAATATTTTAAAAATTAGCTGGGCATGGTGGCGGATGCCTGTAGTCCCAGCTACTCAGGAGGCTGAGGCAGGAGAATCACTTGAACCTGGGAGGCGGAGGTTGCACTTAGCCAAGATTGAGCCATTGCACTCCAGCCTGGGCAACAAGAGCAAAACTCCATCTCAAAAATAAAATAAAATAAAATATAAAATAAAGCTAGGAAGTTCACAGTAAATTTATTTTAAAATATGAAGGTGTGTCTGTACACACCCACATACACATGTACACACCAAAAGAATTAGGTAGAATTTTCTAGGATTTAAAAAACAGTTTTTCCATAAAATTAAGAACATTTCTTTGACATCATTAAGCAAAATCTAAGTGTTTTAGACTTTTATCTTAAATACCTCTATTTACCCTCCTGCCATAAAGACTGCCTTCACTACTGAACTGTGCTAGGCAACTTAGTTTCTGTGAGTTTTTATCACTCTACTTTACACAAGCTTTAGGGTTAGGTACCTTTCCGGTCCTCTCAGCCTGCTTGCTATTCCTTCTGTTGGAAATTTTCAGTCTTTCTAGTCACACAATCTAGCTAGGTGTCATCCCTCTAGAAATACAATAGAATGTGACCTTTGTCCCATTGTTTAAGCTGCTTTAATAATAAAAGGGGGAGGGGGAGTGGCGGGAGGAATAAGGTAAAACAAAAAGGTGGAAGAAAGAGAGAGGAGGCTGGGCGTAGTGGCTCACACCTTTAATCCAAGCACTTTGGGAGGCCGAGGCGGAAGGATCACCTGAGGTCAGGAGTTCGAGACCAGCCTGGCCACCATGGTGAAACCCCGTCTCTACTAAAAATACAAAAATCAGCAGGGTGTGGTGATGTACGTCTGTAGTCCCAGCTACTTGGGAGGCTGAGGCAGGAGAATCGCTTGAACCCAGGAGGCGGAGGTTGCAGTGAGCCAAGATAGCGCCAGACTCTGTCTCCAGAAAAAAAAAGGAATGGAAGGAAGCAACAGAGGGAGAAGAAAAGTGGGTAGGGATGAAGCTAAAACACAGAAGAGGGCGAAATGGTTGGTGGATTAATCCCAGGGAAGAGAGACTCAACAGTGGGAGGAAAGGGAGCAGAAAGGAGCCCAGGGGAGTAGGACCAAGCCGCTCACTGAGGGAGGAGGCCCTCACAGACAGGCAGGCTACTGAGGTGGATGACCATACTCATGCCAGCTATTTGAGAGTTTTTCCTTGGGCGTGGGTGGGGAAAGGAGCTGTTAACAATAACAACAAAAACTAACACTAGTAAAGTACCCACTGTGTGCCTGGCGGGTTTTGAATGCTTTAGATATATTAACTCCTCCAAAACCCCTGAGAACCCAGGAGGTAGATGCTATGATGATACCTGTTTTACAGACTAAGCGCCCAGCACCCGAGGCACTGAGAGAGAGGTTAATGCCTAAGGCCAGACAGCTGGTGAGTATTTCACCTACGTTTCAACACCAGCCATCAGGATGACCAGGAAGGACCAGGAGAGGGGTTTAGTTATTACAACAAGAAAACTCTGGAAGTAGCCAGGATTTTTTTTTTTTTTTTTTTTTTTTTTGAGATGGAGTCTCACTCTGTCACCAGGCTGGAGTGCAATGGCGCAATCTCGGCTCACTGCAAACTCCGCCTCCCGGGTTCAAGCGATTCTCATGCCTCAGCCGCCTGAGGCTGGGATTACAGGCATCTGCCACCTCGCCTGGCTAATTTTTGTATTTTCAGTAGAGATGGGGTTTTGCCATGTTGGCCAGACTGGTCTCAAACTCCTGACCTCAGGTGATCCACCTGCCTCAGCCTCCCAAAGTGCTGGGATTACAGGCGTGAGCCACCGCGCCCGGCCAGGAAATTATTCTGAAGGACTCATCCCGTACCCATGAGATGTAACAAATACTATCAATCAGTGTGTATCACTTTAGCCCCTTCCCCAATCATTGCCACATGTCTGTAATGGAAAAAATAAAAACAAAACATTGCTCATCAATTTAATAAACTAAAAACAAAATATGAAATACCCATCCTGGGTACACTCTACAGCAATGACATCGAGTGAAGAAGGTCTATGTTAGCCAATATGGAAAAAAAAAATCTCTAAGAGAGATTGTGGACTTCAAGAAAAGCAAGTTGCATAATAGGTATTATAAGAGACTGAATAGAGGCTCCAAAGGCATCAGGTCCTAATCCCTGGGGTCTATAAATACTACCTTATTTGGATAAAAGATCTTTGCAGATGTGATTAAATTAAGGATCTTTGGATGGGGAAATTATCATGGGTCACCTGGATGGTACCTTAACATAGTCGCAAGTGTCATTATGAGAGAGGGGAGGGAGATTTGACATGAACGCACACAGGAGAAGGCAATGTGAAGGTGGAGCAGAGAGAGATGAACAGACACTGGCCTTGAAGATTGGAGTGCAGCAGCCACAAGCCAAGGAATGTTGGCAGCCACCAGAAGCTGGAAGACACAAGGAACCAATCCTTCAATAGAGCCCTTGTTGGGAATACAGTTCTGCTGACACCTTTTCATCCCAGTGACACTGATTTTGGACTTCTTCCCTCCAGAACTGGAAGGAATACATTTCTGTTAAGCCACCAAATTTGTGCTACTTTGTTACATCAGCCATATGAAAACTTATACAGGTGCATCTGATATCATTTATATTAAAATGTACACAAACACACAGAAATATTATGAAGGCAAAAATCAATTTTTGCCTTCATAGGTTAATAGAACAGACGTGAAGAAGCCAGGTGTGGTAGTGCACAACTGTAGTCTCAGCTACATAGGAGGCTGAATGGGGAGGATCGCTTGCACCCAGGAATTCGAGGCTGCAGTGTGTCTTGGTTGCACCACTACACTCTAGCCTGGGAAACGGAGCCAAATCATGACTCAAGAAAAGAGAATAGACTTAAAGGAGCTGGAGGCAGGGAAAGAAGAGAGAGAAAAAAAGTAATGGATGCCTACAAAATTGGCCCCATTACTACAATCAGTTCAATCTATTCCTTTGGGGCATAACCTTCACCTGAGGATTTTTCTTTTGCAAACTAAACTCTGACCTTTTTCCTCTCTTGCCCAAATTCTTATCTAAAGGACCTGGGGAGTCACACCCTACAAACCATAAAATCTCATCCCATGGGTTTTACTTAACCCTATATAACTTGGCTTACTTTCCAACCTGACTCTGGCATAAAATCACATGACAGATATGGAAGGAAATCAAAATATTTTATAACCAAAAAATGTTTCCTTGCCATATTTTGAAATGCTCCTACAAAGCCGGTGTGTGTGTGTGTGTGTGCGCGTGGGTGTGTGTGTGTGTGTGTGAGTGTGTGTGTGTGTGTGTGTGTGTGTGTGAGAGAGAGAGAGAGAGAGAAACTGCATCTGTAAAGAACCTCTACTAACATTACTGGGTCCTTCCCCTTTCCAGACCCTCTCAACGGTGAAGAGATTAACTAAGTCTAGCATCTTTCAAGGTCTGAATAGGAAACACTTGCCATCTATTGTCTCTGATGGCAGCCACCTATGAGACTTCATAATAAGAACCTTGGTCTCCACCACCCCTTATCTTAACCCAAACACTCCTTCAGGTCTTTAGATAATTACTTAACTCTTTCAACCAACTGCTAATCAGAAAATATTTGAATTCACCTATGACCTGTAAGTCCCCACGTTGAGTTATGCTGCCTTTCCAGACAGAACCAATGTATACTCCACATGTGGTGATTGATATCTTATGTCTCCCTAAAACAAAACCAAACTGTAACTCAACCACCTTGGGTACATGTTTTCAAGGCCTCCTGAGATTGTGCCTGGGGCCACGGTCACTCATACGTGGCTCAGAATAAACCTCTTTAAATATTTTATAGAGTTTGACTCTTTTCCTCGTCATTTTGTTGTGAAAAGAGTATAGTATTGTGCCTTGCAAAGGGAAATAACCCTCATTTCCAATCTTTTTTTTTTTTTATGAGATGAAGTGTCAGTCTGTTGCCCAGGCTGGAGTGCAGTGGCACAATCTCAGCTCACTGCAACCTCCACCACCTGGGTTCAAGTGATTCTCCTGCCTCAGCCTCCCCTAGTAGCTGGGATTACAGGTGCCACCCCCCCACCACACCCAGCTTTTTTTTTTTTTTTTTTTTTTTTTTGAGACAGATTCTCGCTCTGTCGCCCAGGCTGGAGTGCAGTGGTGCAATCTCAGCTCACTGCAAGCTCCGCCTCCTGGGTTCAAGCAATTCTCTGCCTCAGCCTCCCGAGTAGCTGGGATTACAGGCGCCTGCCACCACGCCCAGCTAATATTTGTATTTTTAGTAGAGACAGGGTTTCACCATCTTGGCCAGAGGCTGGTCTTGAACTCCTGATCTCCTGATCCACCCGCCTCCACTTCCCATAGTGCTGGGATTACAGGCGTGAGCCACCGTGCCTGGCCCAATTTTTTAGTAGAGATGGGGTTTCACCATGTTGGTCAGGCTGGTCTCAAACTCCTGACCTCAAATGATCCGCCCACCTCAGCCTCCCCAAGTGTGGGATTACAGGTGTGAGCTATCGCACCCGGCCCCTCATTTTGCCTTTTTTTTTTTTAGACGGAGTTTTGCTCTTATTGCCCAGGCTGGAGTGCAATGGCGTGATCTCCGCTCACCGCAAACTCCACCTCCCGAGTTCAAGCAATTCTCCTGCCTCAGCCTACCGAGTAGCTGCAATTACAGGCATGTACCACCACATCCAGCTAATTTTGTATTTTTAGTAGAGACGGGGTTTCTCCATGTTGGTCAGGCTGGTCTCGAACTCCCGACCTCAGGTGATCTGCCTGCCTCAGCCTCCCAAAGTGTTGGCTTTACAGGCATGAGCCACCACACCTGGCCTCTCATTTTGCATTTATAACTCAAATTGCAAAGACACGCTTCCCTAAAAAAAATGTGTCCCGAGTACTGAATTTCTGCTCTTCCTCCAATGTGTTCACCAGCCAGAACCACCACTGCCTGCCACTGGCCGCAGGGCACAAGCCAGTGGGGATGGGAGGAAGGGGAAGTTCAGCACACCCATCCCCATCCTCCCACCAACACCCCTGAGCCCATGCCGTTATGGAGAGGGTAGCCCCATGGCAGGCTCACCCATGGGTAATCCCAGACTAGATTGAGCTGTACCCTGGTCCCAACATTGCACAATCCCACCAGGCCATGCAGTCTTAAACCACACTCTTCTTGCAATTTAGAACACATTTCCTAAACATTTAAATTTCTTTCCAAGAAAGGTTCCCACACAACTTTTCACACATGAACTATTCTATTTTTTCTAAATTTGAAATGCATTGGTAAAAAGCTAGAACCATCCCTCACCCTACCCCACACACACAAAAAAAGTGTTTTCCATTAAAGAACAACCAAAGCATTAAAAACACTAACACAAAGAGACTTGCAGGAAATTACCTTTCGGGAGATTTCTTCCATTTGTTAAAACTAATTTGTCACCCAACTCCAGACATTGTGTGAGGCCTGCCACTCCAACATTTGGGTAAAGAAAAGCAGTGCAGAATTCTGGGTGATTTCAGGCCAGGCGCAGTGTCTCACGTCTATAATTCCAGCATTTTGAGGGGCCGAGGCAGGCGGAACACCTGAGATCGGGAGTTAGAGACCAGCCTGACCAACATGGAGAAACCCCGTCTCTACTAAATATACAAAATTAGCCGGGCATGTTGGTGCATGCCTGTAATCCCAGCTACCCAGGAGGCTGAGGCAGGAGAATCGCTTGAACCCGGGAGGCAGAGGTTGCAGTGAGCCAAGATCGTACCATTGCACCCCAGCCTGGGCAACAAAAGCAAAAGTCTGTCTCAAAAAAAAAAAAAAGAAAAGAAAAGAAAATTCTGGGTGATTTTAATTGTCAAACACATCTTTCCTTATATTCAAAGAGAAATAAGACACTGCTTCTAAAATCCTGATATTCTTTCAAATGTAAAGCTTAAAAGAAGTAGGTGGAGTGGAATGAGGACTCCGGGCTCTGGGAGCTACATTCACCCCACATGGGCAGGTGACTTCATCCCCAAGCTCCAGGGTCTTCATCTATAAAAGGGTATGGCTGGGTGAGCTAACACTGCGAAATGTATGCAGGTAGAGTTGCTCTTCCATTTAAGAACTAAGTCATCCAAAAGACAGTCAGTATTTGGAGGACTTGACTCCTACTCCTTTTTCTTTATCATCAGATGGGTGATTTTTTCCAACCATCACATTTCCAAAATGAAAATGTAACAGCTTGCAACAATTGCAATATACTTAAGATGTAATAATGGAAAATGAGATGTTATTGATTGGAGAGGGAGGAGAAGTAACCACAATGGTATCATCAAGTCAGAGGAAGAAAGAAAATTAACAGATGAATTCTTCAAGACTGAGATTTGGTTGCCACCCACTACAGATGGCAGAGTCCTGAGTAGCAGTCCCCAGACAAAACAAGATATATATTTAATATGTGAGGCAGTCCTCGAAAGGACGCTCCATATCCTTTCAATTGCAAGGGGAATTCCGCATTCTAGAGTGCGTCGCAGCTAAAACTTACATCCTACATCCATTCTATTTGACAATAATACACAGACACTCAACTGTTTGTCTTGCACTTTTGTGTGAGCAAGACAATTTCCTTTTTAATTCCAGTGAAACAAAGTATACAGTGGAGCTATTTTAACAATACCTAAATCAAGCCATATGTTTTTGGAGAGGTATATTAAGTGTGGCATGTCACGCCCTCAAGAGGAAGGCACTCAGGTGTAACTTGAGTTTGAATGAAGCACCACTGTATCTGTGACTTTGCACCTAAAGAATAGGAATAAAGATTTTTTTCTTTTTTTTTTTTTCTGAGACAGAGTCTCGCTCTGTCACCCAGGCTGGAAGTGCAGTGGTGTGATCTCGGCTCACTGCAACCTCCGCCTCCCAGGTTCAAGTGATTCTCCTGCCTCAGCCTCCCAGTAGCTGGGACAACAGGTGTGCACCACCACACCTGGCTAATTTTTGTATTTTTAGTAGAAATGGGGTTTCACCATATTGGCCAGGCTTTTCTTTGAACTCCTGACCTCGTGATCCGCCTGCCTCAGCCTCCCAATGTGCTGGGATTACAGGTGTGAGCTACCACACCCAGCCTGTATGTCTTCTCTAGAGACATACCTATACAAGTCCTTAGCCCATTTTTTAATCAGGTTATTAGTCTTTTTGCTATTTCATTGTAAGGGTTCTTTATATGTTTTTGGGATTCACATCTTATCAGACATATGGTTTGCAAATATTTTCTCCAAATTCCATGGGTTGCCTTTTAACACTGTTGATTGTTTCCTTTACAGGACAGAAGCTTTTTAGTTTGACATCACTAATCATCAAGGAAACACAAATCAAAATCACAATGAGATATCACCTTATACATGTGAGGATGGCTATTATCAAAAATACAAAACACAAGTGTTGGCGAGGATGTAGAGAAATTGGAACCCGCTGTTGGTGGGAACGCAAAATGGTACAGCCACTATAGAAAACAGTAAGTTCCTGAAAAAATTAAAAATACAACTACCATATGATTCAGTAATGCCACTTTTGGGTATTTTTTGCTGCTTGTTTTTTGTGCTTTTTAAGATAGGTTCTTGCTCTGTCACTCTAGCTGGAGGGCAGCGGCACCATCCCTTGATTTCCTGGGCTCCAGTGATCCTCCTGCCTTAGCCTCCGGAGTAGCTAGGACTACAGGTACACATCACCACTCTCAGCTAATTTTTATTTCTGGGGGGGCGGGTAGAGGGAGGGTCTTACTACATTACCTAGATTGGTCTAAAATCCCTGGTCTCAAGCCATACTCCTGTCTTGGCCTCCCAAAGTGCTGTAATCACAGGCATAAGCCACCATACCCAGCTTTACTTTTGGGTATTTATCCAGAAGAATTGAAATCAAGGTCTCAAAGAGATACCAGAACTCCCATTTTCACTGCAAAATTATTCACAATAGCTAAGATATGGAAACAACTTAAATGTGTATCAAAAGATCAATAGATTTTTAAAATGTGGTGTACACACACACATACAGGATTATTCAGCCTTTAAAAAGAAGGAAATTCTGCAATATGAGCCAACATCAATGAAATACCCAGTTACGCAAAGACAAATATTGCATAAATGCACTTATATGAGGTATCCAAAAATATTCAAATTCATAGAATCAAAGACTAGAATGGTAGGACTGGGAGGAAGGGAGAATGAGGAGTTACTAATCAGTAGGTATAAAGTTTCAGTTCAACAAGATAAGTAAGTTCTAGGGATCTGCTAGACGACACTGTACATATAGTCAACAATACCATATTGTCCACTTAAAAATTTGTTAAAGATAGATTTCATGTAAAGTGTTCTTACCACTGTAAAATAAATTTTTTTAGAAAGAGGTATCTGTAGAGTAGTGAAGACAGAAAATACTCTCTTGGTATATGTTTTCTGCTAGTGATTTTTGCCATTTTATTAGTTGGTCAAAACATTCAATTTATTGCACTTATAGCTATTCGTGCCAGAACCTACTTTAGAGAAATGCAATAAGGTGAGATAAGATCAACTTTAAATTCTTAAAAAGAAAAACAATATATTTTAGGAGGTATGAAAACGATCTCATTCATTTTTAATGATTTAAAGAAAATTTGAATTTAAGTTCCAAGGTTTTCTTCCGAGAATAAAATAAGAATCCTTCCTTTACATCAGGCTAATTCATTTGTATTTCTATGAAAAATGACTGATGGTAACCAGGGACTCAAGAAAACAAAGATCTTTCCAAACAAGCCCCACATAAAGAGAAAGCAATGTGGCCCAGACAAGTATGTACCCAACCATTCAAGGAAGCAGTGGGAAACAGTAGCAGAGATGGACTTTGGTGTAGAGATTTTTAAACTCTGCTATTTCAGCTCTTCCCCTCACCTAGAGCATGGCAGGATCAATTCCATTAGCATCTTATAGGAGTGTAGGGTGTGTAATAGTGAGAAGCAACTTCGATTGGACCAAGGAGCATTTATTAGATTCAAAGTGGCCTTGGGCAGGTTATCCAAATCCTCAAAGGCTGAGAGTTTCCACAGCTCTAAAATTTTTCTCACAGGGTTTTCCTGAGTATTAAGTGAATTAAGGTATGCAAAGTGTCTTTGCACGGAGCCTAGCAAAAAAATAAGTAATTCATAAATTTGGTTTCTTATCATGAGCTTACTTCTCCTGGAGAAGAATAAGTTAATTCTGTTTGTGCCCTAAGGAGGGAGGGTGGCTGCCTTATTCATACCCACAGCCCACAAATCCAGGAGACTATCTAACACACAGTCGGGGTTCAATCCATATTTGTGAACTGTGAATAAATGCTTGCCAAATGCCATGCCCATAATGTTCCCGTAGTGTGCCCTGATGTCTATGGTTGAGCAAATTTATTTAGGGTTGAGCAACTGAAAAGGTAAGCCAGGAGAGTGCTAAGAAGCTGCAGCAGATGTTTCCATTTGTCCTCCTGAAGGAGCACTTCCTCTCTCTACGATGTCTCCAGGTTGGAAATATTTCCCGTGCCACCCTCCTGGGTTACACATGTGTAGGTGTGCAATGCCTTAGAAAAAGAGATTGATCTCAGCTCACTGCAGCCTCTGCCTCCCAGCTTCAAGCCGGGTGCAGTGGCTCACACCTATAATCCCAGCAATTTGAGAGTGCCAAGGCAGGCGGATCACAAGGTCAGGAGATTGAGACCACGCTGACCAACATGGTGAAACCCCGTCTCTACTAAAAATACAAAATTAGCCAGGCATGGTGGCACATGCCTGTAACCCCAGCTACTCAGGAGGTTGAGGCAGGAGAATTGTTTGAACCTGGTAGGAGGAGGTTGCAGTGAGCCGAGATCGCACCATTGCACTCCAGCCTGGGCGACAGAGTGAGACTCTGTCTCAAAAAAAAATAAAATAAAATAAAATAAAATAAAGGAAAAGAGATTGAGTTACCTGATGCCAATGTCAACAAAGCCAAATTTAGTGTGCAAAATTATGGGCTATAATATTTTTTAAAATATAGGGAAGGGTTCCTGGTGCCAATGAGTACTTTTAGCCTGGGAAGGGGTGACCATGACCAGAAGCATTTTTTTCTGTGTCTAACCTGGTCACCTTGCTAGAGAGTTCCTCTTTACCAGCAGCTTCCAAGGGCACTCTGAAATCTCCTTAAAATACTCCTGTACTGAAACTCCTATAGCAAATAATACCTCAAAGATCGTCATCAAGCATTCATTCAACAACTAGGTATTAAGCACTTACTATCTGCCTGCACTGTTTTAGATAATGGAATACTGCAATACACAAAACTGACATCTGCCTCGCCCCACCTTTTCACCCTTGCCCTATTCCATTTTCAACAAAGATGCCTTTTCCTTAAATGGACCCTGTTATCACTCACAGATCTGGCCTTTCCAAATTAGAGTCTGGAATGCACAGTTAGCCAAAGAACAAAAGACGTCTTTCTTCTCACTGCAGTATAGTCTGGAATTCCATGGGTAAAGACCCAGAAGGTCACTTCTGGGGCTTTACGTGGAACTAGACATGACCTCCCAGGGCAGCCCCCACACTGATGGTCCCTCCCCACAAGCTCCCCATCCACCTTACTAGCCTGAGGACGCCTCTTTAGCCCCAAAGCTTGACTCCCTGTTCCCTCTTTAACCTCTGCCCTTCTTTCTCACATGCCAATGGACAAGAATGTCTTCTTTGTATCATCTGTCCCTTCCAGGCTTTTTTTCAGTGGGAGAAAATAACAGAACACAGACGAATGAAAAGTTTGGGAACTTGGAATGGAGAGGGAATGTTTCCTTAATTTTTCCCTCACATCCAACAAGCATTTGAATGTCTGCTCAATTCATTCAGCCACAGCTATCTGTGCTTCAACGGAAGGCACTGTTTCACAGATAATGCAGAGGTAGATAGGATACAGTCCATTTTCCTAAATAGTTTATAACATGGTTGGACTGATAGCATACAACAGTGCTCTAAGAGCATGTACCTCTTGCAAAGTAGCATTTTACCCACCCTATGACTTTCTCAAAGAAGATCATACTCTCCTCAGCCTAGAAGACTAGGAAATGTGCATTTAGCTTTACCGCCCTTCAGATCCTTGGAGCTCCTGTTCTGCGTTAAACTTGTAAACCACACGGATGCTTCATGCCAAAGGGCACCTAGGATTGCATGTCAGGGTAAGGCACCTTCCTCAGGAGGCCACTATGCATACAAATCCACCTACCCACCACAGCCATGTTCAATTAGTAGTACTTATTCTCATTCTTACAGTTATTTATCTCTTCACAGACTTCCACCCCAAGAAGTTGTGAATCACACAGTATTTCTGAAAAGGCATCCTTGCCCTATGCAAGGCTGCCAATAGCCAAAAGGAGGCATCTGAGGGAAGGAAAAAAGAACTGCACCATGCATGCATGAAGTTGGCAATTTGCAAAAGAAATCTGAAACAACATTGCAGGCAGAAAAAGCAGGAAAGAGGAGATGGTAAGAGACATAAATGGTGAATTGGGGTCAACAGGAAATCCTGCCCAGAAAATAAAATGTCTTATGCGACAATGGAATACTCACATTCTTCTTACAGTTTTCTCTATTCCATCTGGCCAAACGGGTTTGGCCTAAGAGGCCTCTGATAGAATAGAGTTGTTGCTCTTTTTAGTCAGCAGATGTAATACAAAAAACATATGGATCATCACAGACAGTAATTTTTTTAAAAACCCAGGTTGACATCACTTTTTTTTTTTTTTTTTTTGAGATGGAGTCTCGCTCTGTCGCCCAGGCTGGAGTGCAATGGCGTGATCTCGGCTCACTGCAACCTCCACCTCCCAGGTTCAAGAGGTTCTCCTGCCTCAGCTTCCCAAGTAGCTGGGATTACAGGCACATGCCACCATGCCCGGCTAATTTTTTGTATTTTTAGTAGAGATGGGGTTTCACCGTGTTAGCCAGGATGGTCTCGAACTCCTGACCTTGTGATCCACCCTCCTCGGCCTCCCAAAGAGCTGGGATTACAGGCGTGAGCCACCACACCCGGCCTCATGCCTAATTTTTTTAGTATGTAAGTGCACATGTGCAGAGTTTCCAATATAATAAACAGAATAATATAAATGCAGAAAATGTACTATGGTATATTTCCACAAATTGCAAGTTCTCTTTCAAAAAATACAAATAGGCCAGGCATGGTAGCTCAGACCTGTAATCCCAGACAAGGCGGGTGGATCACCCGAAGTCAGGAGTTGGAGACCAGCCTGGCCAACATGGTGAAACTCCGTCTACCAAAAATGCAAAAATTAGCTGGGTGTGGTGGTGAGTGCCTATAATCCCAGCTACTTAGTAGGCTGAGGCAGGAGACTCGCTTGAACCTGGGAGGCAGAGACTTCAATGAGCCAAGATCACACCACTGCACTCCAGCCTAGGCGACAGAGAGAGACTCCGTCTCACAAAAAAAAAAAAAAAAAAACAACAACAACAAAAAAACAAATAATGCACAGTCTTTAAAAATCAATTACAGAAGTATGGTGATGTCAATACCAAACAAAATATTATTACATAACTTCCACCTCAATATTGCAAAGTTGGGACCCTAATTCCAAAGATACACACTTAAGCACTATTCTTTTTTTTTTTTTTTTTTTTTTTTTGAGACACAGTCCCGCTCTGTTGCCCAGGCTGGAGTGCGGTGGTGTGATCTCGGCTCACTGCAAGCTCTGCCTCCCGGGTTCACACCATTCTCCTGCCCCAGCCTCCCGAGTAGCTGGGACTACAGGCGCCTGCCATTGCGCCCAGCTAATTTTTTTTTTGTATTTTTAGTAGAGACGGGATTTCACCGTATTAGCCAGGACGGTCTCGATCTCCTGAACTCGTGATCCTCCCGCCTTGGCCTCCCAAAGTGCTGGGATTACAGGTGTGAGTCACCGCGCCCGGCCCTTAAGCGCTATTCTAAACATGTTAGAAATTTATCTCAGTCTCTAAACTTACTCCTTTCCCCTCAATATTACACCACACTTAATAAGTAGAATTTAAACATGAAAAGAAACAGGTTATTCCAGCATTAACTTCATGGCATTTTGGTAAAGTGAGTAAATGTGATATTGCAATGCCAGCCTGTGAAGAGTGCCATAGGAAGCCATCTGCCCACTTAGGTCAGCATCTCAGTAAAGGACATTCCTGGGTGTTGGTAACCACTTTAATTTTCGCTCCTGTACCACTTCAGCTAACTCTCCCCCAGCATTTGTGGTTTGCTGATGGGAGTGATCTTATCCACCCTAAGTCAATTTTCATTCCCAGTCACACTCTTCCTTTAGTTTGAACTACCCATATATTAGTCTTTCATTATAAAATAATGCCCTGCTTTCAGACTCTTGCTCTATTTTGGTACATCCTTTTAAAGTAAAATGCATGCCATTAAAATGCATTTGTTCCATTGAGTCAGATTTTTAGACTCATTATGATGCTCATTGTTGACACAATAGCTTCCTCAGATACACAACAATCTGTCATAAAAGACCCATACTTGGATGGGGGACAAGAGTGTTTTGCAAAGGCTGTCTTCTCAATGCAGTTGCTGTCGAAGACATACGTTAATATCATCCTAGTTAAAGAGTATTTATTCTAAAAAGTGCAGACTATTTAAATAGAAAATGACTTCATGAGCTATTTCTGCAAGTTCAGTTACTTCTGAGAACAGTGTTGTTAGATATTTAGTGGTAGAAATGAGCAGCAGCTAATAGAAGTTAGCATCCAAAGCACCCTACCAGGAGAACATTCTCTGCTCAATTTGACTGTGGCATAGATTCCCAAAGTCATTAATTTTCCATTCTTTACCATAATCAATAAGCATTTCAGGTTTCAAATTACACTGCAGATTTCACTTCAGATTTAAGTGAATGCTTTTCTTGCATCAATAGGAAGGAAACAGCTAATATTAAAATGCCACCAGGTTCAAAAATACTACAGTTGGGTCATTTGTTATAAAAATAAACCTTAAAATAAAAACGTGTTCTTCCCCTCAGAAGTGTTAAAATGACATCTAAAATAGAGGGGTGACACATCCTTACAGAGTGAAGTCATGCTTTATTCTGAATCATGCTTGATAGACTCAGGAAACAAAGTCAATATTCTGAACAATTAAAATGCCAAACTGAGTCTATACCAGCTAACAGAGGATAAAACACAAAATATATTTCAAAATTTCACTGCTATGATATTTCATTTGCTATGCTACCATTTATTCATTTATTTATTTATATTTGAGACAGAATCTCACTCTATCACCCAGGCTGGGGCACAGTGGCACGATCATAGCTCACTGCAGCCTCGACCTCCCAGGCTCTGGCTATCCTCCTGCCTCAATCTCCCAAGTAACTGGGACCACAGGTGCATGCCACCACATCTGGCTAATTTTTAAATTTTTTGTAGAGGCAGGATCTCACTATGTTGCCTAGGCTGGTCTTAAACTCCTGAGCTCAAGCAGTCCTCCCAAAGTACTAGGATTACAAATGTGAGCCACTGTGCCTGGCTATGATACCATGTAAATTCTGATTTCCCTCTTTCTAGAATACAAACTCTAAGGCTCAAATATTTTGAGGGCCATTATATACTTAGAAATATAGAGCTAGGCCAGGAACAGTGGCTTACGCCTGTAATCCCAGCACTTTGGGAGGCTGAGGTGGGCGGATCACAAGGTCAGGAGTTCGAGCAAGCTTGGCCAACACAGTGAAACCCCATCTCTACTAAAAATACAAAAAGTAGCTGGGTGTGGTGGTGCGCACCTGTAATCCCAGCTACTTGGGAGGCCGAGGAAGAAGAATCACTTGAAACCGGAAGGTGGAGGTTACAGTGAGGAGAGATCGAGCCACTGCACTCCAGCCTGGGCAACAAGAGCAAAACTCCATCTCAAAAAAAACAAAAAAGAAAAAGAAATACGGAGCTAGAAAGAACTTTAGAGAAAAACAAAGTCCAAAAGTCCAGAGAGGTTAAGTGATTTGCCTAAGATCAAACACCCAGCTATGACAAAGCAGGACGAAGTTAGAACTTATGTTTCTGTGTGCCTAATTCAGAGATCTCCACATTAGATAATCCTGCTTCCTGTCTTGAAAAAAAAAACGCATCAATAGGTGGTCAGAATCACCCTTGAAAAGAAGAAATAGAAAACCATAAATGGTATTAAGGTAGTATGTATGCTCTGTGCCTAGTAGTTACATTAGCTTTGAAATTAAGCACAAAACATGGTACATAAATTATATCTCAATAAAAATGCTGCATTTTTGTGATCCCATTCACAAAAACATCACCATATATAAAATATCTAGTAATTAACAAGACTGACACAGGGTCTATACAAAACTTTATCTGAAGAACATGAAAGAACACCACTAAAGGGTGGCACATTATTTGTTACTGGATGAGAATAATTATGTAAAAATATCAAATCTCCCAAATGGGTCTAATGTCATCTCCTTCAAAATTATAAGAAAATTCTTGTTGAACCTTAACAAGAATGAGATTAACAAGACTAAAAAAGCTATTTGGAAGATGGAAAGGGGAAAAATATCCAAGATTTTTTTTAATGGAATCAAAGTTTTTTTTTTTTTTAAGTACTGATACTATATATTAAAACAATCCATGAATTTGCAGGGCTTAAAATACCACTACTTGCGCACGATTAGGAAGCAGGGCATTCATTGAAAGAGTACAGAAAGCCTACATATAAAATATCTGAATATATGAGGGGAACTAGCAATTTGACTCAGAGAACAAAGAAGTGTTCAACTTCTTGAATAATTGGTCACTGCTAGAAAAATAATGTTAGCTCTCTACTCTAAGCAATATGGCAATATAAGACCTATGTGAATTAAAGAGTCCAATGTAAAATAAATGAAACAATTTTTTTAAAATAGGCAAACACAATAATTTCCAAATGGAAAAGGACTTTGTAATACCAAAGAGAGAATGCATGAACAAAATTAATCACTCACTATATAAAAATTTGAAAAATCTATATATTAAAATTGGTGTGTGTGTGTGTGTGTGTGTGACAGAGTCTCATGCTGTCACCCAGGCTGGAGTACAGTGGCACGAGCTTGGCTCACTGCAATCTCTGCCTCCCAGGTTCAAGCGATTCTCCTGCCTCAGCCTCCCAAGTAGCTGGGATTACAGGCATCCGCCATCATGCCCAGCTAATTTTTGTATTTTTAGTAGAGATGGGGTTTCACCATGTTGGCCAGGCTGGTCTTGAACTCCTGACCTCAAGTGATCCGCCCACCTTGGCCTCTCAAAGTGGTGGGATTACAGGCGCAAGCCACAACGCCCAGCGTATATTAGAAATTTTTTAATTCCACACACTGAATTTTAAAACATGCAGGGTAAATTCTTGCAACATGACTAACAAAGTGATACAATCCCTATTATATAAAGACTATGTACAATTAAGCATAAAAAGAATGTACAAATATAAAAATGTACAAAGGATATGTCTGGTAACTGAAAAACTAGTGAGTAATAAACAGGAAAAAATGTTCAAAGGCAGTCATAATCAGAAAAATGCCAACTAAAACTATTTAACACTATTTTTCATCAACAAACTGGCCAAAAAATTTTATTCATAATATTCAGAGTTGATAGAGCACAGAATAAATAAGCATGCTCATATATAGCTTACAGGAGTGCAAATCAGTGTCAACATTTCAAAGGCTTATAAAATTGCTACAAAAGGCTGGGCGCGGTGGCTCACACCTGTAATCCCAGCACTTTGGGAGGCCGAGGCGGGCAGATCACAAGGTCAGGAGATTGAGACCATCCTGGCTAACACGGTGAAACCCCGTCTCTACTAAAAATACAAAAAAATTAGCCGGGCGTGGTGGCGGGTGCCTGTACTCCCAGCTACTCGGGAGGCTGAGGCAGGAGAATGGCGTGAACGTGGGAGGCAGAGCTTGCAATGAGCCGAGATCGCACCACTGCACTCCAGCCTGGGCGACAGAGCAAGACTCCGTCTCAAAAAAAATTTAAAAAAAATAAAAATTGCTACAAAAACACATGCTCACTGACCCAGCAATTTAACTATAGGAATGTACGCAAAGGAAATAATCAGAATGTATAAAAGATATATTTATAAGTCTATTTATTAGAGCATCATTTCCACAACAGACTTTTTTTTTTAATTTAGTGTTTAACGAGAGAGAATTAAGTAAATTTTGCCATAGATGTCTATGGATGTTAACACTAAACAGCCACTAAAATTTGTTTATAACAGAACCCCTAATGCCTTGGGAAAATGGTCACAATGAGCTGCTAAAAAATAGAAGCAGAAAATTTGTTGCTTAATAATTAAAATTATGTTTTAATATGTATATATTCCTGATGAGATCGAACACTCAAAAATATTAACTATAGCTCTCTCCAAAGTAGTGGGATTATCGGTGCTATTAATTGTCTTCATTGGGCTTTTCTTACATATCCAAATTTTCCACAATTAACACGTATTAAAATGTTTTAAAAAGCAATCAGTCTAATAAGCATTAAAACATGTTAATATATAAAGATATTAAAATTAAAATTCTTTAATATAGTAATACATTAAAGTGTGACCAGCTGATAAATTTCAACTGAAACATACTGAGGATTTGAGGGGTGAGGGGAAAAGTCAAACCAAAGGTGATCTCTTTTTTCCTTTTTCCCATAACTTTTCAAAACTCTTTATAATGGAAGATGTCAATCATAAACAAAAGCAGAAAAGAAGAGAAAGTGAACTCCCATTGACCCATCCCTCAGCTTCAACATTCACCAACTTGGAAGAAAATCCCAGACATCACATCATTCTATTCATAAATATTTCAGTGAGTATCTCTAAAAGATAGGAAAGCTATTTGTTGTTGTTTAAACATAATCAAAATAACATTATCACACTTAAGAATAATACGTAATCCCTTAATATCATCAAATATCCAGCCAGTGTTCAAATTACCCCAAGTGTCTCATAAATGTTTTGTTTTGTTTTACAGTTAGTATGTCCAAATCAGAATCCAAATAAGGTCCACACATTTATGTAAATCTCTTTTAATCTATAGGTTCCCCTCCATCTCTCTTCTGTCCCTCTTATAATTTCTTTGTTGAAATAATCCAAGTGGTTCATCCTGTAGAATTTCCCAGGATTTGGACTGTATTGAATTCGTCTCCATGCTATGGGTAGCACATTCCCTTGGTCCCACATTTCCTAAAAATATGCTAGTCAGGTCTAGAAGCTTGGGCAGATTCAGGTTTGATTTTTTTTTTTGACAAGTCTATCAAACGGTGGTATTATTTATTTCCAGGAATCTTGTCTGCTTGTCTCTTTTGTAAAGTTAACATCTATCGATAATTATTGCCTAAACATATAATTCACTATGGATTGCGGAATGATGGTATCCTATCACTCCTTTTCATGTATTACCTGGAACACATCTATAGAGAAATTTATCTTCATATACTATTTGGTTATTTTGAGGTACAAGTTATGTGGCAACCAAGAATAAATATTTGATTCTTTCTCTTTATTTACGTTTGCAAAATATCAGGCTAGTTCCTAGCATAGGGTAATCCTTATAAAGTGCAAATCTGATCCTAGCACTCCTGTACCTTCCCATACAACTTTTAAAAGGGAAACCATTGCTCCTAAGACAAAGCAGGGCATCTTCAATGAGATCTCCTAAGCCATGAATAGTCTGACCCTGACCTGTCTCCCAGGTTTGTCTTCTGAAAACCTCTTTGATCCCCACCATGTTCCTGCCCACCACAGACCATTTGCACAACTGTTCCCTCAGCCTGAGATGCTTTCCTGTCTTCCCTACCTACTGCCTATCATTAATTCCTCTTCATCCTGCAGGTTTTATCTTAAATGCCACTTTCTCTGGGAAGCCTTTTCAACTCCCAAAGTCTAGGTCAGTCTTATTTGCCATATGTCCCTTTGCTTCAAAGCACTTATCTCAACTTGTAACTGAACACTACTTTGTGTGAAGCCTTCATTATTGTCTGTTCCTCACTCCCCAAATGAAAGCCTATTGGAGCAGTTGGCATGTCTGTTCTGGGCCACAATGACCTGGAGCCAGAACCTAGCTCTATGCCAGGTGCATTATCATTTCTTCGTAATTATGAGTGGTGTGTGTTTGTATTCTAACATTTGCTTATTTTTTTTTTTTTTTTGAGATGGAGTCTCACTCTGTCACCCAGGCTGGAGTGCAACGATGCGATCTCCACTCACTGCAACCTCTGCCTCCCGGGTTCACGCCATTCTCTTGCCTCAGCCTCCCAAGCAGCTGGGATTACAGGCATGAGGCACCACACCTGGCTAATTTTTTTTTTTTTTTTGAGACAAAGTTTCACTCTGTCACCCAGGCTGGAGTGCCGTGGCGCGATCTTGACTCACTGCAAGCTCCGCCTCCCGGGTTCACGCCATTCTCCTGCCTCAGCCTCCAGAGTAGCTGGGACTACAGGCGCCCGCTACCACGCCCGGCTAATTTTTTGTGTTTTTAGTAGAGACAGGGCTTCACCGTGTTAGCCAGGATGGTCTCGATCTCCTGACCTCGTGATCTGCCCTCCCAAAGTGCTGGGATTACAGGGGTGAGCCACTGCGCCCTGCACACCTGGCTAATTTTTGTATTTTTTAGTAGAGACGGGGTTTCACCAGGTTGGCCAGGCTGGTCTTGAACTCCTGACCTCAGGTGATCCACCTGCCTCGGCCTCCCAAAGTGCTGAGATTACAGGCGTGAGCCACCGTGCCCGGGCCAACATTTGCTTATTCTCGTTCATTCAAAAGGCATTTACTGACCAGAACATCTAGCTTCTGTTGGGCATCATGTCAGGTGCTAGGGATTTTGAGTTGGTAACAATCTAATCTAGAAGATAGACAAGTAAACAGACAATTCCAAAACAGTGCTTATTGTTCCATCATACAGGGTACCAAAGAGTAATACCTGAACACCTGGGCAGATGTGACAACAGGGCACATTTAAATTAAAGCAGTATTCTCTTCCGGGTAAAAGACAGTATCAGATGGCCATTTTAACACAGCTGGATCCAAATGAATGAGGACATAGAAACCAGAAGGATTTTTATAAGACATTCAGTTCAACTCAACACAAGTTTCCCTTACCGTGATTCAAGGGATTAAGGCTCCTGCCCAAAACATGAGTTTTATGAACCTACTGAAGATTGAATTCTCACACATTAAGGACTTGAGACAAATAGAGTGCCAAAAAATATATGTTTTAAACGATTGTGTTCACAACATATCATAAATCATCAACATAAGCTATTGGGTGTAACAAATCATTTTATTAGCATAGATGTTCTTAATGCAGAAATTCAGCTCTGCTAGAACTCAGAGTTATGATTATATGGCTATGATTAGATCAGGTAAAAATAGTTCCAGAGGTTGGGTGCAGTGGCTCACGCCTGTAATCCCAGCACTTTGGAAGGCCGAGGCGGGCAGATCATGAGGTCAGGAGATTGAGACCATCCTGGCTAACACGGTGAAACCCCGTCTCTACTAAAAATACAAAAAATTAGCCGGGCGTGGTGGTGGGCACCCGTAGTCCCAGCTACTCGGGAGGCTGAGGCAGGAGAATGGCATGAACCCGGGAAGCCGAGATCGGGCCACTGCACTCCAGCCTGGGGGACAGAGCAAGACTCCATCAAAAAAAAAAAAAAAAAAAAAAAAAGACCGTGCTTGGTGACTCATGCCTATGATCCCAGCACTTTGGGAGGCTGAGACGGGTGGATCACCCGAGGTCGGGAGTTCAAGACCAGCCTGACCAACATGGAGAAACCCCATCTCTACTAAAAATACAAAATTAGCCAGGCGTGGTGGTGCATGCCTGTAATCCCAGCTACCCAGGAGGCTGAGGCAGGAGAACTGCTTGAACCCAGGAGACGGAGCTTGTGGTGAGCCAAGATCGCACCACTGCACTCCAGCCTGGGCAACAAGAGCGGAACTCCGTCTCAAAAAAAAAAAAAATAGTTCTAGACTCTGTTTCTTCCACAACACTTAAGATTTTTAGGGGGAGGGATATCGTATACATCTTTACATCCCCAGTACTTATCCCACTACCTGGCATAGAGTAAGACCTCAGCAATGATAGAACAAATGAATGAGTGATTTCAGATAGAAAAGCTTTAAATAATGCAGAAGAGATGATGGATATAAATAGGGTGACTATAAATTAATCATCTAAACTGGAACACTTCTGAGAGTGAGGATTCTCTTAATAAGCATAAACTTAAAATATCCAAAACAAACCAACTCTTCACCTTAGCCTTAAGCTGCAGAAAGATCAATTCATTATTTATTTGCTTAAGACTTGGAAGAGTTTTTGAGGACACCAGTGATGGATTGGTGGCCGTGATTACTTTATTTTATTATTATTATATATATACATATTATATATATTTATATATATATTTATATATATTTATATATATAATTTATATATATATATTTATATATATATAAATTATATATATATATAATTTATATATATATATATATATATATTTTTTTTTTTTAAACAGGATCTTGCTCTGTCACCCAGGCTGGAGTGCAGTGGCGCCATCACAGCTCACTGCAGCCTTGACCTCCCAGGGCTTAAGTGATCCGACGGCCTTGGACTCCCAAAGTGCTAGGATTTCAGGTGTGAGCCACCGCCCACAGCCCGTGATTACTTTAAACTGCTTCATGAATGAGGGCACTTGAGTGATCAAAAGAAATAAGATACTCAAATTCATTTGTCCTCAGAGAAATTTAAAATGCAATCACAATGAGATTCCACTACTTGCCTAAGAGAATGGCTAAATTTAAACATTGATGCTATCAAGTATTAGCAAAACTGTTCACAATCAGAACTCTCATACACTACTGATAAAAGTGTAAATTGCGGCCGGGAACAGTGGCTCACACCTGTAATCCCAGCAGTTTGGGAGGGCGAGGCGGGCAGATCACGAGGTCAGGAGATCGAGACCATCCTGGCTAACAGGGTGAAACCCCGTCTCTACTAAAAATACAAAAAAAAAAAATTAGCCTGGCATGGTGGCGGGCGCCTGTAGTCTCAGCTACTCGGGAGGCTGAGGCAGGAGAATGGCGTGAACCAGGGAGGCGGAGCTTGCAGTAAGCCGAGATTGCGCCACTGCACTCCAGCCTGGGTGACACAACAAGACTCCATCTCCAAAAAAAAGAAAAAAAAATGTGTAAATTGCTACAGGTGCTTTTGAAATACTGTAAGTATCTACTAAAGTTGAACATATGACCTGCGACCCAACAGCCCCACTCCATAATAGAAATGCATACATATGTTCAACAAAAGATATGTATAAGAATGTTCATAATCATTACATAATGTGTCCATATATCAACAGATCACACTGAACCCCTTAAATATATGCAATTGTATTTGTCAATTAAATATTTTTAAATTAAAAAAAAGAATGTTCACAGCAGCACTATTCCTAACAGTCAAAAACTAGGCATAATCCAAATGTCCACCAACAGTAGAACGAATACAATGTGGCCTCTTCAAACAATTGAGTACTGTACAGCAACGAGAATAAAGAAACTATTGCTATACTCGGCAACATGGCTGAATCTGTTGAGCATGGCTGAAAATGTTGAGCAAAGAGGCCAAATACAATGAGGAACACTGCGAACAACTTCATTTACATAAATGGAAAATAGTATCAAACTTCTATCTATAATGATAAAAGTCTTGATAGGAGTTACCCTTGGGAGAGGGCAGAAGGGGAGCTACCAACTTCTTAACCTAAAAGGTTGACTTTATGGTAATTCATTGAATGGTACACTTAAGACTAGTGTACTTATCTTTATGTATATTATACATAATTAAAAGTTTATAAAGGCCAGACTCGGTGGCTCACACCTGTAATCCCAGCACTTTGGGAGGCCAAGGCGGGCAGATCACCTGAGGTCAGGAATTCGAGATCAGCCTGGCCAACACGGTGAAACCCCATCTCTACTAAAAATACAAAAATTAGCTGGGCATGGTGGCGCAGGTCTATAATCCCAGCTACTTGGGGAGCTGAGGCAGGAGAATCGCTTGAACCCAGGAGGCAGCAGTTGCAGTGAGCCAAGATCGTGCCGCTGTACTCCAGCCTAGCTGACAGAGTGAGACACCACCGAAAAAAAAAAGTTTATGAAAAAAATATATACCCAAGAGATGATATTCTTATGCTTTCTTTTTCACCCAAGAGTTATTTACTCAGCAGACACTCCGTTGACCTCAGAACCATCTGAAAGGGTTGACAGGGCAGATATTCAGTAAATGTTTGATGGTGATGATGCTCTTTATAAGAATTGACCCCGCACTTCCTACTTCAGAAGGTTTCTTTTTCCTATTTCTACTCACTGTTCTGTTCAATATCAGACCAATAAAGACTACCAGAAAACAAGAAGTGATGTCGCCAAATTTGCAAATTAACAGAAAACTATAAGAGAAATATCAAAACATTGAAAATTCTGGCTTCTTAGATACTTACAAAAATAGTTGAGGGAAATGAGAAAAAGGTATGAGTGTTAGTATCAAAGGGTAAGTGTAACCATTTTTTATGGGCTGAATCACATCGCCCCAAGTCCATATGTTGAAGTCTTAACTCCCAGTACCTTAGAATGAAACTGTATTTGGAGAGACTGTAAAGAGGTAATTAAGTTAAAATGAGGCCTTCAGGGTGGGCACTAACCCAATATGACAGGGATCTTTAAAAGAAGAGGAAATTTGGACACAGACACATAGAGAGGAAAATAGACATTTACAAGCCAGAGAGAGAGAGGCCTGAGAGAGATCCTTGCCTCATGGCCCTACTGACATCTTCATCTCGGACTTCCTGTCTCCAGAACTGTTTTGAGATGGAGTTTCGCTCTGTTGCCCAGGCTAGAGTGCAGTGGCATGATCTCGGCTCACTGCAACCTCCGCCTCCCGAGTTCAAGAGATTCTCCTGCATCAGCTTCCCAAGTAGCTGGGATTACAGGCACCCACCACCATGCCAGGCTTATTTTGTGTATTTTTAGTAGAGACGGGGTTTCACCATGTTGGCCAGGCTGGCTTCGAACTCCTGACCTCAAGTGATCTGCTGGGCCTTGGCCTCCCAATGTGCTAGGATTACAGGTGTGAGCCACCACACCCAGCCTGAGAAAATAAATTTCTGTTGTTTAAGCCACCCAGTCTGTGATTCTTTCTTATGGCAGCCCTAGCACACTAATAAACCATTCTCTGTGGAAAGTTCAGAAACTTCTATGCACATGTTCAAGATTTGCTGTTGTGTCTGTCATGTGTGTGTCTCAGAGTATAAACTCCTTTATTTAACACAGGGCTGCACCTACATAATTTATTCATTTGTCAAGCCATCTTGAGCAGCTATGTGCTCAATACTCTTGTTTGTTTGTTTGTAACACTGATTTATATTCCTCTCTCAAGGCTCACTTCTCATTTCGTCCTCTTTTGCATCTGGGCGATCCCCGAACTAGAGAAATAAAGTTTCTCCTGCTTCTAGAAACAATGGGTAGAAGCGCCTGTCTTGAAAACACAAAGAAGACTTCTTTCCAGCAGATAAATGAATAGAGGTTTCACCTTCCCACCAAAAACAGAAAATGAAAAAGCGGGTAAAAGTCACAACTCTAGTGTTACCTGTTTTTTCCCTGCCTTTGTGACTTTTCCCCTTTTCATTTTGTCTTTTAGGCAGAGGTAGCAGTAGAGTGCTGCAATGAGGAACATTAGAGCTCTAACTTAACCTTTCATGAACATCATTTATCTGCACAGTAGGGTCAAGCTCCTGGTCCCACTGTGGTTTTACTGGGCATCCCCAGTTTTCTAGTTCTACTTTTGCCACAAAAAATGCAGTAAATCTTTCCTAAAGTATACATCCGGCTATGCACAGTATACAATTAATTCAACTGCACCTGTAGCAGACCTTCCAGAAATCATTGACTATAATTTGTCAGGATTAACCTTTGATAAAACATAAATTTGTCCAAATCCAAAGCACTTTAAAGAGGTGTAGAGGTTCATTTTTATTACACCAATGCTGTTTCAGCAAGATGATGGAGGCAAAAAAAAATACTGATGCTGAGCACAGTGACTACTCTGTTGGACTGCATCTTTAGTGTCATAAACTTGCCATTTCAGCATGGGAAGAAGTGATTCACAACCAACTGCATCTTCCTTGGTTAGTCCTAGAAACGTCAAGCCCTGTAACTAAAAAGAGAAAAAGAGACCCTTACAGGTCCACACACTCAGTACTCAGTATTATAGTGACAAATGAGGAGTCTGTGTTGCAGCATTTTAAAATGTTTATAGACAGGACGGGCACAGTGGTTCACACCTATAATCCCAGGACTTTCTAAGGCTGAGGTGGGCAGATCACTTGAGGCCAGGAGTTCGAAAACAGCCTGGCCAACATGGTGAAACCTTATCTCTACTAAAAGTACAAAAAAATTTAGTCAGGCATGGCAGCGGGTGCCTGTAATTCCAGCTACTCGGGAGGCTGAGGCAGGAGAATCACTTGAACCCAGGAGGCGGAGGTTGCAGTGAGCCGAGATTGTGCCACCGCACTCTAGTGTGGGCGAAAAGAGCGAGACTCCATCTCAAAAAAAAAAAAAAAAAAAGGCTTGGCGCGGTGGCTCACGCCCATAATCCCAACACTTTGGGAGGTCGAGGTGGGTGGATCACGAGGTCAGGAGTTCGAGACCAGCCTGGCCAGCATGGTGAATCCCTATCTCTACTAAAAATACAAAAAATGTAAAAATAATTTTTAATTTTTAAAAATACAAAATACAAAAAATTAGCCAGGCATGGTGGCGCACGCCTGTAATCTCAGCTACTCAGAAGCCTGAGGCAGGAGAATTGCTTGAACCCGGGAGTCAGAGGTTGCAGTGAGCTGAGATGGTGCCACTGCACTCCAGCCTGGGCAGCAGGGCGAGACTCCATCTCAAAAAAAACAAAAAAAAAGAGGGACCCTCAGTTCCAGAAATTGCCTACCCCTTCCCTGGAAAACTCATGGATAATCTACCCCTCATTTAGCATATAATCAAGAAGTAACAATAAAAATGGGCAACCAGCAGCCCTCGGGGCTGCTCTGCCTATAGAGTAGCCATTCGTTATTCCTTTGCTTGGTTTTTTTTTTGTTTTTTTGAGACAGAGTCTGCTCTGTCATCCAGGTTGGAGTGCAGTGACATGGTCTCAGCTCATTGCAACCTCTGCCTCTTGGCTTCAAGCAATTCTCGTGCCTCAGCCTCCCAAGTAGGTGGGATTACAGGCATGTGCCACCACGCCCGGCTGATTTTTGTATTTTTAGTAGGGACGGGGTTTCACCATGTTGGCCAGGCTGGTCTCGAACTCCTGACCTCAAGTGATCTGCCCACTTCGGCCTCCCAAAGTGCTGGGATTACAGAAATGAACCACCACACCCAGCTGTATTCCTTTACCTTTTTTTTTCTTTTTTTTTTTTGAGACAGAGTTTCACTCTTGTTGCCCAGGCTGGAGGGCAGTGACAAGATCTTGGCTCACTGCAACCTCTGCCCCCTGGGTTCAAGTGATTCTCCTGCCTCAGCCTCCTGAATAGCTGGGATTACAGGCGTGCGCCACCACACTTGGCTAATTTTTCTTATTTTTAGTAGACACGGGATTTCATCATGTTTGCCAGGCTGGTCTCGAACTCCTGACCTCAGGTGATCCGCCTGCCTCGGCCTCCCAAAGTGCTAGGATTACAGGCGTGAGCCACCATGCCCAGCTAATTTTGTATTTTTAGTAGAGACGGAGTTTCACCATGTTGGCCAGGCTGGTCTTGAACTCCTGACCTCAGGTGATTTGCCAGCCTCAGCCTCCCAAAGTGTTGGGATTACAGGTGTGAGCCACCGGCCCGGTTCCTTTACTTTCTTAATAAACTTGCTTTCACTTTACTCTATGGATTCACCTCAAATTCTTTCTTGTGAGAGATCCAACAACCCCCTCTTGGGGTCTAGAATGGGACCCTTTTCTGGTAACATAGGAAAACCTAATAATTCATGGAGTGTTTACACTGCATGCAGTGGTGGCTACAAAAACCTTAGCCTATCAAAATACACATAACATTTGTAAGACATCCTATTGCAAGTCTCTGGCACTCAAAAATGTTGGTGTCTGACCAATTCTTCATGATAAAACGTAGAACCCAGCCTTCCGGGGATATTCCAATTTTGCTAATTTGAAATATTCCTTAAAACTGATTCTACTTTCCCTTGGATGATCATTCAAATCACAAAGGCAAGTAAGGGCACTGTCTACAAGGCTCTATCACAAGCCCTTGGGCAAGTCACTCAGCTTTGCTGGGAAGAACCACCCTCCCCACTCTCAAGATCCAAGAACCATTTCTGGAATGAACCAACTCTGAGGGAGTCAAGCCCACATTAACATCAATGGAAATGCTTTTACAGCTCACAGCCAGTAAGTAAATTGGCCCTTTTTCATTACAAAGAAAGGTATTAGAAATTCTGTGTTAAATAACTGTGTCCAGCCTACCCCCAGGTCTTTCCAACGGAGCTTTTAAGAGCAAGCAAATAAAGTTTTATTGGTTCAATAAAGTCTGCTGCCCAGCGGTCTATAGTCACACTATTATTGAGAATGAAACCCTGTTAACTTATTAAATAAACCAGGTATCTCTAAGCTAAAAAAAAGTTGATATTAACCATCGTCATCATTTAGTATAAAAATTGAATCTCAAATCCATGATCAGAAAACCAAAAAAAAACCCTCTAGAAAAGTAATTAAGATACAGTTCTTCATTAGTCATGAAAGAAATGATCTTATCCCAGAATTTTCCACTAACCCATCAGTGGAACAATATTTCATGTAATAAATATTTCCTCGGTTTGCAAATATTAACTAGGCCTGCCTCTTGGCTTTTTTGACAATGAAAGATCTTTACCAAATGATTAACAGAGCTCAAGCCCAAGGAGGAAAATTATTCTATTCCCAAGCACTGTCACATCAAAGCTGAAACCAAGGTTTAAAAAGCGCAATCGGCTGGGCACGGTGGCTCACGCCTGTAATCCCAGCACTTTGGGAGGCCGAGGCAGGTGGATTACGAGGTCAGGAGATCAAGATCATCCTGGCCAACATGATAAAACCCTGTCTCTACTAAAAATACAAAAATTAGCTGGGCTTTGTGGCGCGCACCTGTAGTCCCAGCTACTCCGGAGACTGAGGCAGGACAATCACTTGAACCCGGGAGGTGGAGGTTGCAGTGAGTCATGATCATGCCACTGTACTCCAGCCTGGTGACAGAGCAAGACTCCGTCTCAAAAAAAAAAGCACAATCACAAGATGAAGAAGCGAGTCACACCTATTAGGTTTCTTTACACACAAAATAAATGAAAAACCAGATGTGTATGTAAATACAGAAAAGCAAATATTTCTATTTTCAGGCTCATATTTCTATTTTGAAAGCAAATATTACTATTTCCAGCTCTTTTCTTTTCCTTCTTTTTCCCCTAAATAAACTATACGTACTTCATTTTTTAAAAACTGGCCGTCATACTTGTAGCTTTGTAACGGCTTCCTGATTCACAGGAACCCTACAGAGTTCTTGTTTCCATAGAAGGGAAAATATGCACCCATCCAATCCATCCTTTTCAATACCACAGGAAGAAAAACTTGTTCTAGAAGTTCTGCAGAGATGGTTCCCTTCTCATGAGCATTCTACACAGGAGAAAGTGCACTGCAAAATCAGACTCGGAATATATTCTCTCTCAAAGAAGAGTTTAAAAACATTGCCATTAAGAGGAGCTATGACCAAGAAAAGATTAGAGAAGTCAAATGCCCTCACCCCCACAGCAAAGGGGACCCCTCAGACAGATTGCTCTCAAAGAAACCACATTAGGCTTGCCAACCTTCCCCTACCCAAAAACAAGCAAAACCTATGATTTGTACAACCAGGCATTCAGAGAAAAGGGAAACCACTTGTATTCAGAGTGGTCTTGATTCAGCATCATTAAGTACCCAAATATTTTATCAGCAACATTTAAAAAATAAGGCTTTATTTTCCTCCATTTAATGAATTGTCCATTCTCCATTTTCCCCATTTAAGTGAATGTCTACTTCCACTAAACAGTTACCCACATTGAGCAACGTAAAAAATGCAAGGGCCAGTTTTTCGTATTTTGGGGGAATTTTTTCAATTTATGTAAATATGAAAAGCAAAAAAAAAGCATTCTCTTTATTCATTTTATTGGAAAATATAATATTTAGTAAAAGATATGTTGCTTTTGCTAAAACATTCTAGAACTCTGTTTTCAGCAAAGGAGTTAACAATTCTTTTCCAAAGTTCCGCTGTGTGGGGGTCAAGGTTTAATACTACTAGACAAAAGATTTTTTTATATTAACAATAGGAGAGCCTTAGTCAACAGCAGCCTCAATATCATAATATTCTCCCTAAGTCTGTCAGGAGTTTGCCAAGTATTGTTGTTGTTGTTGTTTCACAACTTTTTTGTTTCTTTTTTTTTTTTAATTTTAGGCCCTCCTTTGATAGTATTGTTGAAGTTATTAATTCTTCCCTGGATAAGGGTTTTTCCACAAGCAATGAAAGAGGTGAAAGTAATAGCCAAGCGACAGTAGGTCTCCGAGGACAAGCCTTTGCTCACCACTCTTTATCATGAAGATTATCTTACTTAGAATTAAAATCAACAACTATTTGCCAAAAAAAAAAAAAGTCTTTAAGTTATGCAAAAATTCTTAGGAACTGCTGGCGGAAATCCTATACTCCAAACATATTAACATCATCTAAAAACAAAAAAACAAGTATTTGACCCTGCCTAGGTGAGCTTTGGTAAATAACATACTATAAGAAATTTTAGCTCCAGTGATTTCTCATTATTTGTCTCACTTAACCAAAGCAAGATAAACAATGGCTAAAAACATTTTCCTGTCACTAATTTCATATTCTCAAAGTTTATTACATCGGAAAAGAGTTGGATAGGCCTTAAGCAGAATGAAGTCTAGCTATATCTAAAAGCATTTCTCTACCATGATCACCTTTCCCTGCTAGATTACTGATCTTGGCGTAATGTTGATATAAGTTTAATAGAAATGCATTAACAGAGTCTCCAAATTCAGTTCAATACCTCACAAGTTAACCCAAGTTAACCCTTCTTCAGTTTTCTTGGCATCCTTCATGGGCCCCCTGTGCAGGAACTACCTGGAGTCGCCCATGTTGAACTAATTTAAACAAAATTCAATTATCTCATTTTCATCAAAGAATCACAGGAAATTCTTGCCATAATGAGGAGTTGCCTGTGGAACAACTATTAGGAAAAGAAGACGAGCATCTATAGGAAAGAACCCATTTTTTTCTCTGAAGTTTTGCATGCAGAAGAAAATACTAAATAAGAACTAATTACGGCTAACAATGAGTAGCTAATGTTTCTGAGTTAAGACCTTTGTGGGCTGGGCACGGTGGCTCATGCCGGTAATCCTAGCACTTTGGGAGGCCGAGGCAGGCGGATCACTTGAGGTCAGGAGTTCGAGCCCAGTCTGGCCAACATGGTGAAACCCCGTCTCTACTAAAAATACAAAAGTTAGCTGGGTGTGGTGGTGCATGCCTGTAATGCCAGCTACTCGGGAGGCTGAGGCAGGAGAATCACTTGAACCCAGGAGATGAAGGTTGCAGTGAGCTGAGGTCACGCTACTGCACTCCAGCCTGGGCGACAGAGCAAGACTCTGTCACAAAAAACAAAACAAAACAAAAAAGAACCTTTGCAAATGTTATCTCTACATCCTGAGACAAACAGTAACCCCATTTTACAGAAGAGGGAGCTGAGGCTCAAGAAAGGATAAGTAACTTGCCCCACAATAACACAAGAGAAAATCTGAATCTTAGAACAATGGAAGTTTTGCCATGGCCCCTAAAATTTAGGGGGCATTACACTTTTTACACAATCTCTAAAGAACAATTTTTTTAATTGTGTAATTTTTGTTTTAGTTGCACACTGATAGGATAACACATATCACACTCAATAGCTTATAAAATCTGAGTTTTCCATCTAGTTAGCAAAAATAATTACTTAGAATTGGAGCCTCCAGATGGTGTAAATGTAGGCTGCCCAATATGGTAGCCACTGGCAGCCATATGTGGATTTTGAGCATTTGAAATGAGGCTGGGCCAAATTGAGATATATTGTTAAATATGAAATATGCATAGTACATATATAAAATACATTTATTTTCATTTTATGTTGAAATTATATTTTCAATATATTGAGTTAAAATATTTTACTAAAAATAATTTCACCTGTTTCTTTTTGTTTTAAACGTAGCTACTAGAAAACTTAAAATGACATCTGTGGCTCACATTTGTGGCCCACATTCTATTTCTCTTGGACAGCACCGAATAAACTGTTGATGAACACTTTTCTGCGCACCAGAAGATGAGTTACTAGATTGATATGACAGCCCAGGACATCCAAATTGCTGGTTAAGGCTTCACTGACATCAAAACTTGTTGATTTCAGTGATTAAATCATGAATTCATTCAGGCAACAAATAATTATTTATTGAGCAACTGCTATGTTCCAGGCAAAATAATACAATGTCTGGCACATGGGCCTGTCTTTAGAGAATTTTGTAAGGAATCTTTTAGATGATGACCCAATCATACCACTTAATACTTCGGTAATAAGGCTGTATAACTATTAATAGTAAAAACTAAATGGCATTGGAGCACATTTTAAATATGGCAGAGAGTGAAGGGGATGGAGTTAACATCAAGGCAAAGACCTCATTATTTCAACATGTGAGGTGGGTTGACTTAAAGCAAAACTGCCTAATGTCAATTTCAACCTTCATCAGAATATAAGGTCAAATACAAGTTCAATTCAATGAGGGAAAAGTCTCTTTCAAATCTAACCCTCACTCTCCTGCAAAGCCAAGGTGGAGATTAACTGATTTTACTTTAGCCATACTATCGTAAATGTCTGCTACAGTTTCTTACTAAAAACAATGAAAGTGACTAAATCTTGCGAAGTCTACTAGCATATTAACATTTCTATGTGGCATCAGGTAATAATATAAGTGCTTTAAAAAATAAATTTCACGGGGTTCCCTCTCTCGGCTTTGGAGCCCCCTGCCCCGTCTCTGTACAGGGGAGCTTCTTCTTTCTTTCTTCCCCCTTTTTTCTTGCCTATTAAACTCTCTGCTCCGTAAAAAAAAAAAAAAAAATTCACAGTAAATCTGTAAAGAAACCCTTACCTATGCTCCAGATCACAACAAACACAAAATTATCAACACACTAACCACAATCTTGCATGTAGCTTCCCTTTCCTTTGCCATTAGTTTAACAATATTGGTAAAATGTTCTAGCAGTTTATTGTTACTCCTACTTGGCTTTACAATGAACTGAGCTTCCTAGATGAAAGATGGTCTAGAAGAGAACTTATTTCCCTACCAAAGAAAAACAAAATGCCTGTTAAAAAAATAAATAAAATGGCCATAATATTGAAAAGAATAATGTTCATCACCAAATCACCAACCAGTCTACTGAGCTAAAATTCTAGATACTTTTATGTGGCTTCCTTATACGTAAAAACAAACTGTTTATATTTCCAAAGGAATGTGATCTCACAATTCCATTCCAATTCAGCTGAAGTCCCAGTAAATACGCTAAGAGTTCTGCTTGAGTAAGAACCAAGCTCATGGTTTCAAAATTACATTTCATGGAAGATTTGAGCAGAAGACATTTTGTGTCTGATCCAGAAATCCCAGAACACTGTCATTTAGATACCGTCAGTGCAAACGAAGAGAAAGCAAGCACCAAGGTAGTATCTAATTAAGACACCAAGCCACCGCCTTGAATGACTTGCTTTTCTGGTCCCTGCTAGATGAAGTTTTCTTTCTTTTTTTTTTTTTTTTTGAGACGGAGTCTCGCTCTGTCGCCCAGGTTGGAGTGCAGTGGTGCTATCTCGGCTCACTGCAAGCTCCGCTTCCCGGGTTCACGCCATTCTCCTGCCTCAGCCTCCCAAGTAGCTGGGACTACAGGCGCCCGCCACCACGCCTGGCTAATTTTTTGTATTTTTAGTAGAGACGGGGTTTCACCGTGTTAGCCAGGATGGTCTCGATCTCCTGACCTCGTGATCTGCCCGCCTCGGCCTCCCAAAGTGCTGGGATTACAGGTGTGAGCCACCACGCCCGGCCTAGATGAAGTTTTCTTCATGGTATTATTAATATTCCAGCAAGGCAAAAAAAAAATTGCTACATTAAAACGTGGTATAAATCTCAGCTTCAAGAGGCAATAAACTCTAAGGGACTAACCTCAGGGGCATTAATTTCTTCTTTTGCAAATGAATGCTCAGATCTTACTGGTCTCACTGTTCTTCCAATAAAATTTTATATCCAAATCTTTAGGCTCTGAATTTCTGAACCAGTGAAGAAGTCAAGTCAGTTCAAGCACTCGGGTATTTGAGTGCCTGTTCTGTGCAGAAACATGCATACTGTGCAGAAGACAGGAACAGGGAACACATCACCCCACCTCTCAGAAAATTTACAGCCTGTATTAATTTCTTAGGGCTGCTAGGACAAATTATCACAAACTCTGTGGCTTAAAACAACATAAACTTACTCCCTCATGCTCTCTGCAGGGCCACGTTCCCCTTGAAGGCTCAGGGGTAGAATCTGTTTGTGGAATCTGTTCCTTGCCTCTTCTAGCTTGTGGTGGCTGCTGGCATTCTCTGGCATTCCTTGGCTTGTGGCCACATCACTCCAATCTGTGCCTCTGTCTTACATGTGCTCTGTGAAGATGATCTCCTGCCTGTCTCTTATAAGGATACTTGTGATTGGATATCCCAGGTCACCCAGGATAACCTCTCTACATCAAGATTCTTAATTTAATCACATCTGCAAAGACCATGTTCCTTTATGGCAACGTTCAAAAGTTCCAGATATTAGAACCTGGTCTTTTGGGAGGAGGCCTTTATCCAGCTCACAGTTCCCGAGCTTCTATGGGGAGTGGGGGATCCCAGCCATGAAACTGAAAACCAAGCAAAGCAGCACAGGATAAATAGGTACTAAACTATATGGTATCAAAACTCCTTCCGCCTGCGTTCAGGGAATACGATCCATGCTGCCTAAATGGGAATGGTCCTCCTGGGACCTGATGAGGCTTACTGTCTCCCAGATGTTCTCAAACGATTGTGTGAGCCTCTGAAGGGCTTCTGTAAGCCCTATAGTATTTATCATTGCAGCTGCTTTGAATGGCCTCCTGCTTATATCATCTTTATTTCACTGAAGCTCCGTTCCATTTCTGTTCCACCTCATTATGATCTTGGCAGGGTTTTGTTTTTTGTTTTGAGGCGGAGTCTCACTCTGTCACCGGGCTGGAGTGCAGTGGTGCAATCTCACCTCACTGCAACCTCCGCCTCCCAGGTACAAGCAATTCTCCTGCCTCAGCCACCTGAGCAGCTAGGACTACAGGCGCGGGCCACCACGCCCGGCTAATTTTTTTGTATTTTTAGTGGAGACGGGATTTCACCATGTTGGCCAGGATGGTCTCAATCTCGTGACCTCATGATCTGCTTGCCTCAGCCTCCTAAAGTGCTGGGATTACAGGCGTGAGCCACCACACCCGGCCGGCAGGGGTTTTTGTTGCTATTTTTTTGTTGTTGTTGTTTGGCTTGGGGCCAGTCTTTTCACGGCTGTAGTGAGCAATGACTTTATAAGACCAAAGAGACATAGAAAGGTTTCTGCTGCCCCAAATTATCACTCTACAGGACACGTCACAGTGCCTAAAATTCCTCACATTTCCTCCTTGGACAAAAGCCCACTGTTAAAACTCAAATATTATTTTGTAGTGGATTGCACATTAAATCACAGTTACTGTGTCTTCGGATACATGAAATATACACTTGTCAAAAGATTAGTTCTGTTGAGTTTTGTCAATGAGTGTCCTGTGAATCTTTAAAAACCAAAACAAATATAATAAATGAGTCCATATTCAATGAGTTTTTTTTTTTTTAAGTTAAACTTTAACCACCAGACATCTCACAGCCTGGCCTAGAGGGCCTGGTGAACCTCCAAAAGGGGTATGCATACAGTCTGCAGAGTTCCCCAAACTCATGCACACACAGAAGGCTCTTTTCTTCTTCTTCTTTTTTTTTTTTTTTTTTTGAGACAGAGTTTCACTCTGTCACCCGGGCTGGAGTGCAGTGGTGCCATCTCGGCTCACTGCAACCTCATCCTCCCGGGTTCAAGTGATGCTCCTGCCTCCGCCTCCTGAATAGCTGGGACTACAGGTGCATGCCACTATGCCGGGCTAATTTTTTTTTCTTTTTTTTTTTCTTTTTCTTTTTTTTTTTTTGTCTCCAGCCTGGCCAACAGAGCGAGAGTCCATCTCAAAAAAAAAAAAAAAAAAAAAGGGTACTCAGAATAGCTTAATACTTTTTAGATAATTGAGAGGGTCTACTCCCATACTTTCAGGATGTCATTTATAGCAGCAGTCCCCAACCTTTTTGGCAGCATGGACCGGTTTTGTGGAAGACCATTTTTCCACGAACAGTGGGAGGTGGGGGGATCGTTTGAGGATGATCCAAGTGCATTACATTTATTGTGTTCTTTATTTCTACTATTACGTTGTAATACATAGTGAAATAATTATGCAACTCACCATAATGTAGAATCAGTGGGAGCCCTGAGCTTGTTTTCCTACAACTAGATGGTCCCATTTGGGGTGATGAGAGACAGTGACAGATCATCAAGCATTAGATTCTCATAAAGAGCATGCAACCTAGGTCCCTCTCATGTGCAGCTCACCAGGTTCATGCTCCTATGAGAATCTAATGCCACTGCCGATCTGACAGAAGATGGAGCTCAGACAGTAATGTGAGTGATGGGGAGCGGCTGTAAACACAGATGAAGCTTGGCTGGCTTGCCTGCTTGCTGCTCACCCTCTGCTGTGTGGCCCGATTCCTAACAGGCCACAGAACAGGAAGTGAGTGGTGGGTAAGCAAGTGAAGGTACCGGTCCATGGCCTGGGGTTAGGGACCCCTGATTTATAGCATTTGAATCAATGCAATACCCTGGAGAAGGGCAGAGGTGATAGCAAACGGAGAGTTCCGGTTTTGGAAATCTACTGGCTGCCTTTGGATGTTTAGCAACGTGTTAGGATCCAAGATTATTCTGTAAGAACAGGAGGCAGAACCTGAGACCACTGAGGCTGGCCAAGATCCACTGAAATTGGCCAGCCATGAGAATCAAGGTCTAAAGAAGGCAAGAACCAAAGACGAGAAGCAGTATCAGGGTAAGAGCAGGCAGAGTTGAGGCCGAGGAACACTGAAGGCTGGGATGTGAAAAGACAGACTATTTGAATCTGTGGACCACGTCATAAAATTTGCATAAAGTCAGAATCAATAGGTAAATAGTAACCTAAGTTGATGCAGAGAAAGGAGGCAGAAAATAAGATGAAGCTGTCATCTGCTGGGGACCTCGGATGTTCGAGCCCATTTTCCAGGCACCTGGATTGACTCCCATGTTCCAAAGGAGATCTAAAAATGCGGGTTAGCCAAACTCCCATTCCTGGCTTCTGAAGCCTCAGATCACACAAACTCTAGGAACTCCAGAGGTCATACCGCAGAGCGAGAACTTGGCATTAGGATATCATGATACTTCTTCCTCTTCTTTGCTTATTTATCTTACAGCCATTTGTCTAGAAACCTATGCAATATATTTAGGTATAGCAGCTCCATCATTACAGTAAAGTGAGAATTTTGAATTTGGCTGAGGAGTCAGACCTCCTGATGGAAATTTTTGAAGAAAAACATTCCATGAACTTTCACCAAAATTCCCACACTGGGATAAATGCTGAACACTTATTAAGAAAGTACCAAAATTTATTTATCTTAAAGACAAAATGAAAACAAGTGAATTTGTCTATCCTTTGAACTATACTAATCTGCAAAACTCAAAGAAGCTGAAAATATATGCTGATAATTTTTGTTGCCTTACCATCTCTTTTCGTTTAATCGCTGAGACCAAATATAGTAGGTGGCATTTCAGCAGGGTTGTCACATAACTAATCATGCCAACCTCCAATGGGCACTACAATGATCAGCCATCAGGGACTAGCATCCTGACTGTGCTAACGCAGTGTGATGTATTTCTAGGAGGCGGGGCAGGCAGGAAGAGATAGCTTTCTAGAATATCAATTTGTGGTGAGGGCTAAAGATAATGAGGTCAGGACTCATGGGGGTCACCAAACAAAGCCTGAGTTCAAATAACTGCCCACCTTTGGGTGTTCTGAGTTTTTAGACTTCTTTCCTTTAAATTGTATTTACCTTCCAATGAAAGCAATGTGAAAGGGTCCCCATTACACATTCTTTTTTTTTTTTTTTTTTTTTTTATGAGACAGCGTCTCACTCTGTCGCCCAGGCTGGAGTGCAGTAGCGCGATCTCGGCTCACTGCAACCTCCGCCTCCGTGGTTCAAGCGATTCTCCTGCCTCAGCCTCCTGAGTAGCTTGGGATTACAGGTGCGCATCACCACACCCGGCTAATTTGTGTATTTTTAGTAGAGACAGGGTTTCATCATGTTGGTCAGGCTGATCTCGAACTCCTGACCTCGTGATCTGCCTGCCTCGGCCTCCCAAAGTGCTGGGATTACAGGAGTGAGCCACCGTGCCTGTCCTCCCATTACACATTCTAATAGCTCAGCTCACCCACTGTAATATCCGGGATTCACTCTTTACACCAAAAAGTTGTTGTGCAGGTGTAGGTCCAGGCCTTGCATAGGCTATGAAACTTCTGGTGTGGAATATTAAAGAAAGCTTGAGTTCTCTTCGTCCTTCCAGGCCAGTACTGAAAATCAGGGGCTCAAGAAATCTCCCAATGAAAGAAACCCACATCACAGGAAGGCAGGCTGAGTTCAAACCCAAGGCAAAGAAGAAAAGCACATGCAGTTTGGCCCAGCTCTGCTCTAGACTTGTTTTAAAATTATTTTTTATTTTATGTTTTAATTTATTTATCTATTTAATTTGGGGGGGATGGATTTTCGCTTTTGTTGCCCAGGCTGGAGCGCAACGGCATGATCTCAGCTCACTGCAACCTCCGTCTCCTGGATTCAAGTAATTTTCCTGCCTTAGCCTCCCAAGTAGCTGGGATTACAGGTGTGCACCACCACGCCCGGCTAATTTTTGTATTTTTGGTAGAAACGGGGTTTCACCATGTTGGCCAGGCTGGTCTTGAACTCCTGACCTCAGGTGATCCCCCCGCCTTGGCCTCCCAAAGTGCTAGAATTACAGGCATGAGCCACTGCACCCCGCTCTAGGCTTTTAGAAAAGAGGGTCTTGTTCCCTCTATTAGAGTGGTGAGATCCAGAAAGCTAGTAGGACCCAATCCTGGGATGTGGGAAGGAAGGCATGAACCAGGTCACTTAGGCCTACCTCTGGCCTGGCATAGGCCCGTCAAAAATAACAAGAAGACGCTGGGCGCAGTGGCTCACGCCTGTAATCCCAGCACTTTGGGAGGCCGAGGTGGGCAGATCACGAGGTCAGGAGATCAAGTCCATCCTGGCTAACACGGTGAAACCCTGTCTCTACTAAAAATACAAAAAAATTAGCCGGGCACGGTGGGAGGCGCCTGTAGTCCCAGTTACTCGGATGGCTGAGGCAGGAGAATGGCGCGAACATGGGAGGCGGAGCTTGCAGTGAGCTGAGATTGCGCCACCGCACTCCAGCCTGGGCGACAGAGTGAGACTCCGTCTTAAAAAAATAATAATAATAACAAGAAGAGGCTGGGTGTGGTGGCTCACGCCTATAATCCCAACACTTTGGGAGGCCAAGACGGGAGGATTGCTTGAGCTCAGGAGTTCCAGACCAGCCTGAGTGAAACAGCAAGACCTTGTCTCTACAAAAAATAAAAAATAATTAGCCAGGCATGGTGGCATGCACCTGCAGTCCCAGCTACTCAGGAGACTGAGGTGGGAAGATCGCTTGAATCCAGGAGTCCAAGGCTGCAGTGAGTTGTGATTGCACCACTGAAGTCATGACAGAGTGCAGTCTGGGTGACAGAGCAAGACTGTGTCTCTAGAAAAACAACAAGAACAAAGAAAAGAGCAAGTAGAGTCCCTAGAGGGTCATCACAGTCCAAAGTAGACAGAGCAGAATAAGAGCTAGAGCTATGAATAAAGAGCATGTCATTGCATAGAGTTTCTTTTCTCTCATACCTATAGAAAGGGAGAGGCCTAAATGCAGAGACAAAGCAAGGTGAAAGCCACAGGGAAATCTTCAATTCAGGGATTCAGGGTTTTCAATTTAGGAATTGTGAGTCTGCCCAAACTTTCTTGGATATCTGACTTGAAGAAGAGAGGAGATGAAAGGATGATCTGAAAATCATTTTTCTTTTGCTGCAGAATAGGGACTCTATGAGTATTGCTATGTATCATCTTTTGGGAGTTCCTTAGAGATAATGACGCCATCCATTAAAATCTGACAAGTAAAACTCTTGAACACAGACGGATTTCACCGTCATGCCGGCTTCTCAACTGCTGCTTGCAACACAATCTCTCCCTCTGAAATCTAAAAACACCAGCAGAGGGCCGGGTGCGGTGGCTCACCCCTGTAATCCCAGCACTTTGGGAGGCCGAGGCGGGCAGATCACGAGGTCAGGAGATCAAGACCATCCTGGCTAACACGGTGAAACCCCATCTCTACTAAAAATACAAAAAATTAGCTGGGCGTGGTGGCAGGCACCTGTAGTCCCAGCTACTTGGGAGGCTGAGGCAAGAGAATCGCTTGAACCTGGGTGGTGGAGGTTGCAGTGGGCTGAGATTGTGCCACTGCACTCCAGCCTGGGCGACAGAGCCAGACTCTGTCTCAAAAAAAAAAAAAAAAAAAAAAAAAAAAAAAACCACCAGCAAAGTAGACCATCCTCTTTTTAAGCCTCATTAAATGTTTGGGTCTCAAGATACAGTCACAGTATTTGCAGAATAAGAGTAAGTCTCAAGGTGAAACTAGAAAAATTATCAGGGTGAGTGGGAGCTCTCAAGGAAACATTCTCTCTTCCTGGTTTACATTACTGATCCCTAATATCTAGTGCAAAGTCAAAAGAGCTGCATTGTGCAATTTACTAGTTTGATAACTTGAACTGGACATTTTGCTGAACCCCAGTTTCTTCGCCTATAAAATGAGAATGTTACTAACAGCTATTATATGGAATTCCAGTGAGAATCAAATAAGATGATGCATAAGATACTGCTGCACAAGTACTTCTGTAATGCTTCTCTACCACTTCTCTGAGAAAAATAGAATACTGAACTATAAATTTTAAGATGTATACTTCATATTCACTAACACCAATAATTAAGAACCTTGGCCAGATATGGTGGCACACACTGTAATCCCAGCACTTTGGGAGGCCAAGGTGGGTGGATCATCTGAGGTCAGGAGTTCAAGACTAGCCTGGCCAACATGGCGAAACCCTATCTCTACTAAAATTACAAAAATTAGCCAGCCATGGTAGTGGGCACCTGTAATCCCAGCTACTCAGGAGGCTGAGGCAGGAGAATCGCTGGAACCCAGGAGGAGGAGGTTGCGGTGAGCCGAGATTGTGCCACTGCACTCCAGCCTGGGTGACAAGAGTGAAACTCTGTCTCAAAAAAAAAAAAAAAAAAACCTTTAAATTTCTCTTGGTTTTCCTTATTTCTAAAATGAAATAGTCTACAATGAGAGAACTACTGGAGTTGTTTGGGTTAAAAAAAAAAAGTCATGGCCTGGCTTGGTAGCTCATACCTGTAATCCCAGCACTTGGAGAGCTGCAGCAGGCAGACTGCTATTGCTTGAGCCAAGGAGTGCCAGACCAGCCTGGGTAACATGGTGAAATTGCGTCTGTACAAAAAATACAAAAATTAGCTGAGCATGGTGGTGTATGCCTGTAGCCCCAGCTATTCTGGGAGGCTGAGATTGGATAATACCTGAGCCGGGGAGGTAGAGGCTGCAGTGAACCGTAATCACACCACTGCATTCCAGCCTGGGCCACAGTGACTTTGTCTCAAGACAAAAAAAAAAAAAAAAAAAAAAGACACTACGTAATCCAAAATACTAGGATTAAAACCACAGTTTCAAAATTCTATCACAGTCTGTAATGGTACCAACTCAAATTTGAAGAAAAAATGGAAAGTCATCCCATTAATTTAAGACAAGTGTCACAGAAATCCATTTCAAACATTATTTCCCCCACAATGATCTGAAGCTATGCATAAATTATCAAAATTATCTATGCATGCATTCCAATTATAAAAATTTTGGCTTCAGATATTCAGGGACTTCTAAGCATGAATTGCTTGAGACCATATCACTCTACTGATCATAAACATGTTGACCCGCATGTTCTGGATTTTCCAACAGAGGGTACAACAGAGTATCAATATCCCCCTACATGGTAGATTTACCTATCCTTACGCATGCATACCTCACAATAAAAGACATTTACATAAGAATAAGGTAAGACTATGAAAATACAGTCTTTTTTTATTCCATCCAAGCTCAAATAATTTTTCTCAAGTTGCTGCCAAGTTGCCCAATACTTAACCTTGTCTAAATACCTTTCTACATCCTAAGCCAAGGATTTGGTGGCTGTTAACTTACACTTAACCAAGATTATGAAAAACTGTTGCTGGGATGCTGGAAAAGTTACATGTTGCCTCATAGAAAAGGAATGCTGGGGCTTAGCAACTGCCCATGGAGTCACTTACCAAAGCTGTGCTTGTTTTGCTCTTCGTTTGGACAGGTTACTTTTCAGAAACTCTTTTAATTTTTATTTATTTATTTTGTAGAGATGGGGTACCACTATGTTGCCCAGGCTGCTCTGGAACTCCTGGCCTCAAGTGATCCTCCCACCTCAGCTTCGCAAAATGCTGGGATTACACACATGAGCCACCATGCCTGGCCTCAGAAACTCCTACTATGTTAGTCATAGAATACCTTAATAACCTAAATTCCAACAGAGTGGATTGTTTCCATTAGAGTTTGTAACTTCTAAAATCATGATTGTGGCTGGGCGCGGTGGCTCACGCCTGTAATCCCAGTACTTTGGGAGGTTGAGGAGAGAGGATCACCTGAGGTCAGGAGTTCAAGACCAGCCTGGTCAACATGGTGAAACCCCGTCTCTACTAAAAATACAAAAATTAGCCGGTCATGATGGCGGGTGCCTGTAATCCCAGCTACTCGGGAGGCTGAGGCAGGAGAATCGCTTGAACCAGGGAGGCAGAGGTTGCTGTGAGTCAAGATCAAGCCATTGCACTCCAGCCTGGGTGACAGAGTGAGACTCTGTCTAAATAAATAAATAAATAAAATAAAATCATGATTGTGACATACACACAGCATCTGGCTCCAATCTGTATGTTTAAATCAATAATCCAAGCTTACCCTGACGCATGGACATATGAATGCCTTTGCTGGGTTCGTATCCAATAGCCATCCCCCTTCAACTGTGTTCTGACACTGGGCACTGATAAGCATTATGAGCCCCTTCCCGGGCCTGGGGTGTTAGTTGACCAGTCTAAGCCTCTCAGATGTGTCTGCTTATCAGTGACTAGTGTTTGTCATGGGCTACTGTAGTTACCCTGGGAAGTCCTCTTGTAGACTTCTGCGAAAGTTTTTCCTCTGACTCATAAAAGGCCAGGATTTGGAGACACTGAAACCCTCATATATTGCTGACGGAAACCTCCAACCTGTAACATGGTATTGTCACTTTGGAAAACAGTTTGGCAGTGTCTTAAAAAGTTGAATATAGCCGGGTGCAGTGGCTCATGCCTATAATCCCAGCACTTTGGGGGGCCGAGGTGGGTGGATTACCTGAGGTCAGGAGTTCAAGACCAGCCTGGCCAAAATAGTGCAATCTTGTCTCTACTAAAAATACAAAAAATTAGCTGGGCGTGGTGGCGGATGCCTGTAATCCCCAGCTACTCAGAAGGCTGAGGCAGGGGAATGGCTTGAACCCGGGAGACAGAGGTTGCAGTGAGCTGAGATGACACCATTGCACTCCAGCCTGGGCAACAAGAGCGAAACTCCGTCCCAAAAAAAAAAAAAAAAAAAAGAAAGGAAAAAAATAGTTGAATATAAATTACCATACAATCCACAATTCAACTCCTGGGTATCTACACCCAAGAGAAATAAAAACGGGTGTCTATACAAAGACTTTTTTTTTTTTTGAGACAGAGTCTCGTTCTGTTGCCCAGGCTGGAGGGCAGTGGCATCATCACAGCTCACTGCAGCCTCGACCTCCCGGGCTCTGGTGACCCTCCCACTGCAGCTTCCTGGATAGCTGGGACTACGGGCATGTGCAACCACACCCACCTAATTTATTGTATTTTTGGTAGAGATGAGGTTTCACCACGTTGCCCAGGCTGGTCTTGAACTCCTGGGCTCAAGCAATCCACCAGTCTCAGCCTCCCAAAGTGCTAGGATTACAGGCATGAGCCACCATGCCCAGCCAATACAAAGAGTTATGCACATATGCTCATAGCAGTATTATTCGTGGTAGCTGCAAAAACGGAAACAACTAACATATCCATCACCTGGTGACTAGACAGACAAAACATGGTATGTCCACACGATGCACCACTACACACCAATGAAAAGGATCAAACTACTGATACATGCTATGACACAGACTGATCTCATAAACTTTATGGTGAGCAAAAGAAGCCAGGCAAAAAGGCCACACTAATTGTAAGATTCCACCTCCATAAACTGTTCTGAAAATGTAGACATATATAGAGATAGAAACTAGTAGTTACCTGTGACTGGTGGATGGGAATAGAAATTGACCACAGTGGACACAAGGGATCTTTAGGGAATGATAGAAAGTTCTGGAAATGGGGCCGGGCGCAGTGGCTCACGCCTGTAATCCCAGCACTTTGGGAGGCCAAGGCGGGTGGATCACGAGGTCAGGAGATCAAGACCATTCTGGCTAACACGGTGAAACCCCGTCTCTACTAAAAATACAAAAAATTAGCCAGGCATGGTGGCAGGCACCTGTAGTCCCAGCTACTCGGGAGGCTGAGGCAGAAGAATGGCGTGGACCTGGGAGGTGGAGCTTGCAGTAAGCCAAGATCACGCCACTGCACTCCAGCCTGGGTGACAGAGCGAGACTCAGTCTCAAAAATAAATAAATAAATAAAATAAAAATAAAGTTCTGGAAATGGTGAAAGTAGTACAATTCTATAAGTCTCCCCACTCCAAAAATCATCAAATAGTATACTTAAACGTGTGCATGTGTGCGCGTGTGTTTGTATTCAGACAAATATTCGGCCGGGCAAGGTGGCTCACGCCTGTAATCCCAGCACTTTGAGAGGCCGAGGCGGGTGGACCATGAGGTCAGGAGTTCAAGATCAGCCTGGCCAAGATGGTGAAACCCTGTCTCTACTAAAAATACAAAAATTAGCTGGGTGTGGTGGCGGGCACTTGTAATCCCAGCTATTCAGGAGGCTGAGGCAGAGAATTACTTGAACCCAGGAGGCAGAGGCTTCAGTGAGCCAAGATCACGCCACCGCACTCCAGCCTGGGCGAGAGAGAGAGTGAGACTCCATCTCAAAAAAAAAGACAAATATTCACCGTTTCTTTCCTAGGTCCAGGTTACCAGCTGACCAGGAACCATGATGTTACTGATCTGCTGAATTAGCCAGTCCTGGAACAGCTATACTCTGAATTCCTTCAAGGTGAAATGAACGAAACAAAGAAAGAGGGAAGGAAGGAAGGAAGGGAAGGGAAAGGAAGGGAAGGGAAGGAAGGGAAGGAAGGGAAGGGAGGGAAGGGAGGAAGGAAGGAAGGAAGGAAGGGAAGGGAGGAAGGAAGGAGGGAAGGAAGGAAGGAAGGAAGGAAGGAAGGAAAGAAGGAAAAAAAAGAAAAAGAAAGAGAGAAAAGAAAAAGAAAAATCCTTACTTTTTAAGCCACTGTTAGTTGACTATTTTCTTACGTGAGGACAAATACATCCTGATTGATATAAACTAGACATGGTGTCACCCTATTCAGTGGTATATGATCCAGACACACATTTAATTTTGGAGGAAAAATCGAGTTTTGAAAATATGTATTTGTGGCTGGGAGCGGTGGCTCACTCCCGTAATCCCAGCACTTTGGGAGGCCAAGGCGGGCTGATTACCTGAGGTCAGGAGTTCGAGATTAGCCTGGCCAACATGGTGAAACCCCATCTCTACTAAAAACACAAAAGAAAAAAAAAACTAGCTGGGCGTGGTGACACACACCTGTAATCCCAGCTTACTCAGGAGGCTGAGGCAGGAGAATCTCTTGAGCCCAGGAAATGGAGGTTGCAGTGAGCCGAGATTCGTGCCACTGCATTACAGCCTGGGTGAGACTCTGTCTCAAAAAAAAAAAATGCATTTGTGGTAATGTACGTATGTTCAAACATTTCTAATTAGGTTTACAACTTTTGGGCTGTGAGGTACATTAAAATGACACGTAGAAGTTGTGCTGTTAAAACTCCATTTTAGGCTGGGCGTGGTGGCTCAGGCCTGTAATCCTAGCACTTGGAGAGGCCCAAGCGGGCAGAACACCTGAGGTCAGGGGTTCGAGACCAGCCTGGCCAACATGGCAAAACCTTGTCTTTACTAAAAATACAAAAATTAGCCAGGTGTGGCCAGGTGTGGTGGCTCATGCCTATAATCCCAGGACTTTGGGAGGCCAAGGCGGGCGGATCACAAGGTCAAGAGATCGAGACCAGCTGAGTGTGGTGGCTCACGCCTGTAATCCCAGCACTTTGGGAGGCCGAGACAGGCGGATCATGAGGTCAGGAGATGGAGACCATCCTGGCTAACACAGTGAAACCCCATCTCTAATAAAAATACAAAAAAAAAAAAATTAGCCGGGCGTGGTGGCGGGCATCTGTAGTCCCAGCTATTCGGGAGGCTGAGGCAGAATTGTTTGAACCCAGGAGGCTGAGGTTGCAGTGAGCCGAGATCACACCATTGCACTCCAGCCTGGGCGACAGAGTGAGACTCCGTCTCAAAAAAAAAAAAAAAAAAAAAAAAAAAAAACAACTGGCCGGGCACGGTGGCTCAAGCCTATAATCCCAGCACTTTGGGAGGCCGAGGTGGGTGGATCACAAGGTCAGGAGTTCAAGACCAGCCTGGCCAACATAGTGAAACTTTGTCTCTACTAAAAATACAAAAATTAGCTGGGCATGGTGGTGAGCACTTGTAATCCCAGCTACTTAGGAGGCTGAGGCAAGAGAATCGCTTGAACCAGGGAGGTGGAGGTTGCAGTGAGCTGAGATCACGCCACTGCACTCCAGCTTGGGCAACAGAGTGAGACTTCGTCTCAAAAAAAAAAAAAGAAAAGAAAAAGAAAGAAAACCCTCTTTCAATTTTAATATGAACTAGCACTTGTCACTCAGCCTAGCTCCCACCTACTCCCCTGCAGGGTCAGTAGGAATGAAATGCCTGGAACATCCCAAACACATTCCAGACTCCATCTTGTTTCATCCCTCCATGTTTCTGCATATCAGTTTCCAAGCCTAAGATGTTCCTTTCTTTGTCTCTCAAAATGCTACGTATCTTTTAAATCCCAACTCAAGAAAGTCTTCCCTGACCAAATAAACAATCACTCCCTCCTCTGCTTTAACTCTATACTTTGTATGTACCACCATTATCACCTCTAGCAAACAATATTGGAATTGATTTCATTATTGCCATCTCCCCTACTGTGAAAAGCAAAGGGTTTCAAGTTAAAACGCAGTTCTATCTTATATGTGTGCGACTCTGGATAAGTCACGTTACTTCTGACTCTCGATTTCTTCTTCTTTAAGGTAAACACAGATATTATCCCATCTCTCTTAGACTACTAATGAGGCTTAACTAAGATAATATATGTGAAAGCATTTTTATCAATTATGAAGTACTGACAAATTTTAGTTTGAATAGATGAGTTTTGTTTTTTTTTTTGAGACGGAGTCTCGCTCTGTCGCCCAGGCTGGAGTACAGTGGTGCGATCTCGGCTCACTGCAAGCTCCGCCTCCCAGGTTCACGCCATTCTCCTGCCTCAGCCTTCCAAACAGCTGGGACTACAGGCGCAAGCCGCCACGCCCGGCTAATTTTTTTTTTTTTGTATTTTTAGTAGAGACAGGGTTTCACCGTGTTAGCCAGGATGGTCACAATCTCCTGAACTTGTGATCCACCCGCCTTGGCCTCCCAAAGTGCTGGGATTACAGGCGTGAGCCACCGCGCCCAGCCAAATAGATGGAATTTTTTAAAGGTATTTAATGGACCACACGATTTAGGAAAAAGATGTGATCTCTCCATTCTGTTAAAACTGCTCTAGTGAAGACTCCCAGTGAGCGCTGACCTCCAAAATGCCTAAACCCACAGATTTATTCTCAGTTCTCATCTTCATCCTTCAGCAACACTTGACACAGATTGTCTTGCCTTCCTCCTGGAAACACTTCCTTCCCTGGGCTTTCACCCCAGCGGCACTCCCTTTTCATTATTACTACTTCCTGCCCACTTCTAAATCTGGAAGGCCTTAAAGCTCAGTATCTAGACCTCTTGTCTTTCTATACTCACTCCCGGGTAATCCCAACCAGTCTCCTGGCTTTAAATAGCATTTAATTTCTTACAACTAACAAATCTGTGTCTCTACACTTCTCTGAAAACCAGACTTGTTTATCAAATGCCTAAATGCTTAAAAAGTATCTTAATTTTGGCCAGGCGTGGTGGCTCACGCCTGTAATCCCAACACTTTGGGAGGCCAAGGCAGGCGGATTGCCTGAGGTCAGAAGTTCAAGACCAGCCTGTTCAACATGGTGAAACCCCGTCTCTAATAATAAAGAAAAATGAGCCGGGCTTGGTAGCGGGTGCCTGTAATCCAAGCTACACGGGAGGCTGAGAAAGGAGAATCACTGGAACCCGGGAGGCGGAGCTTGCAGTGAGCCGAGATGGCGCCTCTGCACTCCAGCCTGGGCTACAGACCGAGAGACTCCATCTCAAAAAAAAAAAAAAAGCATCTTAATTTTAATGCATCTGAACTGAGCTACTGGTATCCTATGCCCCAAGCCTGATTCTCATCTCAGTTATTAGCTATTTGGTCCTTCTGGGAGCTCAGGACAAAAATCTCGGACTCATACTCCACTCCTCTCTGTCTCGTACTTCCCATCCAACCCACCAGAAAAACTTTAATACCAAAATATATTCAGACTTCAACTCCTTTTCACTACCTCCATGTTACTTTTACCCTGTTACCAAGTCAATATCACCTCTCATTGGGATAACTGAAACAGCTTCCTAAATGGTGTCCCTGTTTCTGCCCCTGCCCACCCCTTTCACCTGGTCTCAACCCAACAGCCAGAGTTATCCTGTTACAGCAGAGCTTTCATCCTTTAAAACCTTTCAGTAACATCCCACCTCCCTCGGTATAAAATCCTAAGCCTTTACCATGGCCTTTGAAGCTCCTTGGCACCTACCCGCCATATTCCTCTTTCCTCTCCTACCACTGTCCCCATGGCTCACTCCACTCCAGCCTCTGCACCCTCCTTGCTTTCTCTGAAACATCAGACACTTGTCATTTCCTCTGCCTGCATGCTTTTCTCCCCAGCATCATGTAGCCCATTCCTTCACTTCCTTCAAATCCATCCTCACATGTCACCTTCTCCATGAGGTCATCCCCCACCATCCAAATGAAGTTTGCAACTCTCTCCCCTTCTACTCTCTATTCCTCCTTTCTGCTTTATTCTTCACGATAGTATTAATAGTTGCTCCCTTTTAACATATATTTTACTGTCACTAGTGAAAGCTCTAAGCATGCAGGGACTTTAGTTCATTTCTGTGTCCTTGATGGTTAAAACAATGCCTGGCACATGCACACAGAAAGTACTAAATAAGTATTATGTAAAAGAATGAATGAGAAAAAATGAACCAAGTAGGCTTTCTAGATTCACAAAAAACGTACTTCTAAATACCTGTATCTTTAACAATAATGGGAAGAACTATAATCAAAGTTCTTAGACATGCACGAAATCTAAAAATCAGCAAATTTGGCTGGGCACAGTGGCTCATGCCTGTAATCCCAGCACATTGGGAGGCCAAGGTGGGTTGATCACAAGGTCAGGAGTTCGAGACCAGCTGGCCAATATGGTGAAACCCTATCTCTACTAAAAATACAAAAAAAAATTAGCCGGGCCTGGTGGCGGGCGCCTGTAGTCCTAGCTACTCCTACTCGGGAGGCTGAGGCAGGAGAATCGCTTGAGCCTGGGAGGCAGAGGTTGCAGTGAGCTGAGATTGCACCGCTGCACTCCAGCCTGGGTGACAGAGCGAGGATCCATCTCAAAAAAAAAAAAAAAAAAAAAAAAAATCAGCAAATTTGAGCCACAAAGAAGAAATCAAAGTAAATTTGGGAACACAAATAAGTACCAAAAGAAACTTATAGCAAATAAATGAGTAGAAATGGTACTCAGAATACAACTAAATATGCAGGTAATCACTTCCTTTACTTAATATAAAGGCCAAAGTTAAAGCCGGGCACAGTGGCTCACGCCTGTAATCCCAGCAGTTTGGGAGGCCGAGGCGGGTGGATCACCTGAGGTAGGGGGTTTGAGACCAGCCTGACCAACATGGAGAAACCTGGTCTCTACTAAAAATAAAAAAATTAGCTGGGCCTGGTGGCGCATGCTTGTAAGCCCAGCTACTTGGGAGGCTGAGGCAGGAGAATCGCTTGAACCCGGGAGGCGGAGGTTGCAGTGAGCCGAGATCGCGCCACTGCACTCCAGCCTGGGCAACAAAGCAAAACTCCGTCTCAAAAAAAAAAAAAAAAGAAACAAAGTTAAATAAATGCTTTTGATTTACTTATGAGATGTTTAGCATGCATTATATTCATTATTTTTAGAAGGCATAGCTAAATATTTAGGTTTTCTTTCTGTGTAAGTTTATTGTGAACACCATGGTGGGTTGTTCTACGTTCAGTAATTCAAACTGATCCAAGTCAACGGGCAGTTTTAAATAACCAAGACTATAAAATTTGATATCTATAGTAAAGTTTTTAAGTATATTTGGTTATCACTTCAAACATTAACAACATATAGACATTTTTAAATGAATGTATTATTTTAAACTCTGTAATTACAAAGTATTATATTAGTAGTTGCTATATTGATATATAATCTGCTAATTAAAATGAATGCTTTCAACAAAGTTTTGGAAACATATTAAAAAAAGATATTTTCCTATTTTAATATTGATTAATTCCATATTTTTATTCCTAACATTATCATATCTAGGCAAATATCTGCTAGTAAATTACAAATGAGAAATAATACCTTAACATTCCTATCTGAAACTTCCTAAAGATAAAATGAATATACTCTTCCTTGAACTAAATAATCACTCAGAAGGCAATGCATATTGCTATATTACAGACCTAGAAAATGAAAATCCATGACTTGAGACTTCGTTTCAAAATGAAATGCTATTCTTCTAAGTGCTATTTATATTAACTGTAAGTTTTTTATTTAACTAAAGATCATTCTATAAAATTAGTAATAGAAAATGTGCTACAGTTCTTGATTTCCTCATCAAGAAACCACTGAGCCATCACTTTATATTTTAGCTGAAAAGTGAATAAACACGAGTTTTTAAACCATATCTAAATCATTGATAGCATTGAAAATAGAGAATTTCAGTAAGTCAATTATAGAAAGTCACTATTATCTCAACCTACAGATATTTCAGTAAGAAAATGGAAAGGCCACATACTCCAAGGTAAGGCCATGACCTTCAGAAATATACTCATGCATAGTACGATTTAATAAATGCTCGTTGAAGTAAATTAATCTGCAATCAACTGGATATAAGATTTGAATTAAATATAGTTTTACAGAAAAACATTTAAACGGATACAAACTTCTGTCCAAATTGACTTTGAATATTTCAGTGAATATTTGGTTAATGGGGCCTGAAACTTGTAAGGGAGACAACAAAGAAAGTTTGAAGTAACAAAACATCATTAAGTCATTGTGAAAGCAAGTAACAGTACTTTTTATTATGTTTACAGATGCCTAGCCCTCTGTTTTTTCCTACATAAAAAAATATTACAACAACCATATGAGATAAGTGTTAGGATATACACATTGCAAATGAGGAAATTCGGAGCCATGAAAATCCAGTAACGTGGAGGAGGTATCATAGTAATTGCCTAGGCTGTGATTCGAACTCAGGTCTGTTTTACTCCAAAGTCTCTTTCTAAATCTCTGATATCAACTCTGAGTGGCCATTATAACAAATTCAAACATATTGACTTCAGATATTTGTAGGTAAAACGTTTGTCGAGAAATAATACTGTACTTTCCACCTCCAAAAAAAAAATTCCAGCAGACAAACTTTTATTGAGAACATTTAAGGAAATCTGAAATTTCCATACAGAACACTTAGTTGAGAGTATACTTTACAGAAAATTTAAAGCATATTTCCTGAACTAATGCTACCTGAGCTAAGCATTCAAACAAAATAATTGTAATTAAATCACATTAAGTTTATCATGCCAAGGCGGGGCACGGTGGCTCACACCTGTAATCCTAGCACTTTGGGAGGACGAGGCAGGCAGATCACCTGAGGTCAGGAGTTGAGACCAGCCTGGCCAACATGGGGAAACCCGGTCTCTACTAAAAGTACAAAAATTAGCCAGGCATGGTGGCAGGCACCTATAATCCCAGCTACTCAGGAGGCTGAGGTGGGAGAATTGCTTGAATCTGGGAGGCAGAGGTTGCAGTGAGCCAAGATCGCGCCACAGCACTCCAGCCTGGGCAACAAGGGCAAGACTCCGTCACACAAAAAAAAAAAAAAAAAAAAAAAACTTGATGATGCTGTTAACTCTATTGTTCAATGATGTAAAAACAAACTTTACAAGAGAGGATGTATCTTATTTATAGAAGCAAGTAACAAATCATAGAATCTTAATGTTAAAAGATTTCAAAAATGTTTTAAGTTATTTAACTTAACCTTCATTTTATTGGTAACAAACAGAAGCCCAGGAAGGTTAAGTAGCTTGTTTATGTTTATACAGCTAGAAAGAAGCAAGTTGTAATGTTCCTTTTTTCCTCATAACAAGATAAAAATGTTTCCAATTCCCAGTTAATTTATTTGACCAGACCACAGAAAGAAAGTTCTTACTTTCCATGGCAAACAATCACTTAAACAAGGATTGTAAATATATCAAAATTAACTTTTTATATTACCAACAGTAGTTATGTGAATTTTTAACTACTTTCTCACAGAGGTGAACAAAAACTAATTGTAAGACTTAAAAGAAGGAATAGAAGACTCTTATGACCACTATAAAAACTTGATGTATGCCATAAAGGTTAAACAAATGTACGGGCTCTGTTATTACAAACTCAAGGTTTTCACTCTGAGAGAACTTACTGTATTTTATATAGACTCCCAGTCATTAGACATTTATTTTGGGCCATTTTTGGATTTTGTTTACCAAAATGAAGTGTCAAAATGAAGAAAAATAATAGTAATGCAAACAACATAAGTTCTGCTAACACAGAACTTAGAAATATCTACTGCAATATTTAAGAAGCAAATCAATCACAAATAAAGTAGGATATTTCCCTGCTGGATGCATCATCATTACAAAATTTCCTTAGTGACCATATAATCTGCATTCATTATGTGTGCTAATGTTGAAGAACAGATGGTAAAATTAATAAAATTCCATCACAAATACCCAAATCATCATCCTAAATAAGAAAGGATCTACAGAAAACAGTTTAAAACAAGGAAGTCCAAAGTCATAAATCACTCTGATAACACAGCCGCTCAAAATAACTAGTCAAATCTCTGGGTATAAGCCCCAGACCAAAAATGAAGTCCTCGTAGAGTATCTAAAAAGCAACATACCTTCTTTAAGGTGGAGAATTCCCAGCGATCAAATTGTAATCCATATAGAAAAGGTATCATCAAAAATTCCAATGATTTAACTTTTAAGCAACTCCAGATGAATCCAGGAATGATTTGACCTTGTATTGGTACTTCCATATTGTTGGCTGATGGAAAGATCCAGTAAGAACAACGCAGAATGAAGGAGGTCAGTGCTAGGAAGTACTCCAGCAAATTCATGATGCTTTCTAGATGCTGATAATAGTAATTACACCTATACAATTGAAATTAATTAAAGTTAGCTTCCAGGTCATTCTGCCTCCTCACTTTGTAAAAGAAAGTAATTGTTGCAATAATATATTTCAGTCTTTGATATGAAAACTCAAAACTACATAGTTCTAGCAGTTGAATCATTTCTAGGTACAATAGTAACTACTTCAATAGTAACTACTACTATACAGAATCAAAAGTTGAAGAAGTTAAAAGACAATGTTTGGGCGTTTCCTCAAGTTATTGACAGTGCATGCGCTTTGATGTTTCATTTGTCTTGTCAAAAGTAAGTCCAAGGAAGTGAGGAAAGCCTCTAGCACTTGGGAATATATGAGAGAAGAAAGTGGAGAAGGTAATAAACTATCCTGGCATCAGAAATGATCTCACAAAACATACCTGAAGATAATAACCTTTAGGTTATTCTGCATGTAGAATTCAAAAAGCCTATTCTGCATATTCCTAATATTTAGATATCACCTCAGATAAGGCATACATTTGCCCACTTTCAATAAACCCCCAACTTCAGTCTCCAAAATGCTTTTCCTTTTTTTTTTTTTTTTTTTGAGACAAAGTCTGGCTCTGTCACCCAGGCTGTAGTGTAATGGCACGATCTCAGCTCACTGCAACCTCAGCCTCCTGTGTTCAAGCGATTCTCCTGCCTCAGCCTCCCAAGTAGCTGGGACTACAGGCACGCACCGCTACGCCCAGCTAATTTTTGTATTGTTAGTAGAGACGGGGTTTCGCCATGTTGGCCAGGCTGGTCTCGAACTCCTGACCTCAAGCGATCCACATGTCTCGGCCTCCCAAAGTGCTGGGATTACAGTGAGCCACCGCGCCCGGCCCCCAAAATGCTTTTTCTACAAACCAAATGACAGTATGGGATAAACAACTCCTGTATAAAGTGGAAAAGCGCTGGGAGAAATTGTACCTAAAGTGGCAACGTTTACTGGGTGTTGAGTGTTCCCCTCATTCGCGCATGACCCAACCTAGAAACATTCCTAAGTTAAGCTACTTAGGAAACAAAGTTAGGGCGTCTTCCTTAGCCTATAAAAACGGAGTGGACTGCGCTGCCTCTTCACCCCGCAGCAGCAGAAACAGCCATCCCTCTTTTGGACGGGCGTGGCAGATAGAAACAAAAGGTTAAAACACAAAAGGCGGGGCGGAAGGCTGGGTCAGAGGAGCTTCTGGGGCTCACGTTCTGCTTTCTATTCAAACACACTGAAGTGGGGTTGGGGGCGGGGGGTGATGGAAAGTGAGAGAGGTGAGGACGGATACCAAGGATTGCCTGGGTTATTCCGGGTGGATCGTGAAACTGAAAGGGGCGGACGGGATGGCTCTAACTAGTGGTCCAGGCCCCATCCCCTCCATCCCTGCATCTCTGACAGTCTGTAACCTGTGGCTTCCTCCACCCCATCTCAGCCCCGAAGAAAACTTTCTGAACTCTTAGCTGTTTGTTGTAAACCTCTCCTTGACCGCTAACACAAGGGACCAATCCCCTCCAACCCAAACCTTTCTTCCTTCCATTGTTGCAGCGTTTTTATATTGTGCGTGGTATCTACAGAGCGCTCTGCAGACAGCTAAGTTATACAAACGACCCCCATATCCATATCGCTTTCTTTTGCATGACCAGGGTCAGGGCTAGGGTGGGGGCGAGGCTGGACTTGACCCTCTCAATTTCTGCATATTCATCCCTACATGAGTGCAGCTGGAAGAACGCGAAGCAATACCCCCTCACCCCACCCTTTTGAAACCCTCCTCCCCATCCCCCCAGCCCCTCATATAAAGAAGCACATAAGATAAATGCCTACTTGGCTTTTGCCTATTAAAAATAAACAAATGAAACAATTGCGCGAGTTCTTTAAAGAACAAAAGAGAAGGGAACGGGGAAAGGAGGTACAATTTACCAGCCAAACTTTGCCACTGGGCTACTCCTCTGCCCTCCGAAGGGCGGGGAGCGGGGCGAGTTGAGGGGAGAGAGGTAAACAAGACAACAGTCCCCACTCACCTTCTTCCCCACTTCGTCGCACTTTTAAGGGACATTTCCCCCGCTGCAGTCCACGAGGCGTTCGGACACTTTTTCCCGGCCTGACAGCAGAGAAAGTCGGGGCGGCAAAGTTGCGAGAGGGAGATACCCCGGCGTCCGGGGGAGAGGGGAGGAAAGAGAGTTCATCAGAGTTCCCCCTTTTGTTCCAAGTCCCGGAGCAGACAAAGAGGCGGCGAGCGGCGGCAGGTTTCTCCCTCTCACCCCTTCTTCCTCTCTCCCTCCCCTCCCTCCCCGCCCCCTCCCTCTCCCCGCATCTCCCGCCCGGCTCGGGAACCTCCGAGGCGAGCTGGGGCTGCTCGGTCCCCAGTTCATCACAACTCTGCCCAGACGGTCTCCTCCCACTGCCAGGCTCGAAACTTTCCCCGGGAGATGCCAGCCCTGGCCCCCTCCGCACCGCGCACAAGTCTGGGGTGGTGGGCAGGGGATCTCCAAAATCATTGTTTCCCGGAGATGCACCTCTTTGTTTGCACTTTCCCTGCCAATCAATGTGAAACATTCACTTGGGCGTCGAGTTTCTGTCCATTTTTCGTCATCCCAAGAGACAAAATGCAAAGGGTAGGGGGTCAACCCTAGATAAAGGCGCTTACACAATCAGAGGTGGGGCGCAGGCTAGGCTCTTCATCCTCCTTCCTCCTCTCGGATTCACCCTCCTCCCTCCTCTCGGATTCACCCTCCTCCACCCAATACACAGAACAACTCAAAGGGGCTCCAAGTGTTAGGAAACTCCTCTCCCGCCCTTCCCCACCTACCCCCACCCACGCTGTCCCTCTGGAGAGCCCTCTAATTGGCAGGACAAAGGCCAGCTCCGGGTTCGGCCGGGGCCTCCGCCCATCCCTCGGGGCTACCTGTTGCTGCAGGCGCAGCGCAACTCGGTCCAGGGGCTCCGAGGAAGAATTCCCAGCTCCAGCATCGCGCCCACCTTCTCAGGCCCCGAACTTCCCCTAATCTCAAACTGCGAAGGCAAGGCTCTCAGGATGACCAGGCGCCCTCTGACCCTACAGCCAGGCGCTGCTCACTCGTCCTCTTCCCTACACCACGTCCTCGTGCTCACCCCAAAGATCTGACTCGGGGTCCCAGGCCGCCTCCTCATCCTCCACCCCCTGCCGCGACACGTCCCAGCCGAGCATCCCCTCTTTCCTTCCCCTCCCCCACTGCCTTGTCCGGGACAAATCAGGTGTCTCGGACCAGGAACAGCTCCCGACCCTTCCCCAGGTCCCTTCCAGTCATTCTCAACCTCCAGAATTGGGACCCCATCCACATGGTCCCCCACCCCTCGACCCTGATCCCAACTTCGGGCCATAGCATTAGCTCGCTGAGTGACTCAGAGCAGCACTCGTTTTCCTTCTAGATCCACTAGAATTGAAGAAAAAGAAAGCAGGGAGGTGGGGGAAATGGGAGAGAGTAGGGGCCCGCATGGGGAAGCAATTTCTAGGGCAAAAGAAAAAAACATTTCAATGCGAACACCCACCCTCCAGTTGGTATCCAGCCCGTCGCGCACCTTTGCCTCCACCCTCTTTCCTTTCTCCCCATCCCAGACTTGGAATCCTTTCGGGTTGGTGAAGTTTGGGGGTAGAAGGATGAGGTAGACGGAACCTTGGGGACCTGGGGGCTATGTCCTGGGTTGGCTTGCGGGGGGAGGGGCATTAAGAGGAGGGCTCCCGCTGGGTCCGGAATGTGGTGGCGGTAGGTCCCTGCACCCGCCCGGCGACTCCTTGCCAAGGTCTCTCCTCCAGAGCAGAACAAAGACGCCGCGAGGAGAGCTTCTGTCCTCGCCTCCCCCGCCCCGCGCTTCACTCGCACCAGCCCACGCCGCTCTCGGAAACTTTACAACCAACTTCCCCTAGAGTTCGTGCGCGCGGCGAGTGGGCCAGAAGGAGAAACCGGGACAATCGCATCCCGGGACCAGAGATGCCCTCTTCCGCGTCCCCTCCTGGACAGGGAGCACCACCTCTTGCACCGCCCGTCCCAGTCTGCGAGCTGGGCGACCCGCGGTGCCAGGGCGAGCGGAGCACGCGCTTTTCCCAGCCCCTTAAGCGAATGATGTTTCTTTAGTCTGGACGCGTACAGTACTGGGCAGTGGGGTCGGAGATAAAGAAGCGGCCGCCGGCCACGCGCAGGGCCGCGGCTCTGGCCGCAAAGTGAGGCCGAGAGCGCAGGAAGAGCACGGGTGTGAGCCGCGCCCGTCGGGCCGGGTTCCTGCGCGTCCCGTTCCGCCCTCGGATCCCAGCGAGCAGCCGCGAGGCAGGACTCAGGGACCGCCCGGGCGGACCTCCTGGAACGTCGGCCTCCTCACCTGCGGGGAGCCCCGACACCTGCGCCGTCTCCTTGCGGAGCCCTGGGTCTCTTGGGCAGTCAGTCGCCTACTGGAAGCTCAGGAACCTCATCTTAGGCGAGGAATCTTGAACGCACCACAACCAACCACAAAGAGAAAACAGCCCCCACCCACTCCTGTCTGGCACATTTTCCTCTTTGTTTAATTATGTTGACTTCCAGAATTCTCTTTTTGGGAGAAGCCTACCCTCCCCCAGACAAAACCTTTCCTTCTGTTATCCTCAGGGATCTGCGTGGAAAATAATGAAAAGTCAGTACTTTGAGACAATTCCATTCTGTTGCCTCTCGAAAATGCTCCAGGTTATAGGGTAAATCAACCAAGATAGAATTTTTGACTTCGAAATAACACCCAATACTCCGCTTACTAATCAGAGCTATTAAAACATTACCGATCCTTTGAAAATGTTTACTGTTTGTTTCTCTCTTTTTTATGGGAATGAAGAGTAAGGGTCATTTGCTAGGTGCAAAAGTCAATATGGCCTTAAGAAGGCTTTCTTCCTGCTGCCTGTCTTTATGAAATATTGCTCTCAGAGCTGTTTGAAGTATCTCCCTTTCCCAACCTGCTTGTGAACAAACATTTCTTCCTGGAATCTTGGTCTTCAACAGGTCAGAGCTCCCCCATCTCTGTAATAAAGCCCACTCCTGGGACAATGTATGAGCTGTTCACTCCTACCTTTTAAAAGCATACCATCTTTTCTCAGATGCCACCACAGCTTTAATATATTTTTAAAGAGTTAATTAACATCATCTAGGCTCAAAGATGGATATAGCAGAGCATATCAGCCAGGTATCTTTTCTGTACTAACAGGGCTGGGGCTCCACCAGTATGTCATGGGCTTCCTACTGGCAGGCCAATGGCATCTTACTCTTCCCTCTCTGCTTCCCCATTCAAGGGCTTCCTGTGGCTGCCAGACCCCACTTTGCCAGTGCAGAGGGGCAGGGCAGAGGAGCCAGGCAGTTAATTCCTCTCAGAGCAGCCCTCAACCAATCAAAGATAGGTGTTGAGGCCAGGCATGGTGGCTCACACCTGTAATCCCAACACTTTGGGAGGCTGAGGTGGGTGGATCATTTGAGGGCAGGAGTTCGAGACCAGCCTGGCCAACATGGTGAAACCTTGTCTCTACTAGAAAATACAAAAATTAGTGGGGCGTGGTAGTATGTGCCTGTAAACCCAGCTACTCGAGAGGCTGAGACAGGAGAATTGCTTGAACCCATGAGGCGGAGGTTGCAGTGAGCCTAAATAGTGCCAGTGCACTCCAGACTGGGCAACGGAGTGACACTCCATCTCAAAAAAAAAAAAAAAAAGGTGTTGATATAAAAATACTCCAGCTTCCCCACTGAGCTTAGGACTACGGTAAATTGTACTCTAGTCTCCCAAAGGTGCCCAACTTTGAGTTTCAGATACACACAGCAGTAACCTCCCCTTTAGGGAACAGTGTTACCTGCCTGCCATCCTTCCTTCCTTTCTTCCTTCCCTCCTGGTTTCTCTACTTATTTCCTTCACTCTCTTCCCTGCCAATGCTTTCTAGGATCTCATCCCAAATAGATTACAATACTTGCCCTCAAATCCTACCCTTTGGGTCAGTTTCTGGGGAAACACAACTAAGAAACCTCTTATATATGTTCTTTCTAAAGGGAGGACTCTGTTCTATTTGGAGAATGAAGTTACAAGATCCGATTTTCTCTAAAAAAGAAGTTATTTAATTAATGAGAAATGTCTTGAGTTATCTAGTTCATTTTCTATGTAATAGTTTAAAATTAGATAGCTTACTGAAGGAAACGTTAAGTAGCAATAAGTAGGATCATATGTCATACGTGAAAGTTTTGCACAGAGAGTCATTAAACAGAAAGAAGCTCCGTAAGTCTAATGCTAGCAATCAGCAATGCAACAGGAAATACTGTTAGAATCACACTTTTGAAAAATTAGTTAGAAGTAACATAGCTTTTGATTGAATCCCCAGTGAGAGTGAAGGAGTATAATAAACATTTCCCATACTATATGACCAGTGAGAGATCCCACAGTGTCTTTCTGCAAACTTCTTATAGCATTGATTGGCCAACTACTTAATGCAACATTTTTCTTTCTTTCTTTCTTTCCTTTTTTTTTTTTTTTGAGACGGAGTCTTGCTCTGTCGCCCAGGCTGGAGTGCAGTGGTGCCATCTCGGCTCACTGCAACCTCCGCCTCCTGGGTTCAAGTGATTCTCCTGCCTCAGCCTCCTGAGTAGCTGGGATTACAGGTGTGCACCACCACACCCAGCTAATTTTTGTATTTTTATTAGAGATGCGGTTTCACCATGTTGGTCAGGCTGGTCTCAAACTCCTGACCTCAGGTGATCCACCCGCCTCGGCCTCCCAAAGCGGTGTGATTACAGGCGTGAGCCACCACACCCAGCCACAACATTTTTTCATATGTGTGAAATGATATATTAAATATCCTCTTAGCCACCATTATGAATAGGTCATCAACTGTTCACATAATTATAGGCGCCTAATGCTGTTCCTAGCTCCAGAATTTTCTTTCTTAGGTTCCTTTCACCTCTGCTTTTCTGAAGTTATCACCGTAGTAGTCATTAGTACTATTCAGCAAATTTTTCTTACTCTCTGGCTACATGGTAGAATGCAATTCCCTGCCTACCCTGGGTCAGATGTGGCCACATGATTTGTTCTGGCCAATGAAATGCGAGCATAAACTATGTTTGTCTCTTCCAGGTGGAAGCTTTAAGATTTTGGTGTATGATTTTGACATGCCCCTTTTCCATCTGCTACCGTGCTGGATAGGGATGCTGATTTACCCTGGATACCAAACTGAGTACCCACCAGGCAACCCTCAGTGGTCATTTAGTGTGAACAGAAATTTTCTTATAACAAACCACTGAAATTTTAGGGTTGTTTGTAATCATAGTCTAACCTGGTTGATTCTTACTTGTTTGGACACTGTCAGTCTTTTATCTTTGCTAAGTTACACGTATGGTTTCCTTACGGGTTTTAGATCTTGGAAAGTTTACTCAGAAGCCCACATGAACTTCCCACAGTATTGTCTAGGAGGATTTCAAGTTTAATGGTAATGTGCAGGGTAAATTGTTTTCTTTATGAAATATTAGTTTATCTTTTTAAAAAAGACCACCAACCAATTAATAAGAAAGGAGTGAGGTCGGGCGTGGTGGCTCATGCATGTAATCCCAGCATTTTGGGAGGCTGAGGAGGCGGATCACTTGAGCTAAAGTGTTGAAGACCATCCTGGCCAACATGACAAAACCCACCTCTATTAAAAATACAAAAGTTGGCCTGGCGCAGTGGCTTACGCCTGTAATCCCAGCACTTTGGGAGGCTGAGGCGGGCGTTTGAAAACAGCCTGGCCAACATGGTGAAACCCCATCTCTACTAAAAATATAAAAATTAGCCAGGCGTCGGCCGGGCGCGGTGGCTCACGCCTGTAATCCCAGCACTTTGGGAGGCTGAGACAGGCGGATCACGAGGTCAGGAGATGGAGACCACCCTGGCTAACACGGTGAAACCCCGTCTCTGCTAAAAATACAAAAAATTAGCCAGGCGGTGGCAGGTGCCCGTAGTCCCAGCTACTCGAGAGGCTGAGGTAGGAGAATGGGGTGAACCCAGGAGGTGGAGCTTGCAGTGAGCCGAGATCACGCCACTGCACTGCAGCCTGGGCGACAGAGCGAGACTCCGTCTCAAAAGAAAATAAACAAACAAACAAACAAACAAATTAGCCAGGCGTCGTATCGTGTGCCTGTAATCCCAGCTACTCAGGAGGCTGAGGCAGGAGAATAGCTTGAACCTGGGAGGCGGAGGTTGCAGTAAGCGGAGATTGCGCCATTGCACTCCCGCCTGGGCAACAGAGCAAGACTCTGTCTCAAAATAAATAATAAATAAACAAACAAACAAACAAAAATTATCCGGGTGTGGTGGCACGCACCTGTAATCCCAGCTACTAAGGAGGCTGAGGCATGAGAATTGCTTGAACCCAGGAGGTGGAGCTTGCAGTGAGCCAAGATCACACCACTGCACTAACTACAGCCTGGAGAACAGAAGGAAACTGTGTCTCAAAAAAAAAAAAAAAAAAAAAAAAGGAAGGAAGGAAGAAAAAGAAAAAGGCCGGGCACGGTTGCTCATGCCTGTAATCCCAGCACTTTGGGAGACCGAGGCAGGCGGATCATGAGGTCAGGAGTTTGAGACGAGCCTGGCCAACATAGTGAAGCCCTGTCTCTACTAAAAACACCAAAATTAGCCGGGTGTGGTGGCATGCACCTGTAGTCCCAGCTATTCAGGAGGCTGAGGCAGGAGAATCGCTTGAACCCAGGAGGCGGAGGTTGCAGTGAGCCGAGACCACGCCAGTGCACTCCAGCCTGGGTGACAAGAGTGAGACTCCATCTCAAAAAAAAAAAAAAAATTTAAAAGAAAGAAAGAAAGGTAGGATTTTTCAGACTTTGGTATATTTCGTTTTTGTATCTGTCCACAGAGATAATCAACTCTCCTCAATCTTTATGGTTGGCTTACCAGTTTTCAGGACTTATTTTACTAACACTGGGAACTCAGCAATTCTTTATCCTACTTTGTTTTAAACTATATTTCTTTAGACAAGTCATTGGTTTTATTTACCTACTGAAACTGAGAAGTAATTACCTACTGCATAGGGTTGTTATGACGATTAAATGAGATACTTAACTAAAGTGCTTAATCTAGGAGCTACATATAATAACAGCTACCATTCAGTTTCAAATACTCCATGGCTTGCCTAACAATTTTCCTGCAGTCAGAAACATTACTGAGGACAGCTGCCTGTTCTAAAATGTTTTTCATTTTCTTGGTTCCAGGCAATGATCATTTTATTGCAAAAATATTTTTAAGAAAAATGAGGGGCCGGGCGCGGTGGCTCAACACCTGTAATCCCAGCACTTTGGGAGGCCGACGTGGGCGGATCACGAGGTCAGGAGATCAAGACCATCCTGGCTAACATGGTGAAACCCCGTCTCCACTAAAAATACACAAAATTAGCCGGGCGTGGTGGCGGGCACCTGTAGTCCCAGCTACTCGGGAGGCTGAGGCAGGAGAATGGTGTGAACCCGGGAGGCGGAGTTTGCAGTGAGCCAAGATCGCGCCACGGCACTCTAGCCTGGGCGACAGAGCGAGACTCCGTCTCAAAAAAAAAAAAATTAAAAAAAAAAGATTAATGAACAGTCCATCTTTTTCCTTTCCCAAAAGGTATCTAGAAGACTAAAATCCTGTTTTTTTTTCTAAGCCCTACAGATTGTTGGTTTTTCCTTGTACACTTGTTGTTTTTACTATATTATTCTAATTACTTTCATTTCTTAGGGTAAAATCTAAGCTTCATAGCATACCGAGGCCCTCCTGCTATGGCTCTCTCTTTACCCCTCCCTCAATCTTTAATTTCCATCAATCTCTGACTCACGCTACACTCTGATAATGCTAAACTGCTTGTAGCAACGCTGTGGCAGGCCTACGTGCTTTTACTCATATTATTCTCTCTGATGACATTTATCCTACCTTTCTCCTATTTCTAATTCTTATTCACCTTTCAGATCCTTTTAAGCCCTCATCTCCTAAGGGAAGCCCTTCTAGAACCCCCCAGGTTAGACTAAGTGTCCCTCCTCAGTGGTCACATTGCAGATCTCTATCCTCTCAGGAGACAGAATTTTTTATTAAGAATGAATTTTTCAATCACCTGCTTGGTGTGCACAACCTGGCTTGCTTTGTGGCCATGATCAGATTACTTCACTTTTTTTTTTTTTCCTTTTTTGAGACAAAGTCTTGCTCTGTCGCCCAGGCTGGAGTGCAGTGGTGCGATCTCGGCTCACTGCAACCTCCACCTCCCGGGTTCAAGCGATTCTCATTCATGCCTCAGCCTCCCAAGCAGCTGAGATGAAAGGCATGTGCCACCACACCCAGCGATTTTTTTTTTTTTTTTGTATTTTTTTTGTTTTGTTTTAGTTTTTTTGTTTTTTTGGGGAGGAGGGACGGAGTCTCGCTCTGTCGCCCAGGCTGGAGTGCAGTGGCGCGATCTCGGCTCACTGCAAGCTCCGCCTCCCGGGTTCACGCCATTCTCCTGCCTCAGCCTCCCAACTAGCTGGGACTACAGGCGCCCGGCACCACACCCGGCTAATGTTTTGTATTTTTAGTAGAGACGGGATTTCACCGTGTTAGCCAGGATGGTCTCCATCTCCTGACCTCGTGATCCGCCCGTCTTGGCCTCCCGAAGTGCTGGGATTACAGGCGTGAGCCACCGCTCCCGGCCTGTTTTTGTATTTATAATAGAGATAGGATTTCACCATGTTGGCCAGGCTGGTCTCCAACTCCTGGCCTCAAGTGATCCGCCTGCCTAAGTCTCCCAAAGTGTTGAGATTACAGGCATGAGCTACCTCACCTGGCCTACTTCAGCTTTTTGAACCGCTGTTACCATGTGTAAAACAAATATCACTACCTGCATTGTAAGACTGTAAAGATAAAATGTCATCCAAAATGTAAAGTGCTTACCACATAAACCTGACAAGTAAAAACAGCTGACATTTATTGAGTTCTATCGTTTAGAAAGAAAGTTAAAGCAGTGAGATAGTAGATGGTAAATTTCCTTTTGAGTCTCAGCTTTTCTTCTCAACTATAAAGGTCTGGAATTTCAGTAAATGATCTTCCTTAAGGATGATGGGCGTTGAAAACAAAAGCTACACAAATTCTCAAGAGATCTCTGATCTACATAAGTTACATCAGAAACTAGATTCCCTAATCAGCAGCACTACTTTTTTTCTTTTTCTTTTTCTTTTTTTTTTTTTTTTTTTTTTTTGAGACAGGGTCTTGTTCTGTTGCCCAGGCTGGAGTACAGTAGTGTGATCTTAGCTCACTGCAGATTTGACCTCCTGGACTAAAGCAATCCTCCCCATCCTGAGTAGCTGGGACTACAGGTGAGCTCCACCATGCCCAGCCGGTTTTTTTGTAGTTTTTGTAGAGACAGGGTTTCACCATATTGCCCAGGGTGGTTTTGAACCCCTGGGCTCTAGCGATGTGCCCAACTCGGCCTCCCAAAGTGCTGGGATTACAGGCATGAGCCACCACGCCCAGCCAATATCTTTTAAATACAGATTGAAATATTTCTCCCTACAGATGTTTATTTCCTTTCCTCCCCAGCACCTTTGCAGTCCTGCTGTTTCACTCCCAGATCCTATCAGATAACTGTCCTAACATTTGTGCTGTTATAATATACACTTCATGTGGAATCAGTTTTCTGTCCATTATAGTGCTTTCTCTGAAACCTCGCCATTAGTTAGATGAATGGGTGGTACCTTTTTCAGTAAAAAGTACATCACAGCTTCTGATTTCAAACTCATGTTCTTGGATGATCACCCTATGTAGATATAAAGCAGTCTTCAGGCTAACATGATTATGCAGCAGAAATACCTTTAACTTCCTGGGAGAAAAAAAGATCCTGATCCTATTCTAATGATGCTAAATGGCATTATTTGGGGGTTCCACTCCTGGCTCTCTGTTGCATAACACTTATCCCTTATATCTGACTTAGATAAAATCTTTACCCCAAAGGCAGTACAATTGAATGGAAACAGTCTTACCTGTTTTCTTTTGATTCTGCATTATATTTGTGCTCCAAAATTCATGTAACTTTGCCATGACTTTTTATTTTTCCTATGGAAATACTTATTTGAGATGATAACAGCCTTAAACAAGAATAGAACTGGTGAATATTTTGTTTTGTGGAGAGAGGTATTATTAGACTTTCTCCTCTGGGCTAAAACAAAACACAAAAAGCTCAAGGTTATCCTAGGCATAAAAGCTTCTCAGAGAGGCATTTTTATTATAGCTTTGACTTACTCAATCTGGGAAGCCTATCACCAATAGACACAACTGAGAAGCATAAGGAATAAACAAGGTGGCTTTTCCTCCGGCCACCTGCTTTCTATCCCATGCTTTCTAATATATTGCCCTGTGTATGAACAATTACACTGATCACACTTTCTCTACCTATTTGGAATAGGCAATCTTGTACATTTGCATGGGTTATTGCCTGCTCTATATACTCAGTTTCGATATTTACTTTTCCTTCTGGTTTATGTTAATGTCATACGAGGTTTCCTTCAGTTTTGTAGTAGTTTTTTCTCTCTTTATTAGTTATATTTGCTTTTTATTTGCTGGCAAGCTGAGCCCTCAGAAAAAAAGCTGGAAACAGATACCTGGATCCAGAACACAGGCAGGGACTCTGATAACAGACCTTCCCAGCCTGGCTCACAGGTGGTCAGACCTTCATCTTAGGGGAATACACAAGGGCCATCATCCTATTTAAACTAGGGCAAAGAGGCAACCATTTGTCTTCTTCATAGCCAGCAATTTTTCCCTGTAATAAATGACTACATTCTGCAGCTGGAATTACAGAGGTTAAATTTGCAGCTAAGTATAATCCTTTACCTATTACAGCACCTTCCAGAGGCTTCTCTCATTTATTAGCAAAAAATATCACTATGAGTCAACAATAAAAGTGGGTATGTGCTCAGACAAAATTGTTAAGAATGTGGGTGAGAGCCTGATATGGAAAAATATAAATTATTAATCCAAAAGTATTTCTATAGTCTTTCTCCTAACTTGCTTTATTGATTTATTCCTTTATTTATTTATGTTGAGATGTAGTCTTGCTCTGTCACCCAGGCTGGAGTACAGTGGCATGATCTCAGCCCACTGCAACCTCTGCCTCCCAGGTTCAAGTGATTCTCGTGCCTCAGCCTCCCGTGTAGATGGGATTACAAGCGTGCACCACCACGCCCTGCTAATTTTCATATTTTTAGTAGAGACGGGGTTTCGCCATGTTGGCCAGGCTGGTCTTGAACTCCGGAGTTCAAGTGATCTGCCTGCCTTGGCCTCCCAAAGTGCTGGGATTATAGGCATGAGCCACCACACCCGGCCTCTCCTAGCTTTAGAATGAAGTAATAAGACAATTAGCAAGAGTTTTTGGTGTCTCAATGTACAGTTTCCCTCCAAGAACAATCCTTGGTCCTTTTCTCTTCTTATTCTTCACTGTCTATCCAAGCCGATTGCATCCAATGGGGCACTGAGTGCTGATGACTCCGGTCTCTGTACCTCCAGCCCAGGTTATTCTTTCTTGAAACAAACACCTATAACTGCAACTACCTCCTCCATGTTCAGCACATGTCTCACAGATATCTCACACTTAACATATCTTAAACTGATCTTGTCAGCAATTTTTCTTTCTTTCTTTTTTTTTTTTTTTTTTGAGACAGAGTCTCACTCTGTCACCCAGGCCCAGGCTGGAGTGCAATGGCGCGATCTCCGCTCACTGCAACCTCTGCCTCCTGGGTTCAAGCGATTCTCGTTGCCTCAGCCTCCCAGGTAGCTGGGATTACAGCTATGCGCCACCACGCCCCGCTAATTTTTGTATTTTTAGTAGAGATGGGGGTTTCACCATGTTGTCCAGAATGGTCTCAAACCCCTGACCTCAAGTGATCCACCCGCCTCAGCCTCCCAAAGTGCTGGGATTACAGGCGTGAGCCACTTCTTCTGACCAGCATTTCTTCAAGATCAGAAACCCTCCCCCACAATCTTTATTCTTCTTAGCAGTACTACCATCTAACCTACAAGAGAACAAAAAATGTGGGAGCTGCCCTGTGCTCTCCACTCTCCCCTCCCTGCCCCGGCCATTGCCTACATCAGCAAAGAATCCTCTCTTTCATTTCATTTCCTTAGCATCTCTGACATCCTTCCCCACCTACCCTCTGACTACTACTTAGTTCAGGCCCTCATCCTCTTTTACCTAAACAATTGTAATGGTCTCTGGACTGAATGTTTGTGTACCCCCCAAGTTCACATATTGAAGCCTGTATTAGTCAGGGTTCTTCAGAGGGACAGAACTAATAGGATAGATGTATATATGAAAGCGTGGTAGGAGTTATTAAGAAATTATTTTAGGCTGATAGAGAGGAAAAGGGGTCCTTGGAAAGTTTTCGTTTTTAAAGCAGCTCCAGAAACGTTTCTTGTCTAGCTGGAAAGTCCGGGCTCTTAAAGCCAGGCCGGCAGCCTTTGATATGCAAATATAGGCCATTAGAAACTGGGTCCACCCAAACATGGAGATTCTGGCAGCCTTCTTGCCCTTGCCCAGACATGTGCCTGGCAACATGGCCACCCCTAGGTTTCCCCACGTGTGCAGAATATCATGGCTCCCTGCATTTGCATATTAAAAGAATAGGGTGGGAGGGCCTTTTTTCACTGGCTACGTGAATGACATACCTGGTCAAACTAATCCCCTGAGCCCCATGCAAATCAAACACCGCCTCCTCCAGCCTCTTCATATACCCAGCTGGTATCTGTGGCACATAGGGTCTCCTCTCTCAGCTTTGGAGCCCCCCTCCCTCTGTCTCTGTATGGTGGAGCTTCTTCCATCTTCTCCTTTCCTTCTTGCCTATTAAAATCTCTGCTCCTTAAAACCACTCCACGTGTGTCCGTGTCGTTTTATCTAATCCGACTCAAGACGAAGAACCCTGGTGTTCCTCCACTCATTGGAGCCGAATGAAAAGCGTGTTTATTAAGGAGAATTGACTCACATGATCACAAAGTGAAGGAGTCCCACGATAGGCCATCTGCAAGCTGAGGGGCAAGGAAGCCAGGAGTGGCTCCATCCAAGTCCCAAAGCCTCAAAAGTAGGGAAGCCGACAGTGCAGCTTTCAGTCTGTGGCTGAAGACCAGAGAGCTCCTGGCAAACCACTGATGTAGGTCCAAGAGTCCAAGGCCAAAGAACCTGGAGTCTGACATTCTAGGACAGGAGGCATCCAGCGTGGAAGAAAGATGAAAGCTGGAAGACTCAGCAAGCCAGCTTATTCCACCTTTTCCTGTCTGCTTTTTTAGTTGTGCTGGCTGCCAATTGGATGGTGCCCACCCACACTGAGGGTGGGTCTTCCACTCCCAGTCCACTGACTCAAATGTTAATCTCCCCTGGTAACACCCCCACAAACACACCCAGGAACAATACTTGGCATCTTTAGATCCAGTCAAGTTGACACTTAATATTAACCATAAAAAACCCTAACCCCCAGTGTGACTATATTTGGAGACAGGAACTCTAAGAAAGTAATTAAGGTTGAATGGGGTCATAAGGGTGGGGCCCTGATCCCCTAGGATTAGTGTCCTTATAAGAAGGGACAGGCCAGGTGTGGTGGCTCACGCCTGTAATCCCAGCACTTTGGGAGGCAGAGGCGGGTGGATCACGAGGTCAGGAGTTCGAGACCATCCTGGCTAACACGGTGAAACCCCCGTCTCTACTAAAAATACAAAAACTTAGCCGGGCGTAGTGGTGGGCGCCTGTAGTCCCAGCTACTCGGGAGGCTGAGGCAGGAAAATGGCATGAACCCAGGAGGCGGAGGTTGCAGTGAGCCGAGATCGTGCCATTGCACTCCAGCCTGGGCGACAGAGCGAGATTCCGTCTGAAAAAAAAAAAAAAAAAAGAAGGGACACCAGAAATATCTCTCTCTCTCTCATGTCCTCTGTCTTTCTCCATGTGCATGCACAGACGAGAGGCCATGGGAGGACACCGTGAGGAGGTGACCATCTGCAAGCCAGAAAGAGAGCCCTCACCACAAACTGACCTTGCCAGACCTTGATCTGGGACTTCGAACATCCACAGCTGTGAGAAAATTAATGTTCTGTTGTTTAAGCCCCCTAGTCTGTATCTGCAATATTTTGCTATCACAGCCTAAGCAGACTAATGCAGGCTCCAAATTGGTTTCCTTCTCCATAATTACCCTAGCGCCATGTCCAAACCATCTGAAGCACTATTCCAGAGTGACCTTTATAAAAATGCCATTTTGATCACATTATTCCTATATGTAAGAAAAAAAAAATCAATCAATGGCTGTCTCCACTGCCAGAGTCCAAACAGTTTCCTCTCTAATGGCCTTATCTACCCTCACTACATCATTGCCTACCATCTCCCCTCCCCACACATCAACGTCTCCATCCAAACAAAATCACTTGTAGCTCCCTGAATACACCTCTCCTGTGTTGTTCTGTCTGTTACCCCTCCACTCCCCAAGGCCCAGGCCTAGTGAAGGTCTATTTTTTAACTTGGGCTTGCCTTCTCATTGGAGCCTTTCCTGATCTTCAACTTCCAAGGAACTGAACTCTCCCCACACTCCATGCCACTATTGTACCAAATTTGTCTTCATTACAACACTTACACACCGATATGGTTTGGATCTGTGTCCCCACCAAATCTCATGTGGGGTTGTAATTCCCAGGGTTGGAGGTGGGGCCTGGTGGGGGGTGATTGGATCACTGGGGTGGAGTTCTCATGAATTGGTTACACCATCCCCTTCCTGCCGTTCTTATAATAGTGAGTGTAAGTTATCATGAGATCTGGTAGTTTAAAAGTATGCAGCACCAGGCTGGGCCTATAATCCCAGCACTTTGGGAGGCCAAGGCGGGCGGATCACCTGAGGTCAGGAATTTGAGACCAGCCTGATCAACATGAAGAAACCCCGTCTCTACTAAAAGTACAAAATTAACCGGGCATGGTGGTGCATGCCTGTAATCCCAGCTACTCGGGAGGCTGAGGCAAGAGAATCCCTTGAATTAGGGAGGCAGAGGTTGCAGTGAGCTGAGATCGCACCATTGCCCTCCAGCCTGGGCAACAAGAGCAAACTCCATCTCAAAAAAAAAAAAAAAAAGTACGTAGCCCTCACTCCACCACCCCTCACCACCCCTGCCCCCGTCTCCCTCCTGCTCTGGCCATGTAAGATGTGCTTGCTTCCTCTTCACCCTCTGCCATGATTGTAACTGTCCTGAGACCTCCCCAAAGGCCAAGCAGATGCCAGCATCATGCTTCCTGTACAGCCTGAGGAACCGTGAGCCAATTAAACCTTTTTTCTTCATAATTACGCAGTCTCAGGTACTTATTTATAGCAACGCAAGAGCGAACTAATACACACAGTCTGGCGTTTTCTATATATGTCTTCCATACTAGGGTGTGTGCCTTATTTATCGTTGTATTTCTGCTACCTAGCATAGTGCCTGGCACACAACAGGCCTTCAATGCAATGTTTGTTTAATTTGAAGAATGACATGAAAAGACTGGGGAACAATACCAAGACAGTGTTTCCCCTTCTACCAGGTCAAAAATATGTGGCCTTCTTTTCATCCTTGTTGATGTTGATCTTGATAGCATTATCTCATCACTCTAATCTGCTGAGAATCTGTTTGTTTGTTCTGGCACTTAGATCTAATATGATAAATCTGCCAATCACAAATTCCATATCTTTAGCCAAGTCATTGATTTCATAAAGGGATTAATAAGTTCTGGTGAGAGCCCTGAGGAAGGACGTTAAAAATTTCCCTCTACTTTGATATCAATCCATTATCTAATTACCTTCATAGTTCACCTGCTTACTTATCCAACAAATTCTATTGCCATCCAACCCATTATACTCTTTTTCCCTAAACTGTATCTGCCTCAGGGAAACGTGCTCGGAAGAACATCGGACCCATCGGGTTATGCTTTCAAGGTAAGACCATGGTAAGGTAACTGCTCTTCTCCCACCCCCTGCTGTGTCTCCATACACCGTTATTTATATAGTCTGCATACACGGAATTTGATAAACTTTACTATAAAAACTTAGCATTTTAGCTATGTTTTGAAATTGAGTTTGAGCTCAAATTATATTATATTCCCATTATTTTCGCTACACATGAAATTAGAACTTCAGAACACAGATCCTCACTGACCCCTTGTAGAATGTGCCTTGGTATTACACCATTGGCCTTTACTAAACGATATCAAAGAACCAGAGACATGAAAGCTCTTTTTGTGTCTATTGTAGCGATGTTGCCAAGGACATTTTTCACTCTCTCGTACCATGTCCTCTTTATGAGAATCCATAGGATAAATATTTCACAGGTTTTAGGATCAAAAAGTGTTTCACCTATAGTTTGGCTTTAATCTTATGGATAAATCTTGCAATTAATCAGGTTCCCTCTTTGCTTTACTCCTCAGAAGCATAAAGTCAGATTTGCTGCTCTTCTCTGGCATCTATTCAAGGTGAGAAGGTAAACATTGTGTATGCTAATCTCATCTCTTCTTTCATTAATTTAGTTTTCCTACCCTTAGTTCCTATAGAACAGTTATCTCAAAAATTCAGTTTTATCTTTTACATTTATGTAAAATGTAGCACATGAATCAGGGCACAAATAATTTTCAGTCTCTTTTTACAAATAGGGAAATTGAATGCCCTGATAAGCTGATAAGCTTAGGGAAAGGTGTTTTATGACTGATTAACCCAGTGATGCCTAGCTTTTCAAATTGACCTTTTGTATTTGCTAGCTGGAATGACAAGCATGGCCTGGTTTAGAATTATTTCAATTTAACATTTGTGTTCAATTCTTTTTATGTTCACGCTATGGCTACCTAATGCCAAAACATTTGGACAGCAAGTCAAAATTTCAGTTATCTTGGTGGTGGTCATACCTTATTATTCCTTCTTACATTCATGTGATTGATCGTTTTTTTCCTCTTTACACAAAAGTTTTAGTGTCAAGACCAGTCATGAAAGTTCAAACATTATATGGTGTAAAGAGTGTAGGCCGGCGCGGTGGCTCACGCCTGTAATCCCAGCACTTTGGGAGGCTGAGGCGGGTAGATCACTTGAGGTCAGGAGTTTGAGGCCAGCCTGGTCAACATGGTGAAACCCTGTCTCTACTAAAAATACAAAAGTTAGGCCGGGCGCAGTGGCTCACGCCTGTAGTCCCAGCACTTGGGGAGACCGAGGCGGGCGGATTACGAGGTCAGGAGATCGAGACCATCCCGGCTAACACGGTGAAACCCCGTCTCTACTAAAACATTTTTAAAAAAATTAGCCGGGCGTGGTGGCGGGCGCCTGTACTCCCAGCTACTCAGGAGGCTGAGGCAGGAGAATGGCGTGAACCCGGGAGGCGGAGCTTGCAGTGAGCCGAGATGGCGCCACCACACTCCAGCCTGGGCGACAGAGCGAGACTCCGTCTCAAAAAAAACAAAAAACAAAAGTTAGCCAAGCACTCACAGGTGGTGAGTGCCTATAATCCCAGCTACTTGGGAGGCTGAGGCAGAAGAATTGCTTGAACCCGGGAGGCGGAGATTGCAGCGAGAGAAGATCGTGCCATTGTGCTCCAGCCTGGGTGACAAGAGTGAGACTCGGTCTCAAAAAACAAACAAACAAAAAAAGAATGTTAACTCAGGACCCAGAAGTCACAAGTTCCAGTCCTGCTTGTACTAAGACTTGTGTTGAGGCACCAACCTCTCTGCGTTTACATTTCCTCAAATCCATGAAACAATGGTAATGCCTCCCGGGCTCTGTAGCTCAACAGGGAAAATAGATGTAAAAGCACCTTGAGAAATAAGTGCTAGATGATTATCAGAGAAAGGCTTTGAGTCAGAAAACACATTATTATCATCTCTACATAATAATACTTTATATACAAAGCTTCTGACTTCTCTAAGTGGAGCGGGTCACAGGAAGCATAAATACACATTCACATGTAGGTTGACAAGTCAAAAAAAAAAAAAAAAAAAAAGCACAGTGCCTTACCATTTTAGCCACAGAAATAAGGAAGTGAGGTAGTTTCCTAGAGAACCCCTACATTCAATCAGCCAGGTTCCACTATTTCTTTGCTGTATCTACATTGTGCTTTTTATTTTTTAATTATAAACCAGATATAATGTAAACATTGCCATTTTAACCATTTTTAAGTGTATAATGCAGTGGCATTAAGTACATTCACATTGTTGTGCAACCATCACTGCTATCCATTTCCAGAACTTTTTCATCATCTCAAACTGAAACTCTATACCCATTAAACAATAACTTCCCAATCAGGCCGGGCACAGTGGCTCATGCCTGTAATCCCAGCACTTTGGGGGGCCAAGGCAGGTGGATCATCTGAGGTCAAGAGTTCGAGACCAGCCTGGCCAACGTGGTGAAACCCCATCTCCACTAAAAATACAAAAAATTAGCTACTCAGGAGGCTGAGACAGGAGAACCACTTGAACCCGGGAGGCGGAGGGTGCAGTGAGCCGAGATCACGCCACTGCACTCCAGCCTGGGCAACAAAAGCGAAACTCCATCTCAAACAAACAAACAAAAAACCTCCCTAATCAGCTTCTATCATTGAAGGCTCTATTTCCAACAAGGCTCTATTTTAAAGGTCTTTGGTCACATGCATGGCATTTTTACCCATCACAAGGTTAAACTCCCTTCTATATATGCTTCTCATTTTCCCTTCCATGAAAAGTGGCTTTTTATCCAAGTACTGGGTTATTTTTGTCCTCTGATACTCCTCAATTTTTAAAAATATTTAGTGCTTGCTTTGATGTTTTGGGCATAAGTGAGAATACAGCATGTAAATTCAAACCTTAGCTTGGCCAATTAGTATGCCCTGCTAATATACTAATCTCATGGATTTGGCCTTGCTCTTTCCATAGTGAGACTGCTTTTGTCTTAAGCCCTGTCCACTCTGAAGCCCTTGTGACCTGGGTCACATGGAGGACAAAGGGAAGCAGTATGGGCAAATCAATACAAACTCACTTGAAACACAAGTTCATTTATGAAGGTTAATACATTAAATAGAGACATAAATCAATTTCAGGCACAGTCTATGAGCTCCTTGAGAATCTGTATTATTTACTTGTGTGTAGCCTCTGCTGACAGATGAAAGGTCCCTATTAAACATTTGGTTGAAACAAATTCAGAAAAAAACCCTCATTTTGGACAAATTTTATAATACAATTTAAATGCATAGGGAAACTAGAAAATATGTTGTAAAATGAGGGAAGAAAAGTATTTATTATAGGCTTATAATGTGCCAGATAATTATGCTGTCTCAATATTAGCAATTTCATTTAATGCATACATTACCCCCAAAAAGGTAGGCATTATCTATCATGCCCACTTCTTGTAGAAGTGAAGCAACTTGCTCAAGTTCATGGAAGAGTGAGGGACAAAACTAGAATTCAAATCTAGATACACCTCACTTGAATTCTCATCTATTTTTCATTTCTGTACTGAGATCACTAAAATCATTTGAGAGAAGAATGTACTATTCAATCTTTTTCTTTTCTATGAAATGGCTAGTTGAACTTTGAGCTCTTGATTATAACTAAAAGGAATAGATGGTGGGTTAGTTAGAACTCAGAAAATTCAGAAGTGAGCAGAGATACTGCAATAACATACCACTCCTGGTTAGCCTCTATAACTCATGCTTGACATATACCCCAGCATGAGGAAAAATTAACTCAAGCTTGACATATACCCCAGTATAAGGAAAAATTAACTCATGCTTGACATATACCCCAGTATAAGGAAAAATACTACTTACTAGCATTTAGTATTGGAGACCAGGTGCAGTGGTTCATGCCTGCAATCCCAGCACTTCAGGAGACTGAGGTGGGTGGATCACTAGTTGGAGACAGGGAAACACCATCAAGATGTGGTACAAAACGCAGGCCTGAGAATTATCCCCACAGGGGTAAGGGAGTAGGGTATTTATACAGCAACTCTTGAGAATCGTTGTTAGAGAGCTGATAGAAAGGGTATTTATTTCCCAACACTTCCAGCTTGCTGTTCCAGGAAGAAAAAAAAAGTGGAATACTGGCAGCTGCACGTCAGCCAGAAAACACTGAAAGGTCCCAGGGAAATGTGTGGGCCACTGACACTATATTCAGTTAAGGAGCAGAGTAGACCACAGCTAATGACAGGAATTATAAAGTAGAAGAAATACCAAAGGAAATATCCCAGAATGAAACAGATAAGGATTAAAACATACAGAAGAGAGGCCAGGTGCGGTGGCTCACGCCTGTAATCCCAGCACTTTTGGAGGCCGAGGCAGGTGGATCACGAGGTCAGGCGATCGAGACCATCCTGGCCAACAAAGTGAAACCCCATATCTCCTAAAAATACAAAAATTAGCTGGGCGTGGTGGCAGGCACCTGTAATCCCAACTACTTGGGAGGCTGAGGCAGGAATATGGCTTGACACTGGAAGGTGGAGGTTGCAGTGAGCCAAGATGGCGCCACCGCACTCCAACCTGGGCGAAAGAGCGAAATTCCATCTAAAAAAAAATAGGAAGAGAAATGAAAAGATTTAAAGGCTAGAGTGAGAAGGACAATCATACATTGCATAATTTTTCAGAAGGAAAGCATAGGAAAATAGGGGGAGAAGCAGTTTATATGAATAAAGGGTACATTTATTATTATTATTATTTTTTTTTTTTTTTGACAGAGTCTTGGTCTGTCTCCCAGGCTGGAGGGCAGTGGTGTGATCTCAGCTCACTGCAACCTCTGCCTCCTGGATTCAGGCAATTCTCTGCCTCAGCTTCTTGAGTAGCTGGGATTACAAGCGCCCGTCATCCCGCCAGGCTAATTTTTGTATTTTTAGTAGAGACGTGGTTTCACCATCTTGGCCAGACTGGTCTCGAACTCCTGACCTCATGATCCACCTGCCTTGGCCTCCCAAAGTGCTGGGATTACAGGCATGAGCTACCACACCCAGCCCATTTATTTATTTATAGATATATTTTATATATAATTTTATGATTCCACATTTGTATAAATAAATATGAGTATATAGTTATAAATTCCTGAGAATTTAGTCTTGATGAAAGACATGAATCAACAGACATAATAATTAAGTCTTCAAGATAAATAAAAATAAGTCCAGACACAACACAGTGAAACTTAAAAAACAAAATTATTGACGCAACCAGAGGGAATAATAGAAATAACACGCATACACAAAAACGTGATAATAAGAACAGCAAACTTCTCATTAACAACAGTATAGACAAAAAAAATGATATGATAATATAATCAGTGCTCAGGGAAAATAACAGAACCCTAAACCTAGTTTAACTTTCATCTAGGAATGAGGGCAACAAAAAGACATTTCAAACTAACAAAGATGTAAACACTGCCATTCACCAATTTTTTTTTTTTTTTTTTTTTTTTGAGATGGAGTTTCAGTCTTGTTGCCCAGGCTGGATTGTAGTGGCACAATCTTGGCTCCCTGCAACTTCCACCTCCAGGGTTCAAGCGATTCTCCTGCCTCAGCCTCCCGAGTAGCTGGAATTACAGGCTTGCACCACCATACCCGGCTGATTTTTGCATTTTTAGTAGAGACGGGGTTTCACCATGTTGGTCACGCTGGTCTGACCTCAGGTGATCCTCCCTCCTTGGCCTCCCAAAGTGCTGGGATTACAGGTGTGAGCCACCAAGCCCGGCCTCCATTCACCAATTTTTAACAACAAAAAAAGATGCTTGCCTAACAAGAGTAAACAAAGCAATTGCTCTGCCTTGAGAAATGTAAATAAGCATTGACAATAAAACCAAAAGCAATAATAAAAATTACTCAGGGGGTAAAAAACAAGGGGAAACTACATAACACCAAATATTGACAGACAAGATTGAAATTAAAACTTTCTAACAGGCTTTGTATAGTTCAGGAGGAGGAGGACAGAGGTGATTTAAAGTTCAATTTCAGACTGTTAGTAAAATATGAATGTTAAATATAAGGGTAGGGCTTACACTTCCTGATACCAAAACTTACTCTAAAGCTATGGTAATCAAAACAGTGCAGTATTAATGTAAATACACATAACGAGATCAATGAAATAGAATCACAAACCCAGAAAAAGACTCACACTTATACAGTCATTTGATTTTCAACTGAGGCATCAAAACAATTGAACAGGGAAAGAAAAGTTTTTACAACAAATGATGTGGGAACAACTGGTTACTTATATGGGGAAAAAAAGGAAATTAATGAAGCAGAAAACAAAGACATTACAGAGACAACCAACCTAGAAAGACTGGGACAACACTGATACCGGAAAAAAAAGAAAAGGCACGGGTTTATATGTATCTATATGTATCGTGTTTAATCATGAGAAAATACTGCATACCTCAGAGAAATTACAGGTTTAGTTCCAGACCACCACAATAAAGCAAATACTGCAATAAAGTGAGTCCCAGTTTTTTGGTTTCCCAATGCATATAAATGTTATGTTTACTCTATAACTATTAAGTGTGCAATTGCATTATGCCTAAAACAAATGTACATACCTTAATTTTAAAATATTTTATTGCTACAAACTGCTAATGATCATCTGAGCCTTCAGCAAGTCATATTCTTTTTGCTGGTGGAAGGTCTGGCCTCCATGTGGATGGCTGCTGACTGATCAGGGTAGTGATTGCTGAAGGTCGAGGTGGCTATGGCAATTTCTTAAAATAAGACAATAGGCCAGGCGAGGTGGCTCATGCCTGTAATCCCAGCACTTTGGGAGGCCAAGACGGGTGGATCACGAGGTCAGGAGTTCAAGACCAGCCTGACCAACAGGGCGAAACCCCGTCTCTACTCAGGAGGCTGAGGCAGAGAATTGCTTGAACCCGGGAGGTGGAGGTTGTAGTGAGCCAAGATCACACCACTGCACTCCAGCCTGGACAACAGGGAGAGACTGTCTCAAAGAAAAAGAAAAGACAATAAAGTTTGCCATATTGATTGACCCGTCCTTTCACAAAGATTTCTCTCTAGCATGTGAACATTTTACTCACAGTAGAACTTCTTTCAAAATTAGAGTCAATCCTCTCAAATCCCACAGCTGTTTATCAACGCAGTTTATGTACTACTCTAAATAGCTTGTTTTGTCATTTCAACAATGTTCACGGCACCTTCACCAGGAGTAGATTCTCTTTCAAGCAACCACTTTCTTTGCTCATCTACAAGCAAGTCCTCATTCATTCACGGTTAATCATGGGATTGCAGCAATTGAGACACATCTTCAGGCTCCAGTTCTAATTCTAGTTCTCTTGCTAGTTCTATCCAATCTGTAGTAGGTTCCTCCATTGAAATCTTTTTTTTTTTTCTTTTTGAGACGGAGTCTCGCCCTGGCACCCAGGCTGGAGTACAATGGCGCAATCTCGACTCACTGCAACCTCTGCCTCCTAGGTTCAAACGATTCTCCTGCCTCAGCCTCCTGAGTAGCTGGGATTACAGGTGCCCGCTGCCACATCCAGCTAATATTTGTATTTTTTGTAGAGACAGGATTTCATCATGTTGGCCAGGCTGGTCTCCTGACCTTGTGATCCACCGGCCTTGGCCTCCCAAAGTGCTGGGATTATAGGCATGAGCCACCGCCTGGCCCCTCCATTGAAATCTTAACCCCTCAAAGCCATCCTAGAAGGCTGGAATCAACTTCTTCCAAACTCCTATTCATGTTGCCATTTTAAGCTTCTCCTATGAATTGCAAATGTTCTTAATGGCATCTAGAATGGTAAATCTTTTCCAGAAGGTTTTCAATTTACTTTGCCCAGATCCATAAGAGGAATCTCTATCTATGGCAGCTATAGCGTTATAAAATGTATTTCTTAAATAATAAGACTTGAAAGTCAAAATTACTCCTTGATCGACCTGGTGTGGCGGCTCACGCCTGTAATCCCAGCATTGTGGGAGGCCGAGGGGGGTGGATCACGAGGTCAGGAGATTGAGACCATCCTGGCTAACACGGTGAAACCCTGTCTCTACTAAAAATACAAAAAATTAGCTGGGCGCGGTGATGGGTGCCTGTAGTCCCAGCTACTGGGGAGGCTGAGGCAGGAGAATGGAGTGAACCCGGGAGGCGGAGCTTGCACTGAGCCGAGATAGCACCACTGCAGTCCAGCCTGGGCAAAAGAGGGAGACTCTGTCTAAAAAAAAAAAAAAAAAAATTACTCCTTGATCCATAGGCTGCAGAATTGATATTGTATTAGCAGGTATGAAAACAATATTAATCTCCTTGTACATCACCATCAGAGCTCTTGGGTGACAAGGTGTGTTGCCAGTGAGCAGTGATATTTTGAAAGGAATCTTTTTTTCTGAGTAGTAGTTCTCAACAGTGGACTTAAAATGTTCAGTAAATCATGCTGTAAACAAATGTGCTATCATCCAGGTTTTGTTATACCATTTATGCAGCAAAGGCAGAATAGGTTTAGCATAATTCTTAAGGGCCCTAGGATTCTTAGATTGGTAAATGAGAATGAGGTTCAACTTAAATGCTCCATTAGCCTCTAACAAAAAAGCCTGTCCTTTGAAGCCAGGAATTGACTTCTCTTCTCTAGTTAGGAAAGTTCTACATGGCATCGTTTTCCAATAGAAGGCTGTTTGATCTATGTTGAAAATCTGTTTGTTTAGTGCAGCCACTTTCATCACTGATCTTAGCTAGATTTTTTGATAACTTGCTGCAGCTTCTCCATCAGCACTTGCTGCTTCACTTTGCACTTCTATGTTACGGAGACAGCTTCCTTCCTTAAACCTCATGAACCAGTCTCTGCTAGCTTCAAACTTTCTTCTGCAGCTTCCTCACCTCTCTGGGCCATCACAGACTTGAAGAGAGTTAGAGCTGTGCTCTAGTTTAGGTTTTGGCTTAAGGAGTTATTGTGGCTGGTTTGATCTACTATCCAGACCACTGCAACTTTCTCCATATCAGCAATAAAGCTGTTTGGCTTTCTTATCATTCATGTGTTCACTAGAGTAGCATTTTTAATTTCCTTCCAGACCTTTCCTTTGCATTCCCAACTTGGCTATTTGATACAAGAGACCTAGCTTTTATACTATCTCTGTTTTTAATGTGCCTTCATCACTAAACTCAATCATTTCTAGCTTTTGACTTAAAGTGAGAGATATGGTGAAACCCTGTCTCTACTAAAAACACAAAAATTAGCCAGGCATGGTGGTGCGTGCCTGTAATCCCAGCTATTCCGGAGGCTGAGGCAGGAGAATTGCTTGAACTTGGGAGGCAGAGGTGCCGGTGAACTGAGATGGTGATACTGCACTCCAGCCTGGGCAACAGAGCGAGACTCCATCTCAAAAAAGAAAAAGAAAGAAAGAGTGAGAGAGAGAGAGAGAGAGAAAGAGAGAGAGAAAGAGAGAGAGAGAGAAAGAAAGAAAGAAAGAGAAAGAAAGAAAGAGAAAGAAAGAAAAAGAAAGAAAGAGAAAGAAAGAAAAGGGAGAGAGGGACAGAGGGAGGGAGGGAATGTAATCAGTAAACATAAATCTATCCACCCAAAAAGGGCATCAAAGCCAACTTTATAGTGAGTTTTTACTAAATTAAAAAAAAAAAAAAGGCCAGGCTCAGTGGCTCATGCTGGTAATCCCAGCTACTTGGGAAGCTGAGGCAGGAGGATTGCTTGAGGCCAGAAGTTCAAGGCTGGAGTTAGCTATGATCCCACCATTACACACCAGCCTGAATGATAGGGCGAAACCCTGTCAAAAAAAGGAAAAGATGGCCGGGCGTGGTGGCTCATGTCTGTAATCCCAGCACTTTGGGAGGCCAAGGCAGGTGGATCACAAGGTCAGGAATTCGAGATGAGCCTGGCCAATATGGTGAAACCTCATCTCTACTAAAAATACAAAAACTAGCCGGGTGTAGTGGCGGGCGCCTGTAGTCCCAGCTACTCAGGAGGCTGAGGCAGGAGAATCGCTTGAACCCGGGAGGCTGATGTTGCAGTGAGCCGAGATCGCATCACTGCACTCCAGCCTGGGTGACAGAGCAGGACTCTGTCTCAAAAAAAAGAAAAAAGAAAAGAAAAGAAAAGAAAAAAGGAGGCCAGGCATGGTGGCTCATGCCTGTAATCCCAGCACTTTTGGGAGGCCGAGGCAGGCAGATCACGGGGTTAGGAGATTGAGACCATCCTGGCTAACATGGTGAAACCCCGTCTCTACTAAAAATACAAAAACAAAATTAGCCGGGCGTGGTGGCGGGCACCTGTAGTCCCAACTACTCGGGAGGCTGAGGCAGGAGAATGGCGTGAACCCGAGAGGCAGAGCTTGCAGTGAGCCGAGATCACGCCACTGCACTCCAGCCTGGGCGACAGTGGGAGACTCCTTCTCAAAAAAAAAAAAAAAGAAGAAAGAAAAAGAAAAAAGGAAAAGACAAACAGCTCTAATACCAAAGTTGATAAAGGACAACGTAAACAAGAAAAATTATAGTTTAATCTCACTTATTAACATATATTCAAAAACCCTGTGAAATATGGAAAACTTAATTTATCACCATATTTTAAAAAGTAATAAATCATGCAGAGGTATGATATACCCTAAGGATACCTGTACCATTAAAAAAAAGATTACAGTTATTTAACAAAACAACAAGTAAAGAGGAATGACAATCAGATCTTCGTAGTGATTTCAGAAAAACATTTACTAAAATTCTACACCTGAGGTGGGCGGATCACGAGGTCAAGAGATCGAAACCATCCTGGCCAACATGGTGAAACCCCGTCTCTACTAAAAATACAAAAATTAGCTGGGCATGGTGGTGCATGCCTGCAGACCCAGCTACTCAGGAGGCTGAGGCAGGAGAATCGCTGGAACCTGGGAGGTGGAGGTTGCAGTGAGCTGAGATCGCGCCACTGACTCCAGCCTAGCAACCAAGCAAGACTCCGTCTCAAAAAATAAAAATAAAATAAAATAAAATAAAATTCTAGACCCATTCGTGATAAAAACAATTTAGCAAATTAGGAATGAATTGGTTCTTCCTTAATATAAGTTTTAAACAAACAAAAAACCCACAAAAACTATAGCTAACATCATGGTGAAATACTGGACACTTCTTGATTGTCAGAAAAAAAGATAAGATATTGATTTCACAATTTCTTTTCAACATTGTACTGGAAGTTCTGCACTGAACGTTGAAGAAAGAAAAATAAATCGGGGGGCATGGAATGTCATCTTGGCATCCACTACTGTTAATATAGGAGGATGAGTGGTTTTACGGAAGGAACTGTCTTTGTTTAGGAAATTCTCTTGCTAAGTTACTAGTGGGGAAGCGAGGGCTCAGGCCAATGCAACGAGAAAAGGTAGTTCAACAGCTCTCTGCTGGAAAGAAAGAGCATTTGGGCCTGAGAAGATGAGACTGAAGGGAGTGGAGAGGACGGGCTCTATTGCTTGAGGCCAAAGCCCAGATTTAGAAAGTGTCAAAGGATCTTGGGGTCAGGTGTTCTTAACATTCCATTTAAAGTTATTTGTATTTCCATGAATAAGTCTCTTTGCTGTCACCAAAATCTTTAGTAAAGGCTTCTACACATGGTAACTTCTGGGAGTGATCTTTTTGGTGGAGCTTACAAAAAAAAATGAATGCATTTCCTATCTTGCTGGACATGATGCAGAAGAGGGAAAAATATAAAAATGGACAGTCTCAATCCTAAAATAACTCAACAAAAAAAAAAGGAGAGGAGCTCAGAGCTAGAGATGACCATGATAACCTAAGTGCCCTGATAAGTCACAAAAATGTGGCACATTATAGTAGCAAAAGATACAGAATAGCAGTTCAAGTAAATTTATGGAGATATTGCCAGGCGTGGTGGTTCACGCCAGTAATCCCAGCGCTTTGGGAGGCCGAGGCTGGCAGATCATGAGGTCAGGAGTTTGAGACTAGCCTGGCCAATATGGTCAAACCTTATCTCTAGTAAAAATACAAAAAAAATTAGCCAGGCATGGTGGCGCATGACTGTAGTCCCAGCTACTTGGGAGGCTGAGGCAGAAGAATCGCTTGAACCTGAGAGGCGGAGGTTGCAGTGAGCCAAGGTTGTGCCACTGCCCTCCAGACTGGGTGACAGAGCAAGACTCCGTCTCAAAAAAAAAAAAAAAAATTTATGGAGATATTAAGAGTCTAGAAAACCACGATGATGTAGCAACCAAAGTGTCTAGAAAAATACTAGATATTTGCAAAGTGAATATGAAAAGCTTACGCAGTCTGATTCCTACTGATTGTGAAGTCAATTGCTTATCTTCTCTCCTCTGTTGCTAGGCTTCATCCACACCATGAAAAGACAAAGTTTCAAACTGTGTTTAAAAACATTCCCTGGGCCAGGTGCAGTGGCTCATGCCAGCAATTTGGAGGCCGAGGCAGGTGGATCACTTGAGCCCAGGAGTTCGAGACCAGTCTGGGCAAATGGTGAAACCCCATCCATACAAAAAAATACAAAAATGAGCTGGGCATGGTGACACACACCTGTAGTCCCAGCTACTCAGGAGGCTGAGGTGGGAGGATCACTTGAGCCTGGGAGGTTGAGGCTGCAGTGAGTCAGGATCATGTCACTGCACTCTAGCCTGGACGACAGATAAGACTCTGTATCAAAAATAAATAAATAGCCCAGGCGTGGTGGCTCACACCTGTAATCCCAGCACTTTGGGAGGCCAAGGCGGGTACATCGCAAGGTCAGGAGTTCGAGACCAGCCTGGCCCGATATGGTGAAACCTGTCTACTATAAATACACAATTAGCCAGGTGTGGTGGTGTGCGCCTGTAGTCCCAGCTACATGGGAGGCTGAGGCAGAAGAATCGCTTGATCCCGGGAGACAGAGATTGTGGTGAGCAGAGATTGCACCACCATTGCACTCCAGCCTGGGTGACAAAGAGACACTCTGTCTCAAAAAAAAAAAAAAAAAAAAAAAAAAAAAAAAATATATATATATATATATATATATATATATATATATATGTATGTATGTATATATATAAAACATAAAATAAAAAATAAAAATAATTTATAGAGAAAGTTCTTATTTTCTCTCATGCTTTTGAAATATTTCATCTGAGTGGGAAACTGTCCAGAGAATATGGGATATGAAAGAAGAAAACAATTTCTTCTGACTTCTAATTTCCCAGTGACTAAATATTTTATACTAGAATACCTGCACAGTCAAAGTAATCTCAAGATATAAATTAGCTATCTTAAAAAGTGACTCCTGAAGTAACCATTTAGCTTGAAAGGAATATATCTTTATCTTGGAACAAAGAATAACTTAAGGATATTAATATAAATTATGAACAATTCTCATTATGGTCAGAAGGAACTATTACTATTTTGTTGCTATTTTTAGCATCCAAATCACATAATTCTTTAAAATGAAATTATAACAGTAGAAGCATTAGCTTAAGTCGACTTAGGCAATATAAATAGTGTGAGTTAAAGAAAATGTTTAAAGGTACCACTTTTTAGATTATTGCCAAAATCTGAGAAATAGTCTAGTTCCCATGAGATGTGTTCCTATTATTTGTGAAATCTGCTCACTTACTAATATAACTAGCATGCACTCTTCTGTTCATATTTTGCTTAACTGCCTTGCCAAATTTACACTGTTTTTTTTTTTGCAATGAATAGTATTACTACACCAAAATCCCATTGCTCTTTATCATATTTTTTAAAATTATAAAACAGAATGTTTAGTCTATTGGCCAAGACTTTCTGGTATGTTGTTGCAGCTCTATTCCAGAACATTTCTAATGCAGTGGGAGAAGATTTTCTTCCATTAAAGGAAGCTAATAGATGTTATCTCTTTCATCCTATCACAGGTGAAGCACTAATTTAGTCACTGTTTCTGTACTAAAGCTCTTTCCAGTAAAAATGGACAATCCATGAGGCAAGGATTCACATATAATACCTTAAAGTAACTTTTATATAAATGTCTTAAATGCATTAGTTTTCTTATTTTTATTTCTTTTATTTTTGTTTTGAGATGAAGTCTCACTCTGTTGCCCAGGCTGGAGTGCAGTGGTGTGATCTCGGCTCACTATAACCTCCGCCCTCCGAGTTCAAGCGATTCTCCTGCCTCAGCCTCCCAAGTACCTGGAATTACAGGCGCCTGCCACCGTGCCCGGCTAATTTTTTGTATTTTTAGTAGAGACAGAGTTTCACCATGTTGGTCAGGCTGGTCTCGAACTCCTTACCTTGTGATCCGCCTGCCTCGGCCTCCCAAAGTGCTGTGATTACAGGTGTGAGCCACCACACCCGGTCTTTAGTTTTTTTTGTTTTTGTTTTTTGTTTTTTGAGAGGGAGTCTTGCTCTGTAGCCAGGCTGGAGTACAGTGGCGCTATCTCGGCTCACTGCAACCTTCGCCTCCCGGGTTCAAGTGACTCTCCTGCCTCAGCCTCCCAAGTAGCTGGGATTACAGGCGCATGCCACCACGCCCAGCTAATTTTTGTATTTTTAGTAGAGACGGGGTTTCACCATGTTGGCCAGGATTGTCTCGATCTCTTGACCTCGTGATCTGCCCGCCTCAGCCTCCCAAAGTGCTGAGATTACAGGCGTGAGCCACCGCACCCGGCTATTTTTTTTTTATATGATCAAGCAGCCAATACTTTGTTTTAGTGTAAGTATTAGTATTTCAGGAATTTGTTTTTTCTCTCATCTCTTCTGCATTAAGTCAACTGATTAGCACCTTAAAGAACTCCCAGACCCCAATCACTACTACAGAATGTTTGTTTGTTTGGGTTTTTTGTTTGTTTGTTTGTTTTTTAGATAAGGTCCTGCTCTGTTGCCCGAGCTAGAGTGCAATGGTGCTATGACAGCTCACTGCAGCCTCAACCTCCTGGGCTCAGGTGATCCGATCCCCCCAGCTCAGTCTCCCAGGTAGCGGACTACAAGGGTGCATCATCACACCTGGCTAACTTTCTGTATTTTCAGTAGAGAGAAGGTTTTGCTACGTTGCCCAGGCTGGTCTCGAACTGCTGTGCTGAAGTGATCCTCACACCCGGCCTCCCAAAGTGCTGAGATTACAGGCATGAGCCACCGCACCCGGTCATGAATGATAATCTCGATATTGATTTCTAAATCAATGTTCATGATGGATGACAAATCCAAACATCAATTCAAATTGCAATAAATTAATCATTGTCACCAAAACCATGATCTGTCCCTACTTTTTGACACTTTATCATTGAATATATCACCTTACAGCACCAATCTTCCTGACACCCTACTTCACCTTCAGTTCACTGGTTCCTCCTGGCCACCTTAAAGATAGGCCTGGAATGGTAACTCTTCTTCAGCAGCCAGGAAACATTTATAAAGTAATGGCCGGGCACGGTGGCTCATGCCTGTAATCCCAGCGCTTTGGGAGTCCGAGGTGGGCAGATCACCTGCGGTCAGAAGTTCGAGACCTGCCTGGCCAACATGGCGAACCACTGTCTCTACTAAACATACAAAAATTAGCCAGGCATGGTGGTGGGTACCTGTAATCCCAGCTACTCAGGAGGCTGAGGTAAGAGACTTGCTTGAACCCAGGGGGCGGAGCAGTGAGCCGAGATCACACCATTGCACTCCAGGCTGGGTGACAAGAGCAAGATTCAATCTCAAAAAAAAAAACAAAAAAAAAAAACAAAAAAACTTAAAGACAATATTGGACTTCCCACAAGAATGTGTGGCAAATCAAACTCATTCAGAAAACACAACAAAATCCCCCAAAAAGGCATGTACCTAGAAAAAGACAGGTTTAAACTAACTTTAGGCAAGGACTTTGCTTCCTGGTATTTCCAAATCCCATTTCCCACCACTGTTGCTTGGATGACCTTGAGTTGACACTGTAGTTTCAACTCCATATCTAACACCAGTAATCATGGTGTCACACAATCCACTTCATGTCTGCTTTCCTCTTTAATGGAGCAGGCAAACAACAGCAACTCTCCCGGAATTAGGGCAGACAACCCTTACAAAATCGCTAGATGAATCATGCCTGCTTCATATCCTGAGCAAATCTAGGTCCACTTCCAACAGTCTACTAACAATAACCAGAAAATACACGCAGAACTAGATGCATCATGAGCCCATCACGAGTTAACTGTTTCAATCTCAGAGAATAAGTTAGATTCCATGCCAATGAAATAGATACAATTTTTTAAAAAACAGCACTCACATCTCTAGCTCTGTAACTTTTATCTACTCAAGTTTTATTATAGAAGACATCAGAAATATGCAAATATAAGTAGAATAATGGGTTATTTTAGGTTCATTGTCTATTAATTCTCTTTCATAAAATCTGAGCAACAGGCTGGGGGCAGTGGCTCATGCCTGTAATCCCAGGACTTTGGGAGGCCAGGGCGGGCAGATCACCTAATGTCAGGAGTTCAAGACCAGCCTGGCCAATGTGCTGAAACCCCGTCTCTACTAAAAATACAAAAAGTAGCCGGTATGGTGGCAGGCTCCTGTAATACCAGCTACTTGGGAGGCTGAGGCAGGAGAATCACTTGAACCAGGGAAGCAGAGCTTGCAGTGAGCCAAGATCTGGCCATTGCATGCCAGCCTGGGCAACAGGAACAAAACTCCGTCTTAAAAAAGAAAAAAAATTGAAGAAAGAGATCACCTCGGTTACCTAGATTGAAGTAAAATATTTTAAAAGTAATTATATCCTTGATTTTCCAGTGGCTACTCCTTTTCTCAATTTGTGCACGCATACAATGGGAAACTAAAACCTATGGAAAAGAAGAGCAATATAAACACATCAAACACCAATATAATTTCTGTGGTTGTACATTAAACCTATCCCTGACTTTCCTTGCAAATGAACCATGAGATATATGACAGGATATGTTGTATAACAGTCATTGTTTGATCAAAGAAATAAAAAAACATACACTTTTTTTTTTTTTTTTTTTTTTGAGACAGGATCTCCCTCTGTTGCCCAGGCTGGAGTGCAGTGGCGCAGTCTGGGCTCACTGCAACCTCCGCCTCCTGGGTTCAAGCGATCCCCCAACCTCCACCTCCCTAGTAGCTGGGACTACAGGCGTATGCCACCACGCCCGGCTAAACACATATTGATTTTGAGAAGAGAATATTTTCCTGGTACTAAATGCAAAAGTAAAACTTTTACAGATCCATCTTCAAAGAGATTTTGAACTATATACAGGACAAACAGTCATTTGATAATTTCTTCGTAAACCTTTATGGGCTTCATTTCTTTAACAACTTGGTGAGAAAGAACACTTTTATTTTATTTTATTTTATTTATTTATTTATTTATTTATTTATTTTTTTGAGACAGACTCTCACTCTGTTGCCAGGCTGGAATGCAGTGGCGCGATCTTGGCTCACTGCAACCTCTGCCTCCCAGGTTCAAGCAATTTTCCTGCCTCAGCCTCCCAAGTAGCTGGGACTACAGGCACACGCCACCACGCCTGGGTAAATTTTGTATTTTTAGTAGAGACGGGATTTCGCCATATTGGCCAGGCTGGTCTGGAACTCCTGACCACCGTGCCCAGCGAGAGAACACTTATACAAAATAATAATAATAATACATTTATACTCAATAATGGTGGACCTGGCCAGTCACGGTGGCTCACGCGTGTAATCCCAGCAATTTGAGAGGTCGAGGTGGGTGGATCACTTGAGGTCAGGAGTTTAAGACCAGCCTGCCCAACATGATTAAACCCTGTCTCTACTAAAAATACAAAAATTAGCTGGGTGGGGTGGTGGCGCACCTGTAATCCCAGCTACCTAGGAGGCTGTGGCAGGAGAATCGCTTGAACCTGGCAGGCAGAGGTTGCAGTGAGCAGACATCATGCCACTGCACTCCAACCTAGGTGATAGAGCAAGACTCCGCCTTAAAAAAAAAAAAAAAGGGGGTGGAGCCGACTTCAGGTGGTAGGAATGGGGAGGAGAGTATGAATAGGAGTTAGGAGTGACTACTCAAGTAATAATTTGTTAAAGAAGCCTTTGCAATCACCCTTTCTCTTTAGCACCCTGTAACTACTGCCCTTCCTCTAGGCTTTCTCTAAGTCGATGTTACTCAAAGTCTGGTTTGTGGACCAACTGCCGATCTGCAGACTGACTGTTACTGGAATGCAGGGAGGTCAATTGCAAAATTGAGAGTAAGCATTTAAAATAATTTGACAGAATTACTTTTGAATATTGAATCTAATAAAATAAAATGTAAGGTGACCCTTTTAATATGTTTAATATTTTTATTTTTCTTCTAATTTCATTGTGTTTTATAAAAGTGGCATCCTGCAACAGATTGAAAATTTAAAAAACAAAACTTGTTCTTTACCACAGATAAAAACGTACTTTAGATCTCTGTTTCTCAAACTTCAGTGGTCACGTACTACTCTCATGATTTTGTCATATCTGTATACCTATTTTATCATTTATTCAATATCTTTCTTTAAACAAAAATTACTTTTTAATTTAAATACTTTTTTCTTTTTTTTTTGGAGACAAAGTTTCACTCTTGTTGCCCAGGCTGGAATGCAATGGCACGATCTTGGCTCACTGCAACCTCCTCCTCCTGGGTTCAAGTGATTCTCCTGCCTCAGCCTCTCGAGTAGCTGGGATTATAGGCGTGCACCACCATGCGTGGCTAATTTTTATTTTTAGTAGAGACGGGGCTTCTCCATGTTGGTCAGGCTGGTCTCAAATTCCTGACCTCAGGTGATCCACCAGCAGCAGCCTCCCAAAGTGCTGAGATTACAGGAGTGAGCCACTGTGCCCAGCCTTAAGTGTATATGTATATATACATATATAATATATATATATATATATATATATATATATATATATTTTTTTTTTTTTTTTTTTTTTTTTTTGAGACGGAGTCTCGCTCTGTCGCCCAGGCTGGAGTGCAATGGCGCGATCTCGGCTCACTGCAAGCTCCGCCTCCTGGGTTCACGCCATTCTCCTGCCTCAGCCTCCCGAGTATCTGGGACTACAGGCGCCCGCCAAAACGCCCGGCTAATTTTTTTGTATATTTAGTAGAGACGGGGTTTCACCGTGTTAGCCAGGATGGTCTCGATCTCCTGACCTCGTGATCCACCCACCTTGGCCTCCCAAAGTGCTGGGATTACAGGCTTGAGCCACCGTGCCCGGCCCTTAAGTACATTTTTAATGATACTATATCACCACCATAAGTACTACATCACTATTGTAAATAGAAAATTACTATGAAATAGAATACTATGAAAACAAGGTAATGTTACTTAATTTAAAATAATAAAATAATAATATTTGAGTAATGACAAATCTGGTGGGTTTGGAAAAGTGCACACCTGAAAATCAGCAAAAAGTATTAAGAAACTAACTGCTTTTTTCTTTCTTATCAATCAATTAAAAATGAATATTTAGCTCAATGTTTCTCAGTCCAAGTCAAAGATGAGCTGAATATCTAAAAGGTATTTAATGTCCTTCTCAAGAAAGGTTGGATATTGACAATTAATTCCTAATTTAATTTATATAGGCATTTGTTCAACAAATTTTATTTTTCCCAATAGGGTTCTAAAGTGAAATCTTGAATCTTTCAAATGGGTCTGGTTATTTGGTAAAACCCAGAAAAGTGATTTACCAAGATTTTCTTGCCCTGAATCATTGCCGTCTGGTTTGAGAAAATAGCTATAAGACCTTTTATCAAGTGGTTTCTTGGTAATTTTGAAACGTCTTCAGCAAATTCTTCAGATGAATTTTTTTTAAGAAACTACAAGTTTTTTCTTTTTTTTTTTTTCTTTTTCTTTTTTGAGACGAAGTCTTGCTTGTTGCCCAGGCTGGAGTGCAGTGGCGCGATCTTGGCTCACTGCAAGCTCCGCCTCCCGGGTTCACGCCATTCTCCTGCCTCAGTCTCCTGAGTAGCTGGGACTACAGGCGCCCGCCACCATGGCCGGCTAATTTTTTTGTATTTTTAGTAGACACGGGGTTTCACCGTGTTAGCCAGGATGGTCTCGATCTCCTGACCTCGTGATCCGCCCGCCTCAGCCTCCCAAAGTGCTGGGATTACAGGCGTGAGCCACTGCGCTTAGCCTAAGTTTTTTTCAATAAGTACTGCTGGTGGAATGAATGTCCGTTTCAGAATCTGTTCCTAGGATCCTGAGTTTACCATATAAAACATGTAAGTGAGATATACATATATTCATATGTACAGAAATACACATATAAACATATCTATCATAGCTTTATCATATATGTATGAAGTCTTATTTAAATCTCTCTCAGTGGAAACTAGTGTTCAAAGAGATGTAGTGATCTCATTCAATCAACAGTAAGCAAATATTCGTTGACTGTGTACTGGGTAGCAGGCACCATTCTAGGCTTTGAGACAACAAAGAGAAACAGAATAGACGCAGTCACGTCGTTTGTGTCCTAGTGACGGTTGAGGCAGAAGAGAGAAGAAAGAAGGTAATTTCCAATATTGATAAGCTATGAAGAGGAGCAGAGGTCACTCAAAGAAGTCCTGTCTGGGATATCTGGAGGAGCAATCAGTCCTGTGAAGACTGGGAAGGGGCATTCCAGACATAAGAAACAGCTACTGCAAAGCCCGTAGGACAAAAACAAGACCGGCATGTCCAGGAAGCAAAGAATATATGGCTGGGATCTACTGAGCCATGATGAGCTTTATAGTCACATAAGGCCTTGTAACTATGATGAGGAGCTTGGAATTTATTCTTTGCAATGAAAAACATGTGGAGGGTTTTAATTAGGGGGATGACATAATCTGATTTCATTTCAAAAATATCCTTCTGGATGCTGTGTGAAAAGGGAAAGAAGACACAAAGTCAAAGGCTTGTCTGTTGGCTCAGCAAGAAGCGATGGTGGCCGGGCGCAGTGGCTCATGCCTGTAATCCCAGCACTTTGGGAGGCTGAGGCGGGCAGATCACAAGGTCAAGAAATCAAGACCATCCTGGCCAACATGGTGAAACTCCGTCTCTACTAAAAATAGAAAAATTAGCCGGGCGTGGTGGCGCCTGCCTGTAATCCCCGCTACTCAGGAGGATGAGGCAGAAGAATCGTTTGAACCCTGGGAGCCGGAGGTTGCAGTGAGCTGAGATGGCGCCACTGCACTCCAGCCTCGGGCGACAGAGTGACAGTCCGTCTCAAGGAAAAAAAAAAAAAAAAAAAGAAGAAGCAATGGTGGCCTGGAGGAGAATGGCAGTGGTAGAGATAGAGAAGTGAATGGATTTGGGGGTAGAGTCGACTGGACTGGCTGATGTGTGCGGGAAGATTTAGGAGAAGAGAGAAAAAGCAGAAAAGACTCCCTGCTTCCGGCATGAGAAAATTTCTTCTGGTTTCACAGCCTAGGAAGCAGCAGAGCCCAATTTAAAACCAAGGCTCGCCGGGCGCGGTGGCTCATGCCTGTAATCCCAGCACTTTGGGAGGCCGAGGCGGGTGGATCACGAGGTCAGGAGATCGAGACCATCCTGGCTAACACGGTGAAACCCCGTTTCTACTAAAAATACAAAAAAAAAATTAGCCGGGAATGGTGGCATGCGCCTGTAGCTGCTGGGGAATGGTGGCAGGGGAATGGAGTGAACCCGGGAGGCGGAGGTTGCAGTGAGCCGAGGTTGCGCCTCTGCAGTCCAGCCTGGGAGACAGAGGGAGACTCCGTTTCAAAAAAAAAAAAAAAAAAAAAAAAACCAAGGCTCTCTGGCTTCAAAGCCACTCTTGACTCCAATTTTTTTTTTTTTTTGGTGGCTGCTGAATTGAACCCCAAAGTGATTGCTCTCTGGTCTTCCCCAACCACTTAATCCCAAACTCCCAGCATTAAGCCTTTGTATAGCATGGGCTCCCCCCAAACCCTGAACCTTGGGATGCTCAGCAAATAGATTCTCAGAGCAACCAGAGAGGAGGAAATCTGGGATCAGTGTTTGAACAAATGCAAAGACCCGCCACTGAAGGCCTGGTGTCAGAGAAACCGCCACCTTTTCCCTGCACCATCCTTATTCTCCTAAAATTCTCACCTCATCACCCCCACTCTCCTTCCCCTTGTCCTTCAAGGCTTCCCTAGGCAGCTACCCCCACTTCTGTGTGGGTCTGTGTACCAGGAAAGGTCATCTCACTCCCTCTGTGCTACGAGAGGTATAACTGTGGCTCTAGGAACACCACACTAGGTAATTCCTTCCATCGCTCATGAAGGAGATGGAGGAGAAGCAGCAGAAAGTGGTTTTAGGGAAGTCAGAACAGGAGAGAATAGTTTCTGGTATCAGCCATGACAGAGAATCCAGTGGTAAGAGAAATGAAAGGGGTGATTAAGTTTGGCTGACGGGAGAAAAGCTTCAGAAGGGTACAGGAACGCAACTGCCTTACAGCAGACCGAGAGGCTGGGGAACAGTGAAGCGGCCAGACAGAAGCATAAAGTAGACTTTCATGCAATCTCAGCCACAGTGACAGGAAAGGGGGAAGCTGATGTGTAGCTGAAGGAGAAAGCAGAACCAAGATGAGTGATTTTAATAGAAGGCACATAGGAAAGCATTTTAAAAGTGTTATGTAAATATAAAAGATTATTAATATTTGGCCTTACCATATGCTGCCTTTTACTTATTCATTTTTAAGACAGAGTTTCACTCTTGTTGCCCAGGCTGGAGTGCAGTGGGGCAATCTCGGCTCACCGCAACCTCCGCCTCCTGGGTAGCTTGGATTACAGGCGTCCACCACCACGCCTGGCTAATTTTTTGTATTTTGAGTAGAGACGGGATTTCACCATGTTGGCCAGGCTGATCTCGAACTCCAGACCTCATGTGATCCACCTGCCTTGGCCTCCTAAACTGCTGGGATTACAGGTGTGAGCCACCGCGCCTGGCCTTACTTATTTATTTTTACCTTAATGCTCTATTTCCCTAAATAAACTCACGGTGAAATAAATCATGTTTAATACTTCTTGGGATCACCAACACAATGTCCTACACATAAAGAATAGCAACAACTTGATTACTAAAACATAAAGTCAAAGTAGGCTAGAAATCTCCAGGATGATATCATGCATATGTATAGCCTTCCCAAGTAATTGGTTTACTATACTTTATGTTACTTGACAATAGATATTAAGTCCTATGTTTCTTTGTACTTGTAATACCCTAGAAGCTTGAATATAGTAGGTACTCAATATTTGCTGATAGATTTTTCTTTTTTTTTTTTTTTTTTGTGATGCAGTCTTGCTCTGTCGCTCAGACTGGAGTGCAGGGGTGCGGTCTCTGCTCACTGCAAGCTCCGCCTCCCAGGTTCATGCCATTCTCCTGCCTCAGCCTCCTGAGTAGCTGGGACCACAGGCACCCACCACCATGCCCAGCTAATTTTTTTTTGTATTTTTAGTAGAGACGGGGTTTCACCGTGTTAGCCAGGATGGTCTCGATCTCCTGACCTCGTGATCCGCCTGCCTCGGCCTCCCAAAGTGCTGGGATTACAGGCGTGAGCCACCGCGCCCGGCCCTGATAGATTTCAATTGCATATATTAGTTAACCTCTAGTTCTCAGTTCAAATGACAAACCATCTTTTGGCAATAACCAAAATTACAATGTAATTACATTAAATTGGATTCAAATATATGGATTATTTCACCCTTTCTCTAGTGAAATCCAAATATGCTATTTCACCAATTAAACTACTTCTTTATCAAAGTTCCATTAATCTCCTGGAGGTAGCACTGTGCTCATTAACTAAATGTCAGGTGAGCACAGAAGTGACTTTGGATTTCACTTAATAAACCAGAGCAATTTAAAGTAATTAGTCACATCTTGTGAAAAGAAGCCAATGTGTAAAGAAGCCAGTTTAACCTGCTCGAGATCTGTGGGTGAAAAAACTCATAAACTGAGGGAGACTAGGGGTAGGAGCCTTATTTCCTTTGCCAAGGCTTTCAAGTCAAGCAGTTATTTACCCTAGAAAAGAACAGAGATGACTTCAGGAAATCTTTAAAAAGCCATCTCAGGTGTTTGCAGAACACTGAAAAAATGTTCAATTGTCCAATTTATTGCCCAGATTTGGCTTATTTATCTGAAAACTTATTTTAGTAACATCTGAATTATAGTTTCTCTTTTAATCTCATTTCCCACATTAATGTGATTTACTTTCCAGATTTATGAGCTGTCTTTATGCCATTTGCAATAGCAAAGAAATAAATTATAAAATGTAAGACTTTATACCTAGTAATTTTCAATATATGCATTATGATTTGGACATATTTTTAACTCTGCACACTTATACATTATTTAGTATACTTAAAAATGCTTTCAAGAAGAGAATGGAATTAGGCCACTAGTCAATATAATAGACTAGTTATTATAAGAGATAATCAGGAAAATTATAGATAATTTTTCTATGATACCAAAAATTTATAGATTAGTTACTATAAAGTGAGTTTATTCCACAACTTACAAAGTTACCATAATTAAAGAATAACAACTGTTAGATATTTAGATTCTTTTTTTTTTTTTTTTTTTTTTTTTGAGACAGAATCTCGCTCTGTCACCCAGGCTGGAGTGCACTGGTGTGATCTTGGGTCACTGCAACCTCCGCCTCCTGGCTTCAAGGGATTCTCCTACCTCAGCCTCCCGAGTAGCTGGGATTACAGGCGTGCACCACTATGCTCAGCTAATTTTTGTAGTTTTAGTAGAGAGGGGGTTTTGCCATATTGGCCACGCTGGTTTCAAACTCCTGAGCTCAAGTGATCCATCCACCTCGGCCTCCCAAAGTGTGCCACCACGCCCGGCCTGATATTTAGATTCTATAATCAATATTAGCCAAAGACCAAATGATGTGTTTCCCTCATCTAAAAATGACGTAATTGGCCAGGTGTGATGGCTCACTCCTGTAACCCCAGCACTTGGAGAGGCTGAAGCACGAGGATAACTTCAGCCCAGGAGTTTGAGATCAGCCTGGGCGACATAGCAAGACCCCATCCCTACCAAAAAAATTCAGAAATTAACCAGGCATGATGGCATGCACGTGTAGTCCCAAGGCAGGAGGATTGCTTAAGCCCAGGAGTTCAAGGCTGCAATGAGCTATGATCATACCACTGCACTCCAGCCTAAGTGACAGAGTGAGACCCTGTCTCAAAAAAATAAATAAATAAAAATAAAATAGGCCAGGTGCGGTGACTCACGCCTGTAATCCCAGCACTTTGGGAGGCCGAGGTGGGCAGATACTTAAGGTCAGGAGTTCAAGACCAGCCTGGCCAACATGGAGAAACCCCCGTCTCTACTGAAAATACAAAAATTAGCCAGGCGTGGTGTCAGGCACCTATAATCCTAGCTACTTGGGAGGCTGAGGCAGGAGATTCACTTGAACCTTAGAGGCCGAGGTTGCAGTGAGCCAAGATCACACCACTGCACTCCAGCCTGGGCAACAGAGCGAGATTTTGTCTCAAAAAAAAAAAAAAATTAAATATGTAGATCATGTTGGGAACTGTGTGATGAATCCATTCATCGAGCAAGAGTAGATAGGAAGGACAGTCAGAAGACTACCTCAATTTCTAAGGCTAGAAAATGGTAATAAAATCTTTTTTTTTTTTTTTTTTTGAGACGGAGTCTCGCTCTGTCGCCCAGGCTGGAGTGCAGTGGCGCGATCTCAGCTCACTGCAAGCTCCATCTCCCGGGTCCACACCATTCTCCTGCCTCAGCCTCCCGAGTTGCTGGGACTACAGGCACCTGCCACCACGCCCAGCTAATTTTTTTGTGTTTTTAGTGCAGATGGGGTTTCACTGTGTTTAGCCAGGATGGTCTCGATCTCCTGACCTTGTGATCCGCCCACCTCGGCCTCCCAAAGTGCTGGGATTACAGGTGTGAGCCACCACGCCCGGCCATAAAATGGTAATAAAATCTTAACGACAGTAGTGGTAGAAAGGATGGAGAAAAAATTCCAGAGACACTGACAAGGTAAAATGGGGATGACTATGAATCACTGGACCTGGAGGTGAAGGAGAGGTGAAGAAGGAATCTAGAATGGTTCCCTTTAATGAGCAAAACAAGAGAGTGACAGCAGTGTCATTCATCAAAGAGTGACTGTTAGAGACACAGCAGTCTGAGGGGAAGCCCAGGAATTCATCTGTAGACATGTGAGTTTGAGATTGATGTGAGACATCCACGTGGAGCTGTTCAGTGGGTCTGGAGCTCAGGAGAGGGGCAAAGCCACTTAGACACAGATTCCAGGAGTCAGCAGTTTGTATGCCATGTTTGAAGCCATGGAAGTGAATAACAACAGCACGTTAGTTGGATGCTCCTACTCACTGGAGAAGGTGGTGGAGGGTAAGAATAGAGAACCACAGACCATCAATATTTAAGGAGTAGTCAACAGCAGAAAAGCCCAAGAAAAGCAAATTAGAGACACAGAAAACCAGGAGAATATGGAGTCATAGAAGCCACAGGAGGAGAGCTTCAAGAAAGAGGACACAATCAGCAGTATCCATTGCTTCAGACAGGGCCAGTAAGATAGAGACTAAACTATGAGCCAGGTGTGGTGGCTCACATCTGCAATCCCAGCACTTCAGGAGGCTGAGGCAGGAGGATTGCTTGAGCTCACGAGTTTGAGAGACTAGCCTGGGCAACATAATGAGACCTCATCTCTACAAAAAAAGTCAAAAAATTAGCTGGGCATAGTGGTGCATGTCTGTGGTCCCAGCTACTTGGGAGGCTATGGTGGGAGTCTCACTTGAGCCTGGAAGGTTGAGGCTGCAGTGAGCTATGATGGTGCCATTGCACTCCAGCCTGGGTGACGGAGTGAGACTCTGTTTCAAGAAAACAAAACAAAACAAACTAGCATATGATGGATTTAGCAACAAAAATGACATTGACTAACCTGGTGAGAACTGGGTCAGTGGAGTTGTGGGAATGGAAGCCAGACCAAAGTTCTCATCTGATAAAATTTCCTGAATGAAACAAAGAAATCATCCATAACTCTTATTTGCTAAAGGCTTTGAGCCAATTGTAAAGTTTACACTTTTCTCAAGCACTTTCATTTAGTTTGTAATTAAATAAGCAAAGTACTTGTACATACCCTTTTCTTAATTACAGCTTTCCTAATGAATTAACTTGCATGTACAAACAGCCTCATCTGTAAGATGGGTTTGCTCCAGCACTGGGTTAAAACTGGGCTTACATGCAAAAGCTGTTGTTAATTCAAACCTGTTAATGCAGTTTGTTTATATTGAATATGATTAGAAGAAATCAAGAACATGATTCTAAAATTTTATAATTTGCAGACACACTACAATGATTAGCTCAAAACTAAGTCCTGAACTGTTTTGTTGTCTTTCACATGCACATATACCTTAGATTATTATTATTTTTATTGATTTTTTTTTTTTTTTTAGCTGGCGTCTCGCTCTGTTGCCCAGGCTGAAGTACAGTGGCACGATCTCGGCTTACTGCAACCTCCGCCTCCCGGGTTCAAGCGATTCTCCTACCTCAGCCTCCCGAGTAGCTGGGATTACAGACATGTGCCACCATATCCGGCTAATATTTTACATTTTTGGTAAAGATAGGGTTTCACCATGTTGGCCAGGGTGGTCTTGAACTCCTGACCTAAAGTGATCTGCCTGCCTCAGCCTCCCAAAGTGCTGGGATTACAGGTATGAGCCACCATGCCCAGCCTACCTTAGATTATTTTAATAGAATTGTTTTTTAAATGTTGATGCTGGAGGTTAGAATTAACTCCAAATGTATAGTTAAATATATTATATTACGTTTTGACTAATACGATTTTCTTTCAGGTTATGTGGTTTATCTATCAATATGCTCACCTAAATTAGGGTAATAAAGTCCTTCACTGCTTTGTATCATTTCAAAGATTGCTTCTTCTTTCTCAGTTCACTTACCTTTTTTTTTTTTTTTTTTTTGGAGACAGAGTGTTGCTCTGTTGCCCAGGCTGGAGTGCAGTGGTGCAATCCCGGCTCACTGCAAGCTCTGCCTTCTGGGTTCACGCCATTCTCCTGACTTAGCCTCCCTAGTAGCTGGGACTACAGGCGCCTGCCACCACACCTGGCTAATTTTTTTGTATTTTTAGTAGAGACGGGGTTTCACTGTGTTAGCCAGGATGGTCTCGATCTCCTGACCTCATGATCCGCCCACCTCGGCCTCCCAAAGTGCTGGGATTACAGGCTTGAGCCACTGCACCTGGGTTACTTATCTAATTTTTTAAGGAACGGGGGCAATAGAATTAATTTTTCCTGTTGTAATAGTGTTTCATGGCACTGCTTAATTTTACCCTATGTTTGTAAATTTCAGTATTTAACTACATATATATAACACGTGCAGTGACTCACGCCTGTAATTCCAGCACTTTGGGAGGCCGAGGTGGGTGGACCTCCTGAGGTCGGGAGTTTGAGACCAGCCTGACCAACATGGAGAAACCCTGCCTTTACTAAAAATACGAAATTGGCCAGGCGTGGTGGTGCATGCCTGTAATCCCAGCTACTTGGGAGACTGAGGCAGGAGAATTGCTTGAACCCAGGAAGCAGAGGTTGCAGTGAGCTGAGATTGCACCATTGCACTCCAGCCTGAGCAACAAGAGCAAAACTCCATCTCAAAAAAAAAAAAAGACATAAAAAGGGCTGGGAGTGGTGGCTCATGCCTGTAATCACAGAACTTTGGGAGGCCAAGGTGGACAGATTACTTGAGGTCAGGAGTTCAAGATCAGCCTGGCCAACATGGTGAAACTCCATCTCTACTAAAAATACCAAAAAATTAGCCAGACGTGGTGGCACACACCTGTATTCCCAGCTACTTGGGAGGCTGAGGCTGGAGAATCACTTGAATCTAGGAGGCAGAGGTTGCAATGAGCTGAGATCACGCCACTGCACTCCAGCCCAGGCAACAGAGCAAGACTCTGTCTCAAAAAAAAAGACATAAAAATAGACACGCATGCATATGCATGTACAGGGGATGCTTTTGGGAAAATTTTTCCTCCCTGATTAGAGAGACGGAGAGTAACACAGAAAAAAAGAAGGACAGATGAGGAGCAGTTCCTTGTCCTCCCTTCTTTTGTCTGTCTTCAGTGAGAATAAAATGCTTGGAGTTGGTTAACCCATCATATTTTTCTGGTAATGACAGAGCAGAAGGAAGGGAAGAGACTGGGTCCCTCATGATACTGGAGAGCTACTCAATCAACCAGGAACTGTTCACCTGACTTCTTGCTGGGTGAAATAGTGACCTGTATAATTTAACCCATTTTTAGTAGGATTTTGATTTCTTTCAATGGAGAGAACTGATTTGATACACCACCTCTCAAACACACACACATACATTATGCACCTCAAGAATTTCATTTGAAAAAAATAAACAAAGGAGATTTTAGCCATGCCTTGTATTTATTTATTTATTTATTTTTCAGACTGAATCTTGCTCTGTCGCCCAGGTTGGAGTGCAGTGGTGTGATCATAGCACACTACAGCCTCAAACTCCTAGGCTGAAGCAATCCTCCCACTTCAGCCTCCCATGTAACTGGGATTAGAGATGCTCACCATCACGGCCCAGTCAAGTTTTAAAGTTTTTTTTGTAGAGAAAGAGGGGGTCTCACTGTACTGCCCAGGCTGATCTTGAACTTCTGGCCTCAAGCTATCCTCCCACCTGGGCTTCTCAAAGTGCTGGGATTATAGCAGTGAGCCACTGCACATGGCAAGTTGCACCATTTAGTCTAAGTTGATCACTCTTAAAAGTGTAGAAAAGGCTATCCAGTTCCAACACAAAGGTAGCAAGAGCTACTTTGATGAAAAATTAGAGTAGAAAAGCAGCTTCCATTTAAAAGAATAGCAGGAAACAATCAAGTTAGGATTCTTAAAAATTAACATGATTTTTGGCCATAATGCAACCAAGATTACAGTGATGGCAATGGCTGCTGCCATCATGCTGGCTGCAGCAGGGTGGCGTGGCTAGGGCTGCACACTCCATGGAGCCAGTGGGAGCCCGGCCCTTTCTGAGTTGGGGCAGGGGCTCCCAGGGTGCTGCTGCAGCTGCCCAAATCCAGTGGCAGGACCTGGGCATCTCTGCAGCCTGCACCTTTGGGGGCCCCAGGAAGGACATCCCCCCCATCTCCCTGCAGGCTTGGGGGTGTCTGCTCCTGCTGCCTGGCCTCTCTCCACTCCCAGCACCTGCTATGATTTCAGAGCAGGGGTTGGGGTCAAGAATGGCAGCAGAGGCAGACTGATTCCAGGGCAGAAGGGGGTGGGTTCACAGTAAGGCCCCTCCTTCAGGCCAGGGAGGGCCTGAAGGCTGAGGGCTGGGCTGCCATTCCCATGGACCAGAGTGGGGACTCATGATGCCTCTTCCAGGCCACCTATGGCTGCCCATGGATAAATTGGCATGTACTTCCTCCCCTCTGAGGTCCATAAAAGCCCAGGGTTCAGCCAGAGCAGGGCAGAGGATGGCCAGAGGAAGAAGAAGGCAGAGAGATTATAGGATGACCAGCTACAGAGAGGAGCTACCTTCTATGCTGATAGCTGCAGGTGAGGGAACAACCAGTTGCAGAGATGGAGCTACCCTCTCTGCTGAGAGAGCTGCAGAGATGACCTGCCAGCAGAGAGGGAGCCGTCTTTTCTAGGGCCTCCTTTCAATAAAGCTCATCTTTTTCTTGTTCACCCTTCAGTTGTCTGCATATCTCATTCTTCCTGTCTGCATACCTCATTCTTCCTGAACGAAGGATGAGAACTTGGGCAAAGGTGCCATGGCCACAGAGGTTTTCAGCCAGAAAATCAATGCCCCCAAAATCCCATAACAATAGTATTTTTAAAAGAATCAGTTATAACTAATAATAATACACATTAGGTTTTAAAGTTTTGTGTCCATTAAATTGTCAAAGAAGAAAAAAATAGAAAAAATTTGCTTCCAAGTCTTTAGATTAACACAACTATGCATAATTTTTGATTTACAATTGTAACATCCTAAGAGAAACACATATTATTCCAGTAAGAAAGAGATACAGAATTAAAAATAAGTAATTTTTTTCCTTTGTTTTGAGATTTTAATTAATTTTGAAATATGTGAATTTCCTTTCTAATCTAGAGTGTTGAGAAATTAGAATTTCCCTTCTAACGTGAAATTTGGATGTTCTTTCTAGATTTAATTCTTGTCAGGAAAATAATACCCTAGTAGAGTAGAAACGACAAGGGGAGCTGGTGGGAAGGAGACCATGGAATCAGAATTATCCCGCAGAAAGAGGAAAAGTTGAATCCAACACACTTTTCTGGGGATTAGAAAAGCAGATTTCAATATATTCAAGTACAGGTACAATTAGAGGACCAGAGACTCCAGAATGAGAAATGGTGCAAGAACACAGTGGACTCTCAACATTTGAATCATTTGTGATTTTTTTTGTTTGTTTTTTGAGACGGAGTCTCACTCTGTCACCCAGGCTGGAGTGCAGTGGCACAATCTTGGTTCACTGCAACCTCCACCTCCTGGGTTCAAGTGATTCTCGTGTCTCAGCCTCCCAAGTAGCAGGGATTACAGGCGCAAGCCACCACACCCAGCTAATTTTTCGTATTTTTAGTAGAGATGGGTTTTCACCATGTTGGCCAGGCTGGTCTCGAACTCCTGACCTCAAGTGCTCTGCCTGCCTTGACCTCCAAAGTGCTGGGATTACAGGCGTGAACCACCGCGCCCAGCCCATTCGTGATTGTATTATTAGAACTTGCATGAGGAAGAAAAGGTAGAGACAGGCGAGAGAAAACTGAATGAGAAGCTTTCTGGTGTTCTTAGACTTTCAAAGGGCGGCGGCCAAAGATGAAAGCAAGGACACATTGCCGTAGATGAGGGGAGAAGGCCAGTGACCTGAAGCAGATTCAGAAAGTTTTAGCCCCAGAGGCCTCTGAAGCAAAATTCCTGACAGCAAAACGGTCTGCAGTTGAGAAATGAAGCGCAAAAACAAAGGCACAGGCCCGTGGCTTGCCATGGAGACAAATCAGATCAATTTCACTTCCATTTTGTTTCTATCTTCATCAGGAGTCTGTACTCCAGAAAGCAACAAAGTTCCCAAATGGTGAGGGGTAGTGAGTGAGAGCTCAATTCCAGTGTCTCCCCAAGTTTGAGTCTCTCGGTTCCCAAGGAATACATCCCAGCCAGCAGAAAGACCCAGAGATGACGGAAGTATTACCCCTGGGCATCTCAGAGAAGGGCAAACATTCTGGTTTTCCAAGAGGGAAGGGAAGGAGTAAGATTAGCCACAGACCAAAGTGCTTCACATTAAGTGCCAAAAAAATTCGGGATTTTAATTTTTTTTTTTTTTTTTAAGAGATGGAGTCTGGCTCTGTTGTCTAGGCTGGAGTGCAGTGGTGCGATCTTGGCTCACTGCAACCTCTGCCTCTTGGGTTCAAGTGATTCTCCTGCCTTAGCCTCCCAAGTAGCTGCGACTGCAGGCATGTGCCATCACCCCTGGCTAATTTTTGTATTTTTAGTAAATATAAGGTTTCACCACGTTGGCCAGGCTAGTCTCAAACCCCTGACTTCAGGTCATCTGCCTGCCTCGGCCTCCCAAAGTGCTGGGATTACAGACGTGAGCCACCGCACGCAGCCTGATATTTTCATTTCTATTTAACGGGGTTGTGGTCACTGAGAAAATAATTTAGCAATTACATGGAACCCAAATACATTCAGTAAAATCACGAGCTGTTTCTCTCTTTCTTTTTTTTTCAAATAGGGGTTGCTAATCAGGTAGCTATGAATATTATATTTAAGGTAAATTCTGATGTTAGCGAAACATTTCAGTCACATGACATTCTCCAAATCTGAGATTTGATGGTTCTTCAAGACTGTCTTTTGATGGTTCTTCATTCTTGATTCTTTGTTCTTCATTCTTGACAAACTTTTATTCCTTCAAAATATTTTAAATGAATTCTAATAAACTGCTATTCAAAATAATTGTAAAAATGGGCCAGGCACGGTGGCTCATGCTTGTAATCTCAGCACTTTGGGAGGCTGAAGCAGGAGGATCACTGAGCCCAGGAGTTTGGGTAATATACTGAGGCCTTGCCTCTTCAAAACATAAAAATAAAAAAATTAGCTGGGTATGATGTTGCACCCCTGTAGTCTCAGTTACTCAGGAGGCTGAGGCAAGAGGATTGCCTGAGCCCAGGAGGTCAGGGCTGCAGTGACCTGTGATCATGCCACTGCACTCTGGCCTGGACAACAGAGTGAGAGCCTGTCTCAAAAACAAAACAAAATAATTATAAAAATGGATACACTGATCAATGTAAACATGGTTAAGTGGATGCTATTATGTATGAACAACATTTATAACTAACTGCTTTCTAAAATTAACTTTAAAACATATGCTGTACTTTAAATTTTTGTCTAATGCCTATGGAAAAGATGGTAAACTGTGGAACTACGTTCACTTTTTTTTTTTTTTTTTTTTTTTTTTTTTTAACACAGGGTCCTGCTCTGTTGCCCTGGCCGGAGTTCAGTGGTGTGATTTCAGCTCACTGCAACCTCCACCTCCTGGGCTTAAGTGATCCTCCTGCCTTAGCTGAGACCACAGGCATCAGCCACCAAGCCCAGCTAATTTTTTTTTTTTTTTTTGTAGAGATGGGGTTTCACCATGTTGCCCAGGATGGTTTCAAATTCCTGGGCTCAAGCGATCCACCTGCTTTGGCCTCCCAAAGCAAGCGTGGCGTGAGCCACAGCACCTGGCCTCACTTCTATTTCTTATCAGCTATTACTTTGGCCAAATTACTTAACAAACTCTCTGTTATTTATTTTCTTACCTATAAAATGGGGATAAATAATAACTATCTCATAGGGTTGAAATTAAATGAAATAATATACATATATATATATATATATAAAGGACAAGTATATAATAAATGCTTAATAAATGTTGCTATTGATGCCATTAGTGGTGGTAAATGGTGGTGATAAAGTTTAGTAGTAATTTCACTGGGCTCAGAGTAAGCCACTCAATAAAATCCTGCATGAAAATTGTTTTCTCTGTCTCTACCAGGTAACAAATTACTTTCAAGAAACAGACCAGGCTGGTCATGGTGGCTCATGTCTGTAATCCCAGCACTTTGGGAGGCCAAGGTGGGCAGATCACTTGAGGTCAGGAGTTTGGGACCAGCCTTGCCAACATGGTGAAACCCCGTCTCTACTAAAAGTACAAAAATTAGCTGGGCGTGGTGGCAGGCGCCTGTAATCCCAGCTACCAGGGAGGCTAAGAAAGAAGAATTGCTTGAACCCAGGAGGCAGAGGTTGCAGTGAGCCATGATCTCCAGCCTGCACTCCAGCCTGGGCAACAGGGCAAGACTCCATCTCAAAAAAAAACAAAACAACAAAACAAAACACAAACAAACAAACAAAAAACCAGACCACTGGACTAAAAATGACTTCGTCAACATGAATTTGTTTTCCCCACATAAGAAGTTTGGTGGTGCTGTTCTTGAATTGGTTCCATAGTTCATCATGTCAGGGCCCTGGGTCAGCCTTCCCAGGGTTCTCTGGGCATTTGCTCCTGGCCACAGGACAGCCACGTAGCTGCTCCAAACATCACACCCTGTGCACGCTAAGCAGGAAGGAAACAGGAATAGGCACTCATCAGTGGCCTCTCACCCATTATCAGGCAGGAAAATCGCTCTGAGACATCTCCCTCCCCTCCCCGGCAGACTTGCCCTTAGGTCAACTTCTCGGACACAGGGTGCTCCTGGCAGAAAAGGAGTCTGGGAATTGAGCATCTGCAATTTTCAGCCACAACAGAGGGGAGGCAGATCTGCCAGCCAGGAAAAAAGGTGAACCAAGGCTTGCCACCTTATTTTAACTTTATTTTTCCTTTTCATTACGAACCAGATATATTGTTTTCAAAGGTTCATTTCAGAGACCTAGCCCAAAATATAATGTGCCACCTCAATCTCTATACAAATGTTCATTGTCAGAGGTAAATAAGTAAATAACCCTTCCTCCCTCCTGAATGCAGCAGAGCAGGTAATTGTCAAGCCATTTAGACATTTTTAAAAACCCTAAAAACAAAATTGGGAAGCCGTGAGCCAGATGGTCTCCCATGATTGTTGCTGACTCGATGACTCACTCTTTTGTCCCTTGTGTTTCAGAATTTCTTTTTCAGAAATTCCCCTGATCTCATCTCTCTGTTTTCTTCCTCTTCCATTAGATGGATCAAATGTCTTCCAAAATATCACCTTCCTCTTCTAGCAATACAACAGCAGGGAAACGGTGGCAGAAACAGTACAACATGAGGGCTTGAGTGTGCTCTGTGTGTGTGTGTGTGTGTGTGTGTGTGTGTGTGTGTAGGGAATGTGGACAGAGAAAAACTAGATTTACCTTTTAACCTCACCCTGTTACCTTCCAAACATACAAAATACTTCAATACCTTCCTGGTAATCACGAGGCTCAGCTCACTCTCCACTCTTCCCCACACCTCCCATCCCTGGCCCAGTGAATTCCCTGCTCCCCACCTGCCAAAAAAGAAAAGGGTAGGGGGCTAAGAAGATCTCCAGCCTCTGAAAAAGGAAAGCAGAAATCGCCAGGGCTGGAAGCTCCCTCTCTACGGCACAGCAGACAGCGGAGTGACAGCAAAACCCTCTTCTGCTTCCTGCCTTTCAAAGGAAGCACACTGAGGCACTCACCTAACCAGCTGTCCTGCATCTTGTTCCAGGAAGATAATAAGGATTCCCAAACACAGCACATGCCTCACCCAAAGCCAGTGTGGGCCAGCAAAATGGAGATGCGTTGGAGAGACTCAGTGTGGATGCCCCGTTGGAGAAACAGGATCAAAATCATTGTATACCAACTAAAACCACTATCAAATACAATTCAGATGGGATCAATGATGGGTCCCATGAGCATCAGATAGGGATGCTGAAGCTTAGCAGCCACATAAGAGAAAAAGTCCACTTTGTGGAGGGCGAAGCTCTGAGACAGCAGCAGTGTGACCACCTCTGGGAAGACAGGGTGACTTTAGGAAGGTTTGGGGCTGATGGGACACATGTAAGCTTTATGCTGAGGGATGCGGTCTTCAGTCTTCAAAGACCCTTCAAAAATGTGAAATGTCCACAGCAGAGAACTAAGACGGGGGTCATCTGGAATAATGTCTTGTAAAGAAGCAGTGATAAAACTGGTTGAGAATGTTACCCTGGTGAGGGGGAGGCTTAGGGTCACAGGAGCACACCCTCTGTCACTGCTAGGAGCAGTGTAGTAGTTAAGCGCTCCGTTCTTGGTTCCTACTTACAGAGTTTGAATTTTGCCTGTTGACTAAGAACTAAGATTCTTGTCCACTCTGAGAGAAATACATGTGGTAGAGAATCCATGCAAATGCATGGGACCTGCCCATAGGAACTGTTGAGTGTTAGCTTCTGTTATTAAATTCCTCTCATCTTGATTTAAATAATTTGGCGAGTTTCCACAAGTGCCTGAGGCTGCAAAGAAGTGTTTTAGGGAGCTCCAGATAACATTTTCAGAAAAAGTCACCTATCGTTTGTGGATTACATACTAAATAGGTGGTTCTCAAACCTCAATTTGAGAAATATTGTTAAAGCCTTCCATTAGGGGATAATCCTATTAAATTTAGAAAATTTGGCAGAATGAGGATTTGTAAAGGAATGCAATGTTCTGTGGAACATTAAGTGTCTCTAAAAACACTGAATAAATATATAACGATATCTCCTTGCATTTGTGAGCTGCCTATAGACACCAAGTGCTTACACATGTGCTGGTTTATTTACTGTCTGCTGAATTATCAGGAAATTCTACCTGCCAGAGATTGCTACCAGCCTACTGGAGCTGGTTTCTGGCCCTTGCTTTCTGTTCCTTATAGGGTTGGCTTGGAGAGTAACTTTCTTATTGTCCATTTTTGGTAGCTACTCCATAGTCAGTTGCCATTTCCTAGTAACCCTTTTTGCCTCTGATGAGACAGGGCATAACTCACCAAACGTAACTATTCCTGAAATAGACACTTTTAAACATACTTGTCATGAATTTCTCAAGTGCGGTTTGCAAACCACCTGCATCAGAACCATTTTTGTTTGTTTGCTTAAAAATGTAGACATACAGAGGTTCAGACATCCTGATTCCACCTCAGGGTAGTTAATCCAAATTGCAGGGCAGGAGGACTGGAAATCTACATTTTTAACAAGCACCCCAGATGATCCTTATGCATGCTAACAATTAAGGACAATTGTTCTCATGTTTCAGGAGCACAATTAAAAATAGTTAAATCCTGCGAAGCCGGCTGCTGGACAAAGGCAAATACAAAAATAGAGAAATACAAAAAGGACTCAGAGGTATAGACCATCCCGGAGCTAGCAAATCACACACCAAACCCACCACCAGAGACTCTGAGTTGGGGCAGGTACAAAATTTAAATGGGGCTAAAAAACTCATTAATAGGGACAAATAATGCTTAGTGACATAAATATATATATAATATTAAATTATATTATATATTATATTATAATTATAGTATATATAATATATTTTATATATATATATACATTTTTGAGACAGAGTCTCTATCACCTAGGCTGGCGTGCAGTGGCGCAATCTCGGCTCACTGCAACCTCTGCCTCCTGGTTCAAGCAATTGTCCTGCCTCAGCCTCCCGAGTAGCTGAGATTACAGGCATGCCACCATGCCTGGCTAATTTTTGTATTTTTAGTAGAGAGGGGGTTTCACCATGTTGGCCAGGCTGGTCTTGAACTCCTGACCTCAGGTGATCCACCCACCTCAGCTTCCCAAAGTGCTGGGATTACAGGCATGAGCCACTGCACCTAGCCAGTGCAATATTTTTAAAAGTCAAAATCAATGCAAAAATATTCATAATGAACAAAGGCATGAAAACTTTAAATGAAGACTAGATCAGTACTACCCATGTTTTCCTTTTGCTTCGGGCTCCACTATGGCACTCTCCGGCACTGCCAGGACGGCTCTTCGCTGTCCAGTCTGTGTGCTAACGGGACAGTACTTGTCCTATCTCACTGTATCTAAAGGAGGAGGCTGGAACAGGGGAATGTCAACCATCTTATCCTCGTGTTGCAGTTCAGAGAGTTTAAAGTCAAATGCCTAATTTTACTAACTTCGACACATCATTCTTTCCTTTGAAAATAAAAGTTAGATTGAGTTCTGTAGTTCTTAACCAAACAGAATTGTACTCCAGTGACAGGATTAACTTGCCAAAGACATATAGGCTCATAAGAAGCTGCCTACCCTGCTGATGGCTCAGTTTAAGGGACTCTCAGAAGCGATTGTGAAGGCCAAATAGGCCCCTCTGTAGGGTGTCACTCTGCCTCAGATGCTGCTTTCTGATAGACATTTCTGGGTGTGTAAAATTTTAAATCCTTTATAAACATCAATGATTCGCATAATTGGTGTAATTATAGGTATCTAAAAAGCAGAAAATGCCTGTGTAACAGCTGCCAATAGTTGGTTTCAGGAAACATGCAGTCACTTGTGGAGAGCCAGGCTTGGGGTATAATGCTCAGATAATATTACTTCCAGATGGACCAACTTGAATGAGAGATGGCAAGGAGATAGAGGAAAAGTGCTCCCTCCCCAGGAACCAAGCCACGCAGGAGTCCAGGGGTGGAAAATGCTCTCTGAGGGTCTCCCCTGACTGCACAGTGCGTGTGCACAGGTCCCACATCTACAATGGGCTCCAGCTACTTATGTGAGGAAGGACTAGAAAGGAATAGTTTCAACCATCCTTTGTCAGCGCTATTTTTAAACGCTCCACAGTTGTTAAGGCCTCTATTAAAGGTAAGAGAAACTGGCATACAATTGGCAGTCCCTAGTTTACATATGTCTGTCTTCTTCCAAATGGGCATGGAGGAAATGAAAATATTTTTAATTTCTCTACTCCTTAAATATGTGGGGCTGTTTTGTTCATAAAATGCTTGTGGTTTATTGAGAAGTTCTTAAAGCCAATTCTGTTAGTGGTAGGTACTTGAACCTGCAAACATTGCCCTGAGTACTCTCCTACTCTTTCAAAGAACAGGTGGGTTTGGGTGGAGAAGGATAATTAATTGGGAGAAATGGAAACAATTTAGAGGAATTGACCCTCGGGCAGATTCCCAAGGCCTGCTACCACTTAGCCTGCCAAAATGGCCGCCAATTACCAACCTACAGCTAAAGAGATCTCCGCCCACACTTTCTGAATGAATGTTCTCACTTCATTTTGTCAAACTACCCATCCTTCTACAAATGAACAATCTGAACTTAACTACAATCTTCTTTTTTTTAAATGTGCATTTATGTAGTAGTAAATCTCCCAATGTATTTAGCACTGCCTCTTTCAAAGACAGGCTTCTGGACCTACTTCTGCCTGGGGGTGGGGGAACAAACTGCAGTGTGTTTTGAGACTACAGATAGCCCCACAACTACCCAGGAACTTCAAATAAATTATTAAATGGTCCTCACCTGAGAACCATTTAATCAAAAAGTTTCAGTCAGGACGGGCGCAATGGCTCACGCCTGTAATCCCAGCACTTTGGGAGGACGAGGTGGGCGGATCACCTGAGGTCGGGAGTTTGAGACCAGCCTGACCAACATGGAGAAACCTCGCCTCTACTAAAAAACACAAAATAAGCCAGGTGTGGTGGCACATGCCTGTAATCCCAGCTACTTGGGGGGCTGAGGGAGAAGAATTGCTTGAACCTGGGAGGTGGAAGTTGTGGTGAGCCGAGATTGCGCCATTGCACTCCAGCCTGGGCAACAAGAGCAAAACTCTGTCTCAAAAAAAAAAAAAGTTTCAGTCATATTGATGTTAAAACACCTACCTAACAGCAGTCTTAAAGGAAAACACAGTGGGTTTTATTGTGTTTTATTATGATTATTATTATTTATTATTGAGGGGACAGGGATTTTTATAACGATTTTGATAATAGTTAATTTTGGAGCATGAACCAGCATCCAAGACAGAACAGGCCTGAACATTATGTTATGATGTTTGGTATGTTGTTATGTTATGTTATGTTATGTTATGTTATGTTATGTTATGTTATGTTAATATGTTTGGGGAATTTGGTAGGATCAAGCCAGGGAGCTAGGTCAAATGGCCCCTAAATATTCTTTGTCATCTAAAAAGTTCAAAATTCTGTGATCAGTGACTCTATGATCACATCCCAAAATAGTAGGTTTTTTTTCTCCATTTTTAAAGCAGAATCATTTATGTAAAACAGATGAAAGAGGAACTGCTCTGGGTGGTTATGTGTGGATTTTCTCTGAGTATATCTGTGTAAAGGAGAAAGAAAGGGGGTAGTGTATCTTGGTCTCTATGATGACTAGATAAGATTGAACTCCCACAAAGCAGACCCAAACCTAGCCCAAAATATCTTTTGCCAGTTTGTCACATGGATGTTCTGTTGTAGTGAGAGGTGACAGCATGCTGGCAGCCCTCACAGCCCTTGCTTGCTCTCGGGGCCTCCTCGGCCTTGTCGCCCACTCTGGCCGCGCTTGAGGAGCCCTTCAGCCCGCCACTGCACTGTGGGAGCCCCTTTCTGGGCTGGCCAAGGCCGGAGCCCACTCCCTCAGCTTGTGGGGAGGTGTGGAGGGAGAGGCCCCGGCGGGAACCTGGGCTGCACGCGATGCTTGCTGGAGAGCGCGAGTTCCGGGTGGGCGTGGGCTTGGCCGGTGCCGCACTCAGAGTGGCCGGGAGGCCGCGCCAGCCCCAGGCAGTGAGGGGCTTAGCACCTGGGCCAGCAGCTGCTGTGCTCAATTTCTCAGAGGGCCTTAGCTGCCTTCCCGCGGGGCAGGGCTGGGGACCTGCAGCTCGCCATGCCTGAGCCTCCCTACCCCCCTCCCCTTGGGCTCTGGTGCTGCCCGAGCCTCTCTGACGAGCACCGCCCCCTGCTCCACGGCGCCCAGTCCCATCAACCGCCCAAGGACTGAGGGGTGCGGGCGCACGGCACGGGACTGGCAGGCAGCTCCACCTGCAGCCCTGGTGTGGGATCCTCTGGGTGAAGCCAGCTGGGCTTCTGAGTCTGGTGGGGACTTGGAGAACCTTTTTGTCTAGCTAAGGGATTGTAAATACACCAGTCGGCACTCTGTATCCAGCTCAAGGTTTGTAAACACCAATCAGCACCCTGTGTCTAGCTCAGGGTTTGTGAATGCACCAATCGACACTCTGTATCTAGCTTCTCTGGTGGGGACTTGGAGAACTTTTGTGTGGACATTCTGTATCTAGCTAATCTAGTGGGGAAGTGGAGAACCTTTGTGTCTAGCTCGGGGATTGTAAACGCACCAATCAGCGCCCTGTCAAAACAGACCACCGGGCTCTCTGTAAAATGGACCAATCAGCAGGATGTGGGTGGGGCCAGATAAGAGAAAAAAAGCAGGCTGCCCCAACGAGCAGTGGCAACCCACTCGAGTCCCCTTTTGCAGTGCGGAAGCTTTGTTCTTTTGCTCTTTGCAATAAATCTTGCTGCTGTTTACTCTTTGGGTCCACACTGCCTTTATGAGCTATAACACACTCACTGCAAAGATCTGTAGCTTCACTCCTGAGCCAGTGAGACCACGAACCCCACCAGAGGGAAGAAATTCCGAACACATCCGAACATCAAAAAGAACAAACTCCAGACATGCCGCCTTTAAGAACGGTAACAGTCACCATGAGGGTCCGCAGCTTCATTCTTGAAGTCAGTGAGACCAAGAACCTACCAATTCCGGACACAGTAGGACTTTCTCCTTGGTTCAGCTGAATACAGGGTCTTTGTCACACACGATCAAGAAAGATTAGGCTCGCTGACACTTTGAAGGGTGATAAAAATGGAATTTATTAGGTGAAAAGAAGAAAAAACTCAGCAAAGCGAGAGAGCTTCCTATTAACAGGCCCCCATCTCATAGATTGAATTCCAGGGAACAGGAGAGGTCAGCTTCCTTCCCCACTGAAAAGGGTGAAAACTTCCCGCGACTCCACCCCGTTCTCCCACTGGGCAGGCCAGTCAGGGGTTCTCCAGGGACTTCCTTATATTTTGCTGTCTCAGTTCCAACAGTAGGATATAGTGTTACATGATCGGCATCATGATACGACACAAAACAAAACGAAGGAATACCAGATAACGTTGTGGTATGTGTATAACTTGCTAGTCACTTTAAATTATGTAGTTTTTTTTTTTGTTTTGTTTTGTTTTTTTGAGACAGTCTTGCTCTGTCACCAGTCTGGAGTGCAGTGGCGTAATCTCGGCTCACTGCAACCTCTGTCTCCTGGGTTTAAGCAATTCTCCTGCCTCAGCCTCCGGAGTAGCTGGGTCTACAGGCGCGTGCCACCACGCCCAGCTAATCTTTGTGTTTTTAGTAGAGACGGGGTTTCACCATGTTGGCCAGGATGGTCTCAATCTCTTGACCTTGTGATCTGCCCGCCTCCGCCTCCCAAAGTGCTGGGATTACAGGCGTGAGCCACTGCGCCCGGCTTTCAATTATTATTTTATTTTAGAGACGGAGTTTGGCTTTTGTTGCCCGGACTGGAGTGCAATGGCTCGATCTCGGCTCACCGTAACCTCTGCCTCCTGGGTTCAAGCAATTCTCTTGCCTCAGCCTCCTGAGTAGCTGGGATTACAGGCATGCGCCACCATGCCCAGCTAATTTTGTATTTTTAGTAGAGACGGGGTTTCTCTGTTGGTCAGGCTGGTCTCGAACTCCCCACCTCCGGTGATTTGCCCACCTCGGCCTCCCAAAGTGCTGGGATTACAAGCATGAGCCACCGTGCCCAGCCTCCTTTAATTATTTTTTTAATGTTAATCCGGTTTTAAAATTTACCCTCAAACCTGACTTAAATCTCATCTTGCCTGGCACAGTGGCTCATACCTGTAATCCCAACATTTTGAGAGGCCCAGGTGGGAGGACTGCTGGAGCTCAGGAGTTCGAGACCAGCCTGGGCAACATGGCTGCCTTCTCTACAAAAAAGACAAAAATTAGATGTGTTGGCACATGCCTGTAGTCCCAGCTACTTGGGAGGCTGAGGTGGGAGGATCGACTGAGCTCAAGAAGTTGAGGCTGTACTGAGCTGTGATTGTGCCACTGCACTCCAGCCTGGGGATCAGAGAGGGGCCCTGTCTCGAAATGAATAATTAAGTCACTCTCTTCTACTTCTGAGTCAACTTGAGTTGCTTGGAGTAGGAAGATACTTTCTCCCCTCTTACTTCAAAGCCTAGCTCCTCTAGTGTGTTGGGGAAAGGATGCAGGACAGGGAAAAATACAAGTATCCCTCTACTTAACCAGTCACCGTTAGAGGCCTGTGGCTGTCGCTGTGAGCTGATTCTCCAGCTAACACCTACTGGCCATTGATGGGCCTTTTTAAAAGTGGGCATCCAAATGCTGGTTTTCCCAAGAGCGCATAGGTGGGTCCTTCTTTCCTCCAAGTCCATTCTGCCTTGGAAAACTCCAGACAGAATTCTTCTATACCACTCTAATTCCCGCTCACCACAGTACTCCCCACAACCTTCTTGATTCATCAATTCCTGCTTCCATGTACTTGACCCATGGAGATGCATATCCTTGCTGTGTCGAATGGTAGAAAGCAGATAGTCAACAATCCTCTCCAGCCCATCTGCACATTCCCGACCCCCTCTCTCTCTGGTAGAACAACTCAGCTGGTTAAGCAGATGACGGACTACAAATAAAATGCCAGTCTTCCCTTCCTGCAGACACCCCACTCTCTTATGAATTATTCTCCTGGAGAATCCTTTGGAACTTTCCCGTCACTTGGTTTTGGAATGGGGTGAGGAAGCACTGGGTTCCCCTCGAGGATGTTTCAGGACTCCTTGGCTCTCTTCCTTCCCTTTTTCCAATCCTGTGCTTATTTGGACTGGAGGAGCCGTGTTGAGGAGGGGAATACTGACTATGGTAGGATCCTTTCTGCTCTGGATTACTGGGGTAAGGGCATCACCTGGCTTCCCTTTAGAATGTGGCATATTTAATCTCTACTCTTTATATCTCTAGGCCTGAGTGCCAAAATTCGAGCTATAGGGAAAAGGTTAGAATTTTAAATAGATAAAAGCCAAGCCAGTCTGTTTGAAATGAGGATATTGTGGATGGTAGAGGAGGAAGGGTGGATGTTCCATGAAGCCTGGGGTTCACCCTCCCTTAGTATATGAAGATCAAAGAAAAAATATAAGAGGACGTATGAGGGCCATGAGACCCTAGGAACAAAAGCAAAACAAAGAGGGATGGGAGAGTGAAGAATATAATACATTAATAAGTGATTTGTCCAAAAGTAGGCACACAACCCCAAAGCAGCCGTTTCATTGCTTGGTAAGTAATTGATGAAATAACTGCCATGCAGAGCTGTCTTTTTTTTTTTTAAGATGTAGTCTTGCTCTGTCACCCAGGCTGGAGTGCAGTGGTTACCGTCTCGACTCACTGCAACTTCACCTCCCGGGTTCAAGCGATTCTCCTACCTCAGCCTCCAGAGTAGCTGGGATTACAAGTGCATGCCACCATGCCCAGCAAATTTTTTTTTTTTTTTTTTGAGACGAAGTCTCACTCTGTTGCCAGGCTAGAGTGCAGTGGCACCATCTTGGCTCACTGCAACCTCCGTCTCCCGGGTTCAAGTGATTCTTCTGCCTCAGTCTCCCGAGTAGCTGGGACTACAGGCTTGTGCCAGCACGTCCAGCTAATTTTTGTATTTTTAGTAGAGATGGGGTTTCACCATGTTGGCCAGGATGGTCTCGATCTCTTGATCTCGTGATATGCCCACCTTGACCTCCCAAAGTGCTGAGATTATAGGCATGAGCCACAGTGCCCGGCCAATTTTTTTTTTTTTTTTTGAGACGGAGTCTTGCTCTGTCGCCCAGCCTGGAGTGCAGTGGCGCGATCTCAGCTCACTGCAAGCTCTGCCTCCTGGGTTCACCACCATTGTCCTGCCTCAGCCTCCTGAGTAGCTGGGACTAAAGGCGGCCGCCACCACGCCCGGCTAATTTTTTTGTATTTTTAGTAGAGACGGGGTTTCACCGTGTTAGCCAGGATGGTGTCAATCTCCTTACCTCGTGATCCACCCGCCTCGGCCTCCCAACAATTTTTGTATTTTTAATAGAGACGGGGTTTCACCATGTTGACCAGGCTGATCTTGAACTCCTGACCTCAAGTGATCCGCCCACCAAGGCCTCCCAAAGTGCTGGGATTACAGGCCTGAGCCACCGTGCCCGGCCCAGAGCTGTCTTAAAAGGGAATATGAAGGACAAAATATGGAGAACAGAAGCAAGATTTGGTATTGGGAGAAAATCAACACACACAGGAATACTAAGAGAATACCTGAGCAATATTAATTATCTGCATAATCTTAATGCTAAATTGGTAACCACTTAATCTCTCCAGAGCTGCCGTGGATCTTGAACACTATTTCTCCCAGAACTACCATGACATTTTCAGTTCCCTTGTAGTCTTGTGTTTCTTTGTAATAAAGCCCCGTGTCTCTTTGTAATAAAGCCCCATGATTTCAGGTTACTTGAGTGATTCTGTTCCTTGCATCACAGAGCCTAGCAAAAAAAAAAGTAAGGCTAGTAATGCAGAAATGGGAATCAGCCTGATGAGTTCTAATGGAAGAAGAAAAAGACCGAAGAGAGTTGATCTCTGTTCTGATGTTTATTTCGGAAGTACTAAAATCCCCATACTTTGTCACCATGTCAGTGTCAAGGCTGTTTCTGTAATTGTTCGCTTTTCTATTCATATATGTTATCAGACACTTGGGATAGAAAAATCATCTCAGTATGATTTGCAGATGTATCTGCTTACATATTAAAATAATCTATTCACCTTCTCCGGGGGTTAAAATGATTGTTTCAAAGTTTGGTTTACTTTTTAACCTGTGTTCATTTAGACATATCACTAGTTTTTCTCTCCTCAAACCACTTTACGCCTAACCAGCTCCAGGGTACGGAAACTGTCAAAAGCCTATGTCTATAAGACTAAGATCCAGCACTTTCCACTTCTAGTAACTACTCAAGGAAAACTCTCATGTATTTGAAAAGACATGTATAAAATACATTGTTATAACAATAGGAACTGGAAATCTTAATCAGTGTTCCCTTAATTTACTTGACATTCTTTGGGAGATATCAGAATTACAAAGTAGTATTCACCTTCATCTTTTGCCCCTTATTTTTTCTTTCCTCCAGCTTTTGGATTCATTGGGTGCTCATCCAAAAAATTAAAACTGTTAGTAAATCCCTCAATGTACTTAGTACCACCTCTTTCAAAGACAGGCTTTTGGACCTACCTCGGCCTAGAGAAGGAACAAAGTGCAGTGTATTTTGAGACTACAGACAGCCCCACAACTTCCCAGGAACTTCAGATAAATTATTCAAAGTCTGAGGGGGATTGGCAAACAGGAGAGATAAAAGGTCCACATAGAAAGTGTGGGAATGGGAAGAGAGAAAGCAGGGGCAGAGACTGAAGGTCAGGGGTTCCAGAAGAGACTATTTTCACAGGCTTTAGGTGTTGATCTGAGGAAGTTAGGGCAGGGGCCGGTAGGAAAGAAAGTAACAATTAACCACATATACAACGGGAGCTAACTGATCATTCAACAGGCTCCTTCTGCTTAGCTCTTATAAAAGCAGTTACATGCATCACATGTATTAGCCAACCATCGCCCTACACTGCTGGGCATTCACTGCCTGGAGAGAGCCTACCTACTAAGGATAATAGTGTTTTCACTTGCCTTTCAACTGCATGTTATGTCAGGAAATAGCACATTCATTATGTGTTTAAAAACTAATCCAAAGAATTATGTATTTGGAAAAATATCTAAAGAAGTAAGTGGGCTAAGTAAATGATATTTCATTTGTTTCTTAATGTCCTGCCCTTTAAAAAAAACACTCAAATGGAATACCCTTAGAATGTCTTACGTATGATGCAAAGCAGCTGTGTATATTGGTCCACAAATGACTTAGAACTTTGTCCTTCAACAAAAAATCTGCAGGGTAAAGGAAGGCCCTACAAGAAACTTCCTGCCATGACTTGACTTAGGCCTGGCTTGTTTGGCGGTACCCCATAAACCAACTGCCCTGAATTGAAACTGTCAAAAGAAAATAAAATGGGCTAAATTTATTATCACCTGTATCCACAAACATACACACATAGAGGTCCATTGTTAACTAAGGCCCAAACCAAAATGCAGCAGCCTAGTCAGACATCCCCCTGGGAAATACCGTTTAGTGATGTGAGAGTTTTTTTTTTTCTTCTTTTTAACATAGAGAAGGAAAACAACACATGCAGGAAACCATAAAACCCTTCAAGTTAACTGTAGCCAACGGTCAATCTCATTAGGATATAATGGGTAGACGATAGCCCTCTCTATAAAGGCTGAGTGTGCTCTGAATAATTTCCAATTTTCTCACTTGCTGGAAGCTCTGCCTTTTAAACAACAAAGCAGAAGTTCCAGGCACTATATTTATATTATTTCTGTTCTCTGCCTTGGATACTTCTACCAAAAATCAGTCCCTGGGTTCATCTTTTAGCACACATTTGTTTAACTGGAATACACACACACACACACACACACACACACACATTAACTTGGCTAATTACTTAAACTTACACTTTTTTTTTTTTTTTTGAGATGGATTTTCACTCTTGTTGCCCAGGCTGGAGTGCAATAGCACAGTCTTGGCTCACTGCAACTTCTGTCTCCCAGGTTCAAGCGATTCTCCTGCCTTAGCCTCCTGGGTAGCTGGGATTAAAGGCATGTGCCACTACACTCAGCTAATTTTTTTGTATTTTTAATGGAGACGGGATTTCACCATGTTGGTCAGGCTGGTCTCAAACTCCTGACCTCAGGTGATCCCCCTGCCTCGCCTCCCTAGGGGCTGGGATTACAGGCACCAGCGACGGGCGCCCGGCCCAAACTTAAACTTTTAACAAGGATGGTGGAAGGGCATCCTTGAGAAAATGGATAGGAGTCAGAGGGCTGAGGGAAGTGCAGGGACTGCCAATTTTTGCCAAGGGACCAAGCCTTGGGTAGAAATGGAGAAGACATCTATTTAGAGAAATAAGTTCTAGGCTGATTCTAGGGCTCAGGAGATAGAGTTCCAATACCCTTTCTGGCACTTCTGATCTTGTGACCTCAGATCAGCCATTGGGCCATTCTCAACTCAATTTCTCCATGTTAAAACAATGAGGGCGTCATAATCCCTCGCCTGCATACTTATTGTGAGAATATGCTAAAATACAGTGAGGGTACTGATTTCCAAACTTCAGTGAGCACTGGAAATCTATGGGGGGCTCATTAAGGCCCCATCCCCACAGTCTGACGGTGGCTGGCGATCTGTATAATCGCTACCCTTAACAAGAATCTCCAGGTAATTCTGATGCTGGGGATTCGTGTAGCAGACTGAGAAACATTGATTCAGGAGATTTATTTTTAGAAATTTTTTTTTCCAGATTTGTAATTTAATGGCTGTGCAGGTCCCAGTCCCTCATTTCTGCCGCTCACGGGCCCACTGCTCTGGGATTAGGGTTTTCTGTTCAAAGGCATGGATACGCAGGAGCGCTTCTGCTAGGCACGCGTTCACCAGGCGGTGTCTCTGAAGCAGCGGCTTCCCCTCGAACTTGGCCGACACCGCCAGAAGCTACAGGCGCAATGGTTGAGGGTCGTGTTGTCCTCCACCGCCACATGCTCCGCCGCCAGGTCCCGCTGCAGCTTCTCCCTGAGGTATTCGGCCCTGAGTTCCATGGTGGTAGTCCAGCTGGGGCGACAGCCCAGTGGGGACAGAACCCCAGCTCGGACCCCGGCCACGCTGCTTTGCTCCCCATTTTTAGAATTTAAAGCATCTTCTGTGTTGCTGGCACTGTGTTAGGCTTTACACACATTAGCTTTTTAGAACCACCCATGAGGTCAGGTTCTAGCATTCACCGAGCCCATGGGGTAGGCCAGGCATTACGACATGTCACACACGTGCCGCTGCACTCTATTCCCAACACAGCTGTCTACATTAGATAGCTCTCTTTCTATATGACGATTTAAAACACGGAAACTTAAAAAGGCTGAGAAATCTGTCCAAGGTCCTCCAGCTTGTTGGTCTCAGAGGCAGCATTCTAATCCAGGTTTTCATGCAATCCGGCGCTGGCGCTTACCACAAGCAGCATAAAATGCAAATGCCTGTTGGAAGCTCTTAGGAACCCATGGAAACCATGTAAAGTCAAGAAATAAGAATTTAGCATTTATTATGTGAAAAGAAGCAGGGAAAGCAAACTGGGGAATGCAAGAAGTATTCAATGCCTAGTTTCTGTCCTTCAAGAATTCCAGTCTATCAGGAAAGAGCAGTTTGGTTATACTGCAATTTGGAAGAACTGGAAAGTTGGGCTTAAAACCCTTTTGTGCAGGGCCTTGAAGAGCAGCATGTGAATTCTGCACTTTATCCTGGGCACAGGGGAATGGTGGTAGACACTTGGCAGAGCCTGAAACACCATGCGGATGTCTGGAGATGCTTTCTTCCCACCCCTCCACTTTAGCTTTCAAATGATAGTGAAAATTGAGAAATGCGTATGGAGATATCATTTTTCAGGAAGAATCAGAGGGGTAGGAGTAAACCCTAGTGAATATGGGTTAGAGAGGTATTTTGTAGGCCTTAATAGGAGGGGTGCCAGGAGGAGGCACAAAACAAAAACCACCAGAAAGAGAAATAAAGCATACCAACCTTACACTCTGAGAAATCCAAATGGGTAGATGGGTTTGTATTTTTTTGTTTGTTTTTGAGACAGAATCTCACTCTGTCACCCAGGCTAGAGTGCACTGATGCGATTTTGGCTCACTGCAACCTCAGCCTCCCGGCTTCAAGAGATTCTCCTACCTAAGCCTCCCGAGTAGCTGGGATTACAGGCGTGCACCACTACGCTCAACTAATTTTTGTAGTTTTAGTAGAGAGGAGGTTTCGCTATATTGGCCAGGCTGGTTTCAAACTCCTGACCTCAAGTGATCCGCCCGCCTTGGCCTCCCAAAGTGCTGGGATTACAGGCGTGAGCCACCGCGCCCGGCCAGATGGGTTTGTATTCTTAAAAAAAAAAAATTTTTTTTTAAACATTTCTCTCTTTTCAAATACTTCCTTGGGATCCCTGAATTTGTTTTAAATTCATGATTAAGCATTCTGACCCATAGTATTCCCCAGACCATGTCTTCTAATTTGTGTGTACCCTACAAACACAGGAAACCCTTGGTAAATGTTGATGTCCATTTAACCCTTTGCTTTCTTGCTTTCCTCAGAATCCCTTAGCTCCCCTAGTACCCTCAAAAGCAGGGTAAACACAAACCCTAAAAGCCTTCCCAGGAGCTGGGCCCACCCTCTCAGCTTACATGCTTTTTATTTTTTTTCTTGGCACTTAAAGGAATTCAACTAGGAATTGACAAAACTTGCTTAAGCAAGTATCACTGATTCACATTTGTGATGGAACACAGGGCCAGAAGCAATTGCTGGATATTCTTAAAAGAAAATCTGAAACTTACTCTTTTCTATTGATCCAAATTATCTGTAAGAAAAAAATCACACTAAACTGTTTGGTTTCGCAGGTTTAGGATGCCTTGTACCACCTAACAAGTAAGTATCCCTTACGAATGAAAACAGACTCAGAGAAAAAGACATTGTACAAAAATGCTTCTTACTTTACCACCTGACAGGAAGGACACACACATTTCAGCTTTTATTTTTAAACCAATGTTATCAAAATTCTTAAAGGAAATATTTAAAACATCTGCTTTTACATAGAGAGTCAAGGGAAAAGAAACAGTTCTAACAGGAGAACCCTCCGAAATAAAAATATGCTTTAAAAGAGATGCATCATTTAAAAAAGGCATCATTTAAGGCTTCATTTATGTCATGGTATTGATACCTTGGATCTGAAAAAAGCTAAACCATTATATTATCACTGCAATGAACAAAAATTAAAAGCACTTTTCTAAAGAAGAGTTCTTCCTTTTACAAAGATCTTTGAAGAAACTTAGATGCCATGTTGTTCTAAGGTCATTTTAAAAAATGGAATTCCAATTGCAGAACGCAAATGCAATTAAAACTAAATATATGAGCACCACACATGAAAAAAATGTTGAAAACTAGTAGCTATCTTTAAGAGATAAATTATATTGAAACACAAGTTATACTGGTTTTTGGGGGTGCATTATTGCTTTTCGTTGGACAACCACAAAACCCCCTCCTGTTAGACTAGTCTTCAAAAGGTCTCTTTTTCCAGATGTACCTTCCAGGATACTACTCCCTTATCTACAAGCAATCCAAATGACTAAGGGATAATTTCCAAACACTTCTGCTTGTTAACCCCTCCTCTCCAGTGCTGAAAAACTCAAGACAAGTAAAAGACACATTTTTAATTAACATTTGGAAGATGGCTTTTGTTAGTTAATAGCAATTGTTAACTCTCAAAATAAACAGGAAATAGTGCCACTTAGCAAGTTGTATGTTCCAAACCCAAGAGTAATGGGCCTTAAGAAATCCAAGTACTTTTTCACCTTGCAGTCTCAACAATCCTTCCTGATTCTTAGAAAAAGCACAAATCTCCAGCAGCCAAAGTAAGTGCTATTTGGAGAGGGGGCTTTCCTCTGAGCCCACATGCAGCCAGCTTCTCCAGGTCATCCTTATTGCTGCAGTTCTCTTACATTAACACCATGTTGGGCATGGCAAAAAATGAAGATTGTAGCACATCAACCTTTCTGCTTGAGAAAAAAAATGCATAAATGCATACGTTTTGCATTTCATAATCGGTAAAAGCCTCCTCCTGTATAATCTACTGATAATAACAGTTTATTTGTCCTTAACCCACGAAAACCAATTACAGCCACTGCTGGAGGTAAGCATGGGCAAATCAAGGAGAAAGCAGCTCCAGGAGCACCAACTTGAAAAAAAGATCATCTAGCCAGTTTCATCTGTGAAGAATTCTGTCCACGTTGCCCCTCCCCCTCTTTCAGATTCCAAGACAAAGGGCGTTTTTAAATATGGTAAACTCAGAAAATTCCTAGAAAGCATGTGTTGAGTTGACACATATTCAGCTGATGCCATCATTTTCAGGGTCAGAGGAAATCTGGCCAAGAGACATTTAATGTTCCTCGATAAGGTAGCATTTGACAAGACTCCTCTGAGAACTTATTTTTTTAAAGCTAAGGCAGATTGTGTAGTGTCCAGATACTGTAGGGCCTTTCCAATCTTAGGCATTGGGCATAATAACGACAAAAGTCAAGATTTAGGGTTCAGTTCCAGCTGATTTTATTTCCTTCTCAAAAAAAGTTATTTACAGAAGGTATATATCAACAATCTGACAGGCAGTGAACTTGACATGATTAGCTGGCATGATTTTTTCTTTTTTTTCCCCCAAACATTGTTTTTGTGGCCTTGAATTTTAAGACAAATATTCTACACGGCATATTGCACAGGATGGATGGCAAAAAAAAGTTTAAAAACAAAAACCCTTAACGGAACTGCCTTAAAAAGGCAGACGTCCTAGTGCCTGTCATGTTATATTAAACATACATACACACAATCTTTTTGCTTATTATAATACAGACTTAAATGTACAAAGATGTTTTCCACTTTTTTCAATTTTTAAACACAACAGCTATAAACCTGAACACATATGCTATCATCATGCCATAAGACTAAAACAATTATATTTAGCGACAAGTAGAAAGGATTAAATAGTCAAATACAAGAATGAAAAACGCAGTACATAGTGTCGCGAACTCAAATCGGCATTTAGATAGATCCAGTGGTTTAAACGGCACGTTTTTGCTTATAAAAAAAGTGCAAAAAAGATGTGGTTTACAAGTTAAAGCTACAGAATCCCTTTTTGCTGTAATTGCACCAGTTTTAAAGCCTCTGGACAGAGCAGTATTTCGTTTAAAACTTTGTTTTTCTTAAAAGCTTACAGTGTTTGGCTAATTCTCCTCCCCTTTTTACAAGACGGGGGCCGGAGGGTGGACACTGGTGGCAGGTTAAGGGATACTGTCACTTTAAGAAGCCTGCAGATTGAAGTGTAAACATGGAGAAATTAGGGGCTGATTTTTTAAACTGTGTGAGATATTAACCAGCCGCCCTGTTATAAAATCAGGAAATCCAAACAGCGATTTACACCGATTAACACCCCCTTTATATATTTTTTACAAAAATACACTGAGAAAATAATCAAACGTTTTCATCTCTCTTGTCTTTTTTTGTTTTTTAAAAGTGTCAAAAGTCTACATTTAAATATAAAAAATTAAAAGTTAAAACTCTAGCCCTTCAGTGAAGGAGACGTAAAATGGCGTGGGTAACAACAACTACCAAAAAAAAAAAAAAAAAAAGAAAAAAAAAAGAAAAAAAGGAAAAGGAAGGAATAAAGAAATAAAGGAAGTAAAAAGAAAGGAAAGAAAAAAAGGGACAAAAGAAAAAATATGTTTGGCCAGTATAAATACGTCCACATATAAAATGGCATCTGATTACATTTACAAGGAAAAAGAAATACGAGGATGGAGCATCGGTGAAGGAAAAAAACACGTCTTCTCATTTACACCTATAAGGAATAAACACACACACTGAGAAAAAATTTGGTCCTGAATTGTTTTTTTAAAGTCCAGCACAGATTTGAGTTGCGTTTGAATCCTTTAAAGAGTTAAGAATGAAAAAAAGCTGGTGATAATTTCGTTGTAGGAATCAAACATAGCGCCATCTATCTGCTTTTTATATTATCCTACACTATTTTAAAAACTGCTCAACAGTCTTATACAGAAATCTTTAAAAGATAGACAGGATAACATGCTATATTAACCCCACCATTGAAATAATCCAACACCATCACGATTCCGATTAAGAGAAGAAAAAAATCTTTTTTTTTTCTTTTTTTTTCTTTTTTTCTTTTTTTTTTTCCGAAACCACTCGCCCTCCACTGACTGCCCCTGTACCACATCAAACAGTCTCCTCTCCTCCACGCCTCCGGGGTCTGGGAAGTCTCACCTCACTGATTTCACGTAGAAAAGAAGGCGGAGGCCCAGCAGCCGCCGCCGCCAGCTCCCCAACGTGCAAATCCATTTCAGTTTGACCGTGAACCCCCTTCCAGTTCGTGTCCTCCTCCGCCCCCGCCCCTAGCTCCCGCTGCTGCGCTTCCAACGGGGTTCTCGGGTCATTTCCTAGCGCCGGTCACACTGGCTGGCCTCCTCCCCTCAACATCTCCTCCTCCGGCTGCAGAGGGGGCAAGGGGAAAAGAGGGAGGAAAAAAAAGCCCCAAACGGGAATTCGCCTGCGTGGAGTCTCTCAGTCCCGGCGTTCCCCCAAAACATCTGCCATCGGCCAAATTCGTCACCCCGGAGCCTTCTGTCTTCATCACGCGTTTAAAAAAAGGGGGGGAGGGGTGCGCTGGGTTCTCCCCTCCTTTCTTGACCAAGAAGCAAAATAAAACAAAACCAAGGTGGTGATGCAGGAAGGGGGAGACTCCTTCAAGTCTCTAGAAAACTAACTCGCCTTCTTGCTGGGGGTGCAGACAAGTCCGGAAGCTCGTTGGAAGGGGGAGGGGGTCTCTTCAAGCAAAGGGGAGCAAACTCGAAGTCGCTTTTTTTTTTTTGCCATCAACAACAACATCAATAACAACAATCACAGGTCGCCCCTGTCTACCCTCTTCCTCCTCCGCGTCCCTCCGGCTGGGCAGAGTGGGTCCCCGGCCCGGGAAGGTGGGGGATGGGAGCGCGGGTCCAAAACGCCGCCGCGCTCCTTGATCCGACGACGAGAACGCGGGCGAAGCCAGCCCTGCTTACTTTTTCTTTCTTTTTTCCCTTTTCTCTTTAAACTCTTCGTCTGTCCTTTTCGTTTCTTTTTTTCACTTTTTTTTTCTCCTCTCCTACCCCCCCCGGCCCTTCTCCCTGCCTGCGCGCCCTTCAGTAGGTGAAAACCAGGTTGGAGATGCTGGACTCGAGCCAGTCTCCCGAGATCATCTCGCTCACCTCGGGCGTGCAGTAGTCCGGGAACTCGAAGTGCGAGCCGGAGCCGGGCTCGAAGTTAAAATCCAGGTCCCGGTCGAGCGCCGACGACGAACTGAAGCTGCCCAGGGACATGCTCTCAAAGTTTGAGCTGGGGTTCAGGTCGAGCAGGTCGTCTTCGAACTCGTCGTCGGAGGACGAGGAGCCCGAGGAGGAGGAAGAGGAGGAGTGGGACGAGGCCGAGGAGGACGCGTGCGAGGGCGCGCTGGACGGGGCGGGCGAGGCGGCGCGCAGGCTGGCGTAGCCGCGGTGGTCGGCGGGCGAGCGGCCGGCGGCGGGGGACGAGGCGGCGCTGCTGCGGCCGCTCAGGCTGGGCGCGTCGGGCGAGCAGCCCGCGCCCTCCTCCTCGTACAGGCCCAGGGGGTCGCTGGGGTCGGCTCCCGCGCCCACGCCGCCCACGGGCGACGACGACGTGCCCAGGCCGCCGAACAGGTAGACGCGCTTCACCTTCTTCTCCGCCAGGTGCTTGCCCGGGGCCGCGAGCGCTGCGGAGGCCGAGGCTGCCGAGGAGGCGGAGGCCGAGGCGCTGGGAGTCCGCGCCTTGTACAGCGAGTGGTGGTCGGCGGCGGCGCCCAGGGGCAGCAGGGCGGCGGCCCCCGCCTGTTCGGCGGCGAAGGAGGCGGCGGCGGCAGCCGCTGCTTTCCCGCCGCCGCCGCCGCCTGCCAGGATGAGCTTGGCGTGCGGTTTGCTAACCCCACCGCCCGCGCCGCCCGCCACTTTGGAGCCGCAGCTCTTTTTCTGCGCCGGTTTGGAGTTGGCGCCGCCGCCACTCGCACCGCCGCCTCCTCCCCCCGCGTTGCTGCTCCCGCCGCCGCCGCCGCCCCCATGGCCGCCCCCGCCACTGCCACCGACCTTGTCTCCCTTCTCCCCCGGCTTGGAGGAGGCGGCGGCCGAGGAGCTGGAGTTGGCGTTGCCGGACTTCACCTTCTTCCTGGGCCGGTACTTGTAGTCGGGGTAGTCAGCCATGTGCTTGAGGCGCAGCCGCTCCGCCTCTCGAATGAAAGGGATCTTGTCGCTGTCTTTGAGCAGCTTCCAGCGTTTGCCCAGCCGCTTGGAGATCTCGGCGTTGTGCATGTCGGGCGACTGCTCCATGATCTTGCGCCGCTCGATCTGCGACCACACCATGAAGGCGTTCATGGGTCGCTTGATGTGCCCACTCGGGGTCTTGCACCAGCTCGGGTCGTCGGCCTTGCCGCCCGTGGAGGCGGTGGAGCCGGGCGTGGGGGAGGAGGCGATTCCCAGCTCGAGGCCGGCGCCCGAGTCCGAGCTCTCGCCGGCCAGCAGCGCTTCCGTGTTCTCGGCATTGTTGGTTTGCTGCACCATGGCCTCGGCTCGGCGGGCGCCCACGCGCGCTCACACCCTCGCGGCGGCCGCCGCGCGATCGCCGGGCCCTCCCGGTTCCCCGGGCCAAGCACACGCCGAACGGGAAGACGCGCGCGGCGGCCGAACTGGCCCCTCAACTCCTCGCAGGGGCGGAGGTGGGTAAAGAGAGAAAAGTCCCCAAAAGATTTGGGGAAGGAGTTCTCCGCCTCTCGCAGAGGAGTTATAGTTCCCAGGCTGGAGAGTCTCTCTCTCCCTCTCTCTCGCTCTCTCACCGCGCTGCAGTTTGCTGTCTCTCGGCTGAGTCTGGAGACCGTGCTAAAGTAGAGAGGAGTTTCTCGAATGCTGGTTGCTGAAGCTTCCAATGCAAGTTTCTCGCGGCCTCCCAGGCAAGTCTTTTTTTTTTTTTTTTCTTTTTCCCTGAAGCAGTTGATTCCAGTTCACGAGCGCTCTCGGTAGCTCAGGAAAGCGACATAGTCTCTAGCACTTAGTCCCTCTCCTACAATGCAAAGCAAAAAAGACTGTGGCTCCAGGACTCTCTGTGGGCGGAATCGGCACTAAGGAGTTGGTGCAATTATTTTGTTGCAAGGTAGGAAGCCAAAAAGCCTGCATGCAACAGACTGGCATGAATAAATGTATGTTTCCCCCTCCCTTCTGCAAGAAGGGAGCTGGTAATGGCAGGAGTTCCTCCAGTGCAGACTCTTAAAGAGCGTGCAAGAACTAGAGACCCGACAGCGAAACAGGCCTCTTCCCCTCACACACAGTTTCTCTTGCTGCAGCTTAGAGCAGACCCCAATTCCGCCTCGCGCCTCTTTATCCTTTCACAGTCTTGGCTGCAGCCAATCAGCTGCTGTAACCAACGCTTCCTCATGCCAAACCCCTCCCCCGGGCTTCCCATTGGCTTGGAACCCGATGCAATAATAATCTCCGCGTGCAATGAGAAGCTCCAAATCTGACCTCATTCCAATTTACAGAGCAAACTTTTTAAAAGGGCTAGAAGTACAGCTGAGATTTCTGCTGCCTCTTTTTTCCTTTTGCTGTGTGTGTGCGCGCGCGTGTGTGTGCGCGCGTGCGTGTGTGTATAGTGTGTGAAGAGGATGTTAATGCATGAAATTATTAAGGGGAGAGACGGAAATGTATTCTAACCATTATGTTAGATAACAAGGGGCTTGGAACGGGGCGGGGTAAGGGTGAAATACTGTAAATGGAAGCTTTCTGCTTAAAAGCCAAGTGATTATTTTTATTAGTTCTTTTCAGCATTGGAATAAAGAATCAGCCTCTGGTGCAAAATCTGTTCCCCAGCTCTTTCTTAAAGCCAAAGCTGTAAAGGGGAAGAGAAAGCCACAAAACAATAAATCAATGGATATTGAAAACCATTAAGAAAGTGGTACCTAGACACCTGTCATCACAATTATTTTAACAACTCTAGGTACAGCACAGATGTTGATGTATTGTGTAAATCCCTTCAGAACCGTTTTTGTGCTGTTTGTGGAAGGCAGGGAAGAGGACTTTGCAATAATTGCTTACTCTCTTAACCAAGCAAGGGTCAACTATGGTTATTTAATGATTTAAACTCCCTGTAAATCCTGCATAGCCCAAACAGGGGAGCTTTCCCTTGAAACACATTAGGTAGTGCTCCGTAATTACCTCAATAGGCAGATTTCCAGAGTTTTGTATAGGATGTATAATGGCATGTAAAGGATGGAAATCGGTTTTACTTTCTAAATATTTGTTTTCCCTGTTTTCAAAATTAAAGATTGCTTCACTCTCTTCCCTCTCCTCCTCCCAAAGCCATCTTCCTCCTTTCCTTCTTATATATTTCCTCTTGTTACTTGAATCGAAGGGAACTGAAAAACCAAGGCAAAGAGAAACTGTAGAAGGAGGTGATAACTGGTAGCAGAAGAGAATGGGGCCTCCGGATTCATAGTAGACCTGGCTGCTAATCCTTCTTAATGGTTTGTAACTATGGGGATGTGGCCAAGTCTCAGTTTTCCTCATCTATTATATGGGAACACTAGGAGCTACTTTATAGAGGGTTGTTGTGAGGGTTCAATGAATTTGTGACTATGAAGCACCTGATGTATTGTAAGCCCTCAATGAATACTAATATCTTCCTTTCTAATTCAAATGCCAGACACACTCCTAGTAAAAGCTGCATGTTGTTCAAGAGGCTAAAACAGAATAGCCACTTATGTAAAAAAGTAATAACAGGCAGGACGCGGTGGCTCACGCCTGTAATCCCAGCACTTTGGGAGGCTAAGGTGGGTGGATCACTTCAGGTCAGGAGTTCGAGACCAGCCTGGTCAACATGGTGAAACCCTGTCTCTACTAAAAATTAAAAAATTAAAAAATTAGCTGGGCAGGGATGCATGCGCCTGTAATTCCAGCTACTCGAGAAGCTAAGGCGGGAGAATTGCTTGAACCCAGGAGGTTGCAGTGAGCTAAGATTGAGCCACTGCACTCCAGTGTGGGTGATAGCGTGTGACTATCTCAAAAAAAAAAAAAAAGTAATCACAGATCATTGATGTGAACCATAGAAGGACAATAGTGGCAACCCTGCCATTCCATTGATTTTAAAAGAAAGGAACTCCATGAAGAATACTAAGAAGAATGTGGCAAAGAAAGGATGCCAAGGTATTCAAAATAAACGTTGGCTACAGAAATTACTTGTTTTCCAGTGTCTGAAAATTAGAATTGTAGTAAAAATCAGCTTTCCTTAACACTATAATAGGAAACTAATATTCTTCAGGCTAACCATAAGTGGTTAGGTAAAGTCAATCCAAAATAATTAAGTCGGCTTTTGATTCAGATTAAACTAGTGCTGGGTAGTAAATTTCTATGTATCTTGTCAAACTTTTAAAGTATGTAGGCTGGCAATAGGCCCAGGTTGTCAGACTTAGAATTTTACTGGAAAGAACACCCTATGTAGCCATCTGACTGGATCTGTAAGGATCAACCACAAGCAAAACTGTTTTTGTGGGTAAAAGCAAATAATTTTTGACGATTAGCTACTTGTATTACATAATTTTTTTAAAAAAGGAGAAACAAATCCTTAAAAAAAGAAAAACCCAAACCAAAAACACACAGGCACCTTTTTTGCATAACAGTGTTGCTGTGTTATATACTACATTTTCTCTGGTGTGCATAGAAACACATCCTTAAATGTTACCAATCTGACAAAAAAAAATTATTTTAAGAGGGCTATTATCTATAAGATCAATATTTTCACTAGAATAAAAAAGAATATTTATTTTTGAATTTGTACTAACTAATGATTTGAGGGTGTAGCTAGTTTGATAATTCAGTCAAGTTGAGTATCAACATTATTGATTATATTTCTCAGTCATTTATGCTTCCATCATCGAATATGATAGGGAAGAGTGGAAGTTAAAGCAGTCATATATGTTTCTGCTTAAAACACATGGATTTTTTAAAGGGTGTACTAAAACACAGCCACTGGCCTCATTCTTTTGTTACATGTATTTTCTGTATTTCAACAAATCCAACAAATTTTAAGACACACCATTATATTACATTCCACCAAGGAAGAAAGCTGCCAATGAAACTGTGATATCCCCCTAGATGTAGGATGCCTCCTTATTTCAGGAAGAGTTGAAATGAAAAGAAAAATTTCCTCTTAGACTTGATGAAATATGGTATCAGTAACTTCCATTGACTTTATAATTACTGCATATATATTTATATATTACACAAGTGCCTAGACTTCTGAAATAGATCTGTTCTAATGGGTTAGTTCTCTTAGAATGTAAGAAAACATATGACGAATGCCCTTTTATTAAAGTCATCTTTGTGACCAACTAAGTGTGTGCACACTGGAATGTGTTGGACCTCTCAATACCAAATAATGAGAAAAGATTTCTCCCTTCTCATTCCCTAACTTCATATGCTCTGTAATCAGTTCTCCATTACTGACATTTTTTTCCCCAAATACCAGATATTTGGTGGCCCCTACTAAATCAGTACGCAGTGTTCCCTCTGCTGGCTTTGCAGTACATGAAGTAATTCTTAATGCTAGTCTTTTAGCTGTATTAAGAGAAAGCCAAGATAATTTTGCAGAAAAAAAAAATCCTGGTTTAGAATAATAAACTGTCTTTGTTAGCAATGATGTTAGACATTTCCAATTTTGAATTAGGTATTTTATTTTATTCCCTTAAATGATGGAATTCCATTTGAGATGTAAGTGTAATATCTGCTAATGCATTTCTTCTGCTCTCACACATCTACACAACATAAAATCTCACATCCATACAATGGTATGGGGCATAGATGAAATAAGATTCTATTCCACTGCTTAATATATTCCTTTGGCATGGAGGGAGGGACCTGAATGGAAATTAGTTTAACAAATCTGGATTTGCACTGATTTGCAAGATTTTGCCTTGCCTTGGTTATAGAAACTATGATTGTAGGCGCTAGTCAGACCTGACAAGTATTCAGTTCAAATAAAATAAAGAGGAGGAAAAACTGTGTAGTTGTTACTTTACCTGACAAGGAAGAAGCCCTGGGAAATCTGATGTCATTGGCCTTTGTCAACTGAAAGGCGCCAGTTTTTTTGGTTCCACACTTTATGGAAAAGAAGCCTCCATGTGAGGCTGATTTACTTCTCAGTCAAGTAGACAAACATAACTTGCACTTCATCCTTTTGGGCTGATGACATTGCATTGTAACTGGGCTCAGCGCGTAATGGGGGTGGGGGTGCGTGCATTGAAAAATAATATATGGAAATAACTCATATTTGCAAAATATCAAAATAGGATTCTGGGGTAAATGAAACCTAGCATTTATTTTTATCACTAGAATAAGCTAAGAGTTAAGAAACCTGCATTTCTAACAATTGTACCATTTTCCTCTCATAACCAGTGACTAGCACACAGTAGGCTTAAGCTGTTCATGCCAATGCCAACTCATTATTCCTTTCCTTCGATTTTCTCAAGAAAACAAGCAGAAGACGAATGTTTGCAGGGCCACTTGGATTGCAAGCATGAATACAGGCTTCTGCTTCTATTCTAGAGGCAGAGGCACGGCACCCGGGGAGAGCCTGGGTTTGTCTGCAGCCAGCCGGCTCCCAATCTGGGGAGAAGCAGCCGCCAGGTGGCATCGCTGAGCCTCCCTGCGCCCGCGAGGCGAGGTAGGAAATCGTGGGGATAGTCAGTCTTCTTTCTTCTCCCCCTTCCTCCTCTCCCGACCCCCCTACCACTCCCTACCACTGTACCTTCTTTAGTTAGAGGCTTAAACGCTCAACGAGTAACAGGGTATGTCGATGAATTCTGATTTTTTTTCATAAATCAAAGTTTAGGGCAACCACCCGCCGCCTCCTGCTCACTTGTCAGGAGCTCCGGGTGACGGGGGAAGCCTAGACCAGCTTCCTGTCTGGATCAGGTAACCCAACTCGGGGGATTATCAATTTCAGTTTCCCTGTCTTCTTGCTAAAGTGAATGCAGTTTCTCCGGCTTCCGAGAGCGGCTGCAGAGAAACGACGCGCCTTACTTAAGGACTCCAGTGCAAAGGCCACTCCCTACTCAAAAAAAAAAAAAAAAAAAAAAAAAAAAAAAGAGGTTTCCTTCAGGCAGAACGCCTTCCGGAGCGCAGCGACTCGGTCTCGCAGGCACGGCGCTCTCCCTGGCTTAAGCTCGCCAAGGATTAATGGTGCTCAGCCTCGCTCCGCCGCGGCAGCCGAACCTCTCCTTTCGCTTACAGTTACAGGGAGGAAATAAATTGGAATCGACTCAGACTGTGCTTTCTGGAGGAAAGTCCTTCCTACTGTAAACATGTTTCAGGCGATCCTGTCAGCAGCATTTTAACACCCGTCTTCCGTTTAGGTTTTACGACCGGGGAAGGAGCTGAAGACACGCGCGCGCACACACACACAAACGCGGGCGCAGACGCAGCCCAAGCGAGGACACCTCCCGCACCCTCGCGGGCTCCCAGCCCTCCTTTGAATTTGCAACCGGTCGCGGATAGGTTGGGGGGGTCGTTTCCCAGGAGCTTGGCTCCTCCGTCCTCCTACCCCATCCCCTGGCCCTTGGAGATGCTGTCCAGTTCCGTCACTGACCAGAACTGACAGCCACTTGGCCCCCTGCTCTCTTGAGTGCCCAGCATCCTTTGCTCTGGACGACTAAATGCTCTCTGTGAGCCTTGCTTGGTTGGTACGGCGCGCGCTGTGCGTGTGGGACCCACTCTTCGGCAGGCACACGACCTTCGTACACCGGCTGGGCAACCACCCACTTCATCCCCTCCCCGGACCCCGCAGGCTGAGGCCCCATTGAGAGCGCAGCTGCAGCGTCTCTTTCAGAAGGGCAGAGCAGGCTGCGCGTGCACGGCGCGCGGGGGGAGGAAAAGGGCTGAGAGCTGAGGGAAGTCGACAATTCATTGCACCCCAGTCTTCAAGCGTCCCTTCTGCGCGGATCACGGAGGGACAGACGTGCATTGGCGCCTTCCCTCGATCCCTCGCTCGTGCAGGAAAGACTGGACGGTGGGGGCTCTCTGAGTTTGCGAGGGCCACGGAGGCGCCCCAGGGTGCCAGGCGCCCTTGTCAAGGGCCGCGCCCGAAGCTCCAGATTCAGTCCCCAGCACCTGTAGGAGGCGGTTTCGGGTCTGAGAGAAGGGAACATATGGCAGGTAGTTAACAGGGAGAGGCTGCGCCCTGGGCGCAGTTACGAGGAAGCCAAGCTCTGCGGAAGGTCTCGGCTCGCTTTGTCCTCCTTGGATCAGCTGGTCTCTGCCTTTCCGCTGGCAGCCGCGGCAGTCAGGCCCTGGCGCAAGCGTCCGGGTGGAGCTGCCTACTCGACCCGGGGTGGCAGGGGTTGAGGGGGCGGCAAAACCACCCCAGTGGCCCCAGCAGGCGGTCTAGGTGGGGCACGCCCGACGGGCTTCCCACCCCCAACGCAACAGCCCGTTGTTGCAATTACAGTTTTAGCCCCGTGGGGGAAAGCGGGTGATTTCGCTTTTGGAAAAACACTTCAAGAGCAACCCTAAGCCAGCGTTACAAGCCAGTTGACCTGCTATTGGAGGTTGTGCGAGGGCGGGCTGGGGCGCGCGCGTCTGCCAGGGAGGGAATCCCGCTGGGGAGTGGGCAGAGGGAAGCAGAGCAAAATGTCAGATAACAGAAAGAGGGGAGGCGGAGGAAGAAAGGCGCTTGATTGCGGGGAAGTGGGAAGGCACGGAGACCGCATTGGCTGCTAAGTGACGCGGGTCAGGAGGAGAGGGACGCGTGCGTGGCGGGTAGCGACTGTAGGACGCACGGGCCCCCTCGCCAGGCAACCGATCTCCTTTCTTCCAGCCCTTCCCCTCCCATGTTCCCGCCGTAGTCAGACGTCACACTTGGCGCAGACAGCTTTGGGGGAACTCATAGGGATGGGAGGGGTGGGGCAGGGACCGTAGAACCCAGTGCCCCAGACCGCGCCTGGAGTGCAGTACACCTGGCACCCGGGACTCGCCATCTGCTCCCAGCTACCGCCTCTCGGGCCAGGGGTGTGGGCCTGGAGAAAGATAAGAGTACCGCGTGGGAGTGGATGGCCTGGCGTCAACCGCCTCAATGAACTCAGTCAATCAACGTTTATGGTGCTCCTACTGTGTGCCGAGCGCATCCTCGGTCCCCTCCAGCTGCTGGGCTGGGAAACTGCACCATCTGTTCAGTTAAGCAGCAAGCTAGAAAAGAATTCTGTGTATATGGTTGTAAAATAAGTTCAAAATTCTGACAATAATGCATATGCAAATTTGCCATGAAAGGAGGGTGATAGAGATAGTTTGGGGATCTGGAAAAGTGTTGGGTCTAGCAGTACAGAGGTTTTGTGATTTTTCACTGCTTCCTGAAGCATGAAACTCCATCCTTCCTGTCCCACATTCCAAGTTAAAAAAATAATTTAGTGACACTTTATCTGGCTATCACGATTCAAAAATAACTGAAGGCTAGTACTTAAAACACTCAAACTTAACTCATTAATTTCAAAAATATCAGACCCAAACCGCTGCCTTATTGTAACAAATATTTTGTAATATAACTTTACTCTCCTGAAATAAAATCTGTGGATTACGTAACTTACTATGCACAAAATTAAAAAAGAAACCATAATGTTCAAACTACAATGTTAAAGGAGAAATACACAGTAGGTAATTTATAATAAGATAATATACATTTCAAATATGCATGGTAGGGCTGTATTTCACTAGAACACCCAAAATGTTGTCCAAAAATTTAAAAATTCTCCCTAGGAGTACTACTGCCTAGGTGTGAATTATGCACTATGGGTGGCAGGCAAACGCTAAATAATGAGGATGCTACTTGTATTCTGAGTTCTTAAATTTACAGTGGATGTGGTAGATTCTTGTAATAAATCGTCCTCCTAGTACGTGTGCTTTTATGTGGACCTTTTTCTCTCTGATTCTGGATTTGGTCACTGAGTTGCTTTGGGAAATGGGGCATTAGCAAGCATGAGACAAACAGACTTCACAAGTGCCCATGTACTGGGGTTTGTCCATTGAAACCGTCGTGTTGTGAACCTACTCCAGTGAGACCATGAAAACATCATGTTGTGAACTACCTTCAGCAGCTGATCTTACTCGAGGATTGAAGGCCCCATAGGGAAAACCAAGGTGCCCCTCCAAGGCCAGCATCCCAGGCATGTGACTGAGGCCATCTTGGACTCTCCAGTTTTGGTTGGTTTGTCAGATGACTGCAGCCACAGGAGCGATTCCAGATGGGTACAACAGAAGAATCACTCAGATTGACACCCCACAGAATTATGAGAACTAATAAGTTGCGTTAAATCACTATGCTTTGGGTAGTTTGTTATGCAGTAATAGAGGTCAGAGTTGTATTAATTACAATGCCATTTGATAGATGCCAAAATATAAGTTCATGCAGGAAGGTAACTTTTTCTTAATGACTCTAGATCTTTATTAAAAATTCAGTCAGTATTTTCACCAATGCCCATAGTGTATATGGGAGTTAGCTAAAATTGAATAACCCCATGGAAAAAGACATTCTATGCAAATAGACACCAAAAGCGAGCAGGAGTACCTATTCTTTTTTTTTTTATTTTATTTTTTTTGAGATGGAGTCTCACTCTGTCGTCCAGGCTGGAGTGCAGTGGCATGATCTTGGCTCACTGCAACCTCCACCTCGCGGGTTCAAGCGATTCTCCTGCCTTAGCCTCCCGAGTAGCGGGGGTTACAGGCACCCACCACCACGCCCGACTAATTTTTGTATTTTTAGTAGAGACGGGGCTTCACCATGTTGGCCAGGCTGGCTCTTGAACTTCTGACCTCAGGTGATTCACCTGCCTTGACCTCCCAAAGTGCTGGGATTACAGGCGTAAGCCACTGCGCCCAGCGGCGGAGTATCTATTCTTATATCAGGTAAAACAAAGTTTATTTTTTTGTTTATTATTATTTTTCGAGACAGACTTTCACTCCTATCGCCCAGGCTGGAGTACAATGGTGTGAACTCAGCTCACTGCAACCTCCGCCTCCCAAGTTCAAGTGATTCTCCTGCTTTAGCCTCCCCAGTAGCTGGCATTACAGACATCTGCCACCACACCTAGCTAATTTTTGTATTTTTAGTAGAGACGGGGTTTCCCCATGTTGGCCAGGCTGGTCTTGAACTCCTGACCTCAGGTGATTTACCTGTGTTGGCCTCCCAAAGTGCTGGGATTACAGGCATGAGCCACTGTGCCCGGCCAAAACAAATTTTAAAACAACAGCAGTTTAAAAAGACAATGAGGGACATTATATAATGATAAAAGACCTTGTCCAACAAGAAAATATCACAATTCTATATATATATGCACCTAACTTGAACTCCCAAATTATAAAATAATTACTAGTAGGCCTAAGAAATGAGATAGAAAGTAACACGAGAATACTGGGGAACTTCAGTACTCCACTGACAGCACTAGACAGGTCATCAAGACAGAAAGTCAACAAGGAAACACTGGATTTAAACTATACCCTGAAACAAACGGACTTAACAGATATTTACAGAACATTCTACCCAACAACAGCAGAATATTCATTCTATTCATCAGTGCATGGAACTTTCTCTAAGATAGATCATATGATAGGCCACAAAACAAGCCTCAATAAATTTAAGAAAATTGAAATTATATCAAGCACTCTCTCAGACCACAGTGGAATAAAACTAGAAATCAACTCCGAAAGGAACCTTCAAAGCCATGCAAATACATGGAAATTAAGTAACCTGCTGCTGAATGATCACTGGGTCAAAAATAAAATCAAGATGGAAATTAAAAAATTCTTCTAACTGAATGACAATAGTAATACAATCTATTAAAACCTCTGAGATAACAGCAAAAGCAGTGCTAAGAGGAAACTTCATAGTCCTAAATGCCTACATCAAAAAGTCTGAAAGAGCACAGATGGATAATCTAAGGTCACACCTCAAGGAACTAGAGAAACAAGAACAAACCAAACCCAAACTTAGCAGAAGAAAGGAAATAACCAAAATCAGAGCAGAACCAAAAGAAATTGAAACAAACAAACAAAGAATGCAAAAGATAAATGAAACAAAAAGCGGGTTCTTTGAAAAGATGAATAAAATGGATAGACTGTTAGCAAGATTAACCAAGAAAAGAAGAGAGAAAATCCAAATAAGCTCAATTAGAAATTAAATGGGGCCAGGTGCGGTGGCTCATGCCTGTAATCCCAGTGCTTTGGGAGGCCAAGGCAGGCAGATCACCTGAGTTCAGGAGTTCGAGACCAGCCTGGCCAACATGGTAAAACCTCATCTCTACTAAAAATACAAAAATTAGCCAGTCATGGTGGCATGCGCCTGTAATCCCAGCTACTCAGAAGGCTGAGGCAGGAGAATCGCTTGAACCTGGGAGGCAGAGGTTGGAGTGAGCTGAGATTGTACCACTGCACTTCAGCCTGGGCAACAGAGTGAGATTCTGTCTCAAAAAAAAAAAAAAAAAAAAAAGAAATGAAATGGGAGATATTGAGATATTTATTACAACTGACACTACAGAGATACAAAAGATCATTCAAGGCTACTATGAACACCTTTACGCACATAAACTAGAAAACCTAGAGGAGATGGATAAATTCCTGGAAAGATACAACCCTCCTAGCCTAAATCAGGAAGAATCAGATACCCTGACCAGTCCAATAAGCAGTGAGATTGAAATGGAAATTTAAAAAGTTACCAACAAAAAAAAGTCCAGAACCAGATGGATTCACAGCTGAATTCTACCAGACATTCAAAAAAGAATTGGTACCAATCCTACTGACACTATTCCACAAGACAGAGAAAGAAGGAATCCTCCCTAAATCATTTTATGAATCCAGTATCGCCCTAATAACAAAACCAGGAAAAGACATAACCAAAAACGGAAACTATAGATACTGTTCTTTTTTAAAGATTCCAAAAAGTCGTTAGATGTGAATACTTCCGCTTTTAAGTACAATGTAGTAAAAACAGAAAGCAATTACAACTAGAAAAAAGACATTTTACATTAAAGATAACAAAGATATATAGATGCATATGAGACTGGAAGAAATAAATTCTAGAGAGAGAAATGTCTTTGTTATATGAACCTAGATTGCTGGCCATTGTCTTGCCTGGGGCATTTTCTGAGTCTGGACACAGGCTTTCATAGACAGAGCAAGCAACTGTACTAAAGGGAAAAAACAGAATTGTCTTATTGCCAGTTGAGTCAGCATGGACAAATTGGAATCTACAAGATCATCAAATGAATAGCTGTTTTCCTCACAGATTACTCACTGAATGCTAGGGCAGTATAGCAGACTGGTAGGCTGAGCCACAAAGACAGACAGAAATCAACTGGAGGCCAAGTCATGCTCAAGGCAAGAAAATACAAAACAAGAAAAACAAAATATCTCCCTTTCAAAAGATTTGCCAGATTTTGAACCTGGATGAAGAGAAAATAAAGAGCTAAGCCCCAAACCTCTGAAGGACAGAACTTTCAAGGTGGAGGAAATAGAGAGAGACCTACCAGTCTCCGAATCAATGGACTACAGGTAGGCTATGCCCCAAAAGAGGCTGGGCAAGAATGGCAGAATACAATCTCCAGAGGTCTGTTGGTACTTAGGAGACAAATTCCATGGAGGGGGGAGTCTGCAACAAACATAAGAAGTTCTGGCCCTAAGATAGTTGAAAACACATATAAGCTGCATCTAACTAAAGGTGCAAGCCAGCCCCAAACTGATGCCATTCCTGGTTGGCTTGAAATGATCAGTCCTTCACCTTATCCACTTAACAGACAAAACTACAAATTCTCTCTGGGTGGAGAAAGAGTAACAATTGCAATGTGTGTAGTAATTTTATATACAAGGTTCATCCTACAACATTATTTGATATGCAAAGAAGCAGGTAAATATACATCAAGAGAAAAAGTAGACAATAGAAGCAGGCCTATAGATCATCCAGATATTAAAGTGCAGACATGGACTTTATTATAATTTTTTTCATAGAAGAAAATATGGAAAAAGTAAATGAAAAGATGAAACATTTAAACAGAGAATCAGAGTCTTTTTTTTTTTTTTTTTTTTGAGATAGAGTTTTGCTCTTGTTGCCCAGGCTGGAGTGCAATGGCGTGATCTCGGCTCCCTGCAACCTCGCAACCTCCACCTCCCGGGCTCAAGTGATTCTCCTGCCTCAGTCTCCCGAAGAGCTGGGATTACAGGCATACACCACCACGCCTGGCTAATTTTGAATTTTTTTTTTTTTTTTTAGTAGAGACAGGGTTTCTCCATGTTGGTCAGGCTGGTCTCGAACTCCCGACCTCAGGTGATCCACCCACCTCAGCCTCCCAAGGTGCTGGGATTGCAGGCATGAGCCACCGGGCCTGGCCAAGAATCAGAGTCTTTATTTAACAAAGAAACAAATAGACATTCTAGAAATGAAAAGTACACTATCTTTTTTTTTTTTTTTTTTTGACAGTCTCCCTTTGTCACTGAGGCTGGAGTGCAGTGGCACGATCTCAGCTCCTGGCAACCTCTGCTCCCAAGTTCAAGTGATTCTCCTGCCTCAGCCTCCTGAGTAGCTGAGATTACAGGCACCCACCACGACGCCCAGCTAATTTTTGTTTTTTAGTAGAGACAGGGTTTCACCATGTTGGCTAGGCTGGCCTTGAACTCCTTAGCTCAAATGATCTGCCCGCCTTGGCCTTACACAGTATTGGGATTACAGGCATGAACCACTGCCCAGCCATACACTATCTTAAAGTAAGAGCTCATTGAATGGATTTTACATAAAACTAAAAAAAGCAAAAGTCAGTGTCTTAGTCCATGAGAATACCTGAGACTTGGTAATATTTATTTATTTATTTTGAGACAGAGTCTTGCCCTGTCACCCAGGCTGGAGGGCAGTGGCGTGATCTCGGCTCATGGCAATTTCTGCCTCCTGGGTTTAAGAGATTCTCCCACTTCAGCCTCTGGAGTTGCTGGGATTACCTGCCGCCATGCCTGGCTAATTTTTGTATTTTTGTAGAGAGAGGGTTTCACCATGTTGACCCGGCTGGTCTTCAACTCCTGACCTCAAGTGATCCGCCCACCTTGGCCTCTGAAAGTGCGGGGATTACAGGCATGAGCCACTGTGCCTGGCCGAGACTTGGTAATTTATAATGAAAAGAAATTTATTTCTCACAGCTCTGGAGGCTGGGAAGTCCAATATCAAGGTCTTGGCACCTGATGAGGCCTTTCTTGCTTTATCATCCTGTCATGGAAGACAGAAAGGCAAGAAATCTCAAGAGAGAGTGAGAGAAGGCCAAATCAAACTCAATCCCATGATAATGACATTAATCCATTTATGAGGGCAGAGCCTTTATGACCTAATCACCTCTTAAAGGTCTATCTCTCAGCACTGTTGGATTGGGGATTACATTTTTAACACATGAACTTTGTAGAACACATTCAAACCACAGCAGACAGGATTAGGAAATCTAAAGACAAGTCAATCGAAAATATTCAAATTAAATACAGGGAGAAAATGGAGAAAATAAAAGAGTGGAAAAGGTATGTGGAATGTAGATATATCGTTTAACATTGTGTTACTGAAGTTCTATAAAGAGAAAACAGATAATGGATCAGAAGCAACATGATGAGATGCTTACTGAGAATTTTACACAATTGATGATACATATCAACCTATAGGTCCAAGAATCTTAGTAAGCCCCAAGTAGCTTAAAAACGAGCAAACAAACAAACAAAAAAACCTGTGTTTGAAAACCAACATCAAAGAGAAAATCTTTAAAGCTGTCAAAGGAGGGGATGACAGATTACACTAAAAGAAAACATAAGACTTAAGACTAACTTTTTAACAGAAACTATGGAGATCAAAAGACAATATACTGATGCTTTTAAAGATTGGAAAGCTAAACAAAATGAAATGCTGATTCTAGAATTCTAATAATTAAAAATATCCTTCAAAATGAAGGTTAAGGCTGGGTGCGGTGTCTCACGCCTATAATCCCAGCACTTTGGGAGGCTGAGGTGGGCAGATCACCTGAGGTCAGGAGTTTGAGACTAGTCTGGCCAACATGATGAAACCCCGTCTCTACTAAAAATACAAAAAATTAACTGGGTATGGTGACATGTGCCTGTAATCCCAGCTACTCAGGAGGCCAAGGAAAGAGAATGTCTTGAACCTGGGAGGCAGAGGTTACAGTGAGCGGAGATGGTGCCATTGCACTCCTGCCTAGGGGACAGAGCAGGACTCTGTTTCAAAAAAAAAAAAAAAAAAAAAAAAAAAGGTTAAAAAAAATTAAGCAAATTACAGTTAAGAGATTTTGTTTCTAGCAGACACATACTCTAAGAAACATTGAAGGAAATTCTTCAGGCTAGAGGAAAATAATATTAAATAGAAGCACAGAAGTACAGGAAGGAATGAAAAGCATAAGAAGGGATAAACACCTGGGTAAATATAAAAAGATACTGACTGTTTCAATCAACCATGGTAACTGTGTCTTATGGGGTTTATGCATAGAAGGAAAATACATGGCAACAATAGCACAAAGAATGGCAGGGATGTGAATGGAGTTAAACTGCTGTAAGTTTCTTGTAGTGTTTGGGAAATAGACAATACTAAGTCAAGTATGCATTTGCACATTTTTAGGGTAGCGATTAAATCACTAAAAGAACAATACAAAAAGATATAACTGGCTGGGCATGGTGGCTCACACCTGCAATCCCAGCACTTTGGGAGGGCAAGGCAGGAGGGTTGCTTGAGCCCAGGAATTTGAGACCAGCCTAAGCAACATAGTGAGACACTGTCTTTTTGAAAAAAAAATTAATTAAAAAAAAGTTTATTAAAAAAAAATTTAGGCCAGGCATGGTGGCTCATGTCTGTAATCCCAGTACTTCGAGAGGCCAAGGTGGGTGGATCACCTGAGGTCAGGAGTTTGAGACCAGCCTGACCAACATGGTGAAACCCAGTCTCTATAAAAAATACAAAAATTAGATAGGCATGGTGGTGGGCGCCTGTAATCCCAGCTATTTGGGAGGCTGAGGCAGCAGACTCGCTTCAACCTGGGAGGTGGAGGTTGCAGTGAGCTGAGATTGCACCATTGCACTCCAGCCTGGATGACAGAGCGAGACTTCATCTCAAAAAAAAAAATTTTTTTTTTAAATATAACTAAAAATAGAGGAGATAAAGTAGAATATTAAAAATATTTGATTAATTTAGAAGTAGGCAAGGAAGACAGAATAAATGAACAAAGCATAGGCAGGACAAATAAAAAGCAAATAGCAAGATTATAGACTTATAAGCAAACCAAATCAGTAACTACATTAAATATGAATGGACTAAACACTCCTATTAAAAGGCTAAGATTGCCAAATTGGCTTTTAGAAAGCCTCAACTATATGCTGTTTACAGGTCACATTTTAAATATAAGAATACAGACTAGTTAAAAATAAATAGGTTGCACTTTGTAAGGCTGAGGTGGGCAGTCACTTGAGCTCAGGAGTTTGAGACCAGCTTGGGCAACATGATGAAACCCTGTCTCTACAAAAAGTACAAAAATTAGCCAGGTTTGGTGGCGTGAGCCTATAGTCCCAGCTGCTCGGGAGGCTGAGGTGGGAGGATGGCTTGAGCCTGGGAGGCAGAGGTTGCCGTGAGCTGAGATTTGTGCCACTGCACTCCAGTCTGGGTGACAGAGCAAGACCCTGTCTCAAAAAAAAAAAAAATAAATAAAAATAAATAGGTAAACGTATCCTATATAAACACCAAAAGGAAGCTGATTTGTCTATATTATAATTATAGTGACTTTAAGATAAGAAATATTTCTAGAGGTAAAGAAACAGTTAAATAAAGGGTCAAGAGGAAGATAATAAAAAATTTGTGTGCACCTAATAACATAGCTTTAAACTATAGTGGACAAATGACAGAACTAGAAAGAGAAATAAACAACTATAAATTAAAGTGGAAGACTGTAACACTACTGAATATCTGTCGTGGTCTGAATTTTTCTCCCTAAAATTCATATGTTGAAACTTAATTTGCAATGTGATGGTGTTGGGAAGTGGAGCCTTTGGGGGTTGACTGGACGATGGAAGTTCTGCCTACATGAATGCGATTAGTGTCCTTGTGAAAGGGTTTGAGAGGGTCTGTTTGCCCTTTCTTCCCCTTCTGCCATGTGAGGATGCAACAAGAAGCACTATCTATGAAGCAGGGTGAGCCTTCGTCACACATTGAATCTGTTGGTGCCTTGATATTGAACTTCCTAGCTTCCAGAACTGTGGAAATAAACTTCTGTTGTCTATAAATCACCCAGTCTAAGGTATTTTATTTCAGCATCACAAATGGATTGACATAGTAACAAACAGATCAAAACAATAAAGCATCGGTAAGGATATAGAAGATTTGAACAACACTGTCAATGAACTTGACGTAATTAACTTGGATACAGCAATGTACCAAACACTGCAGATACAGTCCTTAAATCCTTATCAAAAGAGATTAAATTTTATGTCGTAAATCAAATTTCAGTAAATTTCAAAAGACTGGTATTTCACAGAGTGTATCTCTAGTGACAGTGGGATTAAACTGAAAATTAACAATGAAAAGGTAATCAGAATATCCCAAAATGTTTGAAAAGTAAGCCACATACTTTACATTTTTTTGTTGTTTATTTATTTAATTTTAGAGATGGAGCATTACTGTGTTAGGCTGGAGTGCAATGGCTATTCACAGGTGAAATCAGCTCACTGCAGCCTTGAACTCCTGGGCTCAAGCCGTCCTCCTGCCTCAGCCTCCCAAGTAGGTGATACTACAGGAGCACGCCACCACTCCCAGCCAGCAACATACTTTTTTTTTTTTTGAGACAGAGTTTCACTCTGTCACCCAGGCTGGAGTGCAGTAGCATGAACAGAGCTCACTAAAGCTGCAACCTCCCAGGCTCCTACCTCTCAGCCTCCCAAGTGGCTGGGACTATAGGCGCACACCACCATGCCCAACTAATTTTTTGTATTTTTTTTGTAAAGATAGGGTTGCCCATGTTGCCCAGGCTGGCCTTGAACCCCTGGGCTCAAGTGATTCACCTGCTTTGACCTCCCAAAGTGCTGGGATTATAGGTGTGAGCCACCACACCCCACCAGCAATGTTTTTTTGTTTTGTTTTTGTTTTTTGTTTTCTGAGACAGAATCTCACTCTGTTGCCCAGGCTGGAGTACAGTGGCGCAATCTCTGCTCACTGCAACCTCCACCTCCTGGGTTCAAGCGATTCTCCTGCCTCAGCCTCCCAAGTAGCTGGGACTACAGGTGCGTGCCACCACGCCCAGCTAATTTTTTGTATTTTTAGTAGATGGGGTTTCACCGTGTTAGCCAGGATGGTATTGATCTCCTGACCTCGTGATCCGCCCGCCTCGGCCTCCTAAAGTGCTGGGATTACAGGCGTGAGCTACCGCGCCTGGTTCAGCAATGTACTTTTAAATAACCAACACTTGAAAGAAGAAATCACATTAGAAGCTAGTAATTATTTTGAACATATTGAAAATGACAATACAACATATCAAAATGGATGCACTTACAGGACTTTTTTTTTTTTTTTTTTTTTGAGACAAAGTTTCCCTCTTGTTGCCCAGACTGGAGTGCAATGGCATGATCTTGGCTCACCACCCTCTGCCTCCTGGGTTCAAACGATTCTCCCGCCTCAGCCTCCCGAGTAGCTGGGAGTGCAGGCATGCACCACCACGTCCGGCTAATTTTGTATTTTTAGTAGAGACGGGGTTTCTTCATATTGGTCAGGCTGGTCTCGAACTCCCAACCTCAGGTGATCCGCCCACCCTGGCCTCCCAAAGTGGTAGGGTGACAGGCGTGATCCACTGCACCTGGCCTCTCACAGGAAAATTTACAACTTCAAATGCATGTGTTAGAAAATAAAATCAAAGATGTCTTGGATTCCAACTGAAGAAACTAGAAAGAGTAAATTAAACCCAAGGAAAGTATAAGGAAGAATGACTATAAAGAAAAATGCAGAAATCAATGAAATAGAAAGCAGATGTACTGAAAATAAAAGTTTGCTCTTGGAAGTGATCACTACCCCTAGCAAGACTGATCAAGAGAAAAAAAAAAAGCACAAATTACCAATATCATGAATGGAAAACGTGCATACATACAGATTACACTGATATTAAAAAGATGAAAAAATATAATAAATAGCTGTATGCCAATCAATTAACAACTTGAAGAAAGTGGGAAAACTCCTTGCAAAACACAACTTACAAAAATTAGTACAAAAAGGAAGAAAATCGGAATGATTCTATATCTATTAAAGTAATTAAATCTATAATGTAAAAACTCTCTCTCCAAGGAAACACAAGTCTCAGATGACTTCACTTGTGAATTTTCCACAAATTTAAGGGAAAAAATGACACCAATTTTACAATAAAATTTTCAAAAACCAGAGAAAGAAAAGATGCTTTACAATTTATTTTATGATGCCGCAGAACTTTGATACCAAATCTGACAAGGAAATTATAAGAAGAGAAAATTACACTCCAAAATTCCTCATGAACGCAGAGGCAAAAATTTTCAACAAAATATTAATACATCAAATCCAGTAATATAGAAAGTTATGGCCAGACGCGGTGGCTCACACCTGTAATCCCAGCACTTTGGAAGACCGAGGGGGGCGGATCATTTTAGGTCAGGAGTTCGAGACCAGCCTGGCCAACATGGTGAAACCTCATCTGTACTAAAAATACAAAATTAGCTGGGCATGGTCGTGGGCGCTTGTAATCCCAGCTACTCAGGAGACTGAGGCAGGAGAATTGCTTGAACCTGGGAGGTGGAGGTTGCAGTGACCTGAGATTGTACCACTACACTCCAGCCTGGGTGACAGAGTGAGAATCTGTCTAAAAAAAAAAAAAACAAGCCGGGTGCAGTGGC